>NC_000018.10:11810299-12110349 GCF_000001405.40 Homo sapiens | reverse complement strand
TATAAAGACCATAGAAAGACTAATGATTTCAAGGACAGTATTTCTTACTTGAGAAAACTCACCCAACTCTGAGACATTTTATACTCATCAAATACACAAAACAATTAGTCATACTAAAATACTCAATTCTGTAACAAGAATAAAAAGTGACAATGCAAAAATATCTTATTTCGTAAACTTAATTTTTGTAAATTATACAATATGAAGTCACTAATGAAAAATATGGTGTGGTGCATACTTTTCAAAGGAAGACTAAAGACATGCATTGAGAGTGCCTCTAAACAGGAAATACACTGCATTGGCAGCACCTTGGTTTTAAGCACACAGGTCAGCAAATTAATAGTGTGTGCCAAATTCAGCCTACTACCTGTCTGTCTGTTTTTTTTTTTTTTTTTTTTTGGTAACAGTGAAACCTATTCTTTTATTGAATGACAACGAAACCTATTCATTTATTGAATGACAGTAATTCATTTATCGAGTGACAGAGTGACACCTATTCATTTATTGTCTATGAAAGATGTTGGACTACAACAACACAGACCCTCTGGTCCATAAAGCCTAAAATTGTTACTATCTGGTTCTTTACATAAAAAGTTGGCCAACTCCTGGCTTGGTAGATCAAAGGTCCTTTGATATACTTCGATAACGTTTAGCAATATTGTAAATATTTATATAAAATATGGATCCCCATGTACAATCCCTTGGCAATATTCAGATTATTATAAAGGTCCAATATTTGAGCACTTTTGCATTGAGAAAAACAACAATTTTATAACTAACGATTATGTTGGTAACAAAGTAAAGTGCCAACATAGCATGTAGCTTCCTTTTCTAACTCAGTAAACACTACAAGTATTAAGATCATACAGTATTGTATTCCGACAAAATTTGCTAGGGCCCCACTGCTCTGTGCAGACCCGGGACATGGCACCCTGCATCCCAGCTGGTCCAGCTCCAGCCATGATAAAAAGGGCCAAGGCACAGCTCAGGCTGTTGCTTTAGAGAGTGAAAAACCCATGCCTTGGCAGCATCCATGTGGTGTTGGGCCTACAGGTGCACAGAACACAAGAGGTGAGGTTTGGGAACCTTTGCCTAGATTTCAGAGGATGTATGGAAATGCCTAGATGTCCAAGCAAAAGTCTGCTGCAGGGGCAGAGCCCTCATGAAGAACCTCTGCTAGGGCAGTGCAGAAGGGAAATGTGGAGTTGGAGCCCCCAAAAAGAGTTGCCAATGGGGCACTGCTTCGAAGAGCTGTGAGAAGATGGTGACCATCTTCCAGACCCCAGAAAGGTAGATCCACTGACAGCTCATACTGTGCACCTGGAAAAGCTGCAGGCACTCAACATCAGACTGTGAAAGCAGCCACAAGGGCTGAACCCTGCAGAGCCACAGGGGCAGAGCTGCCCAAGGCCATGGGAGCCCACATTTTGCATCAGTGTGCCCTGGATGTGAGAAATGGAGTCAAAGGAGATCATTTAGGAGCTTTAAGATTTAATGACTGCCAAGTAGAGTTTCAGACTTGCATGGGGCCCATGGCACCTTTCTTTTGGCTAATTTCTCCCATTTGGAATGGGAACATTCACCCAATGCATGTACCCCCACTGTATCTTAGAACTAACTAACTAATTTTTGATTTCACAGGCTCACATCCTTGTCTTGGATGAGACATTGAACTTGGACTTTTGGGTTAAAGCTTGACTGAGTTAAGACATTGGGGGCACTGTTGGGAAGGCAGTATTGGTTTTGAAATGTGAAAAGGACATGAGATTTGAAAGGGGCCAGGGTGGAATAATATGGTTTGGTGCTGTGTCCCCACCAAAATCTCATCTCAAATCATAATCCCTACCTGTCAGAAGAGAGACCTGGTGGGAAGTGACTTGATCATGGAGGCTGTTTCCCCCATGCTGTTCTTGTGATAGTGAGTGAGTTCTCACAAGAGCTAATGTTTTTAAAGTGTGGCACTTCCTTGCTCTCACTCTCTCCTACCGCCTTGTGAAGAAGGTGCTTGCTTCTCCTTTGCCTTCTGTCATGATTGTAAATTTCCTGAGGCTTCCCCAGCCAGGAGGAACTGTGAGTCAATTAAACTTCTTTTGTTTATAAATTACCCAGTGTCAGGTAGTGTCTTTACAGCAGTATGAAAATAGACTAATACAAGATGTGTTATCAAACCCAATGCTTTAAAGATACTTTACTGGTGAAATAATCACTACACTATAAATGCAACTTCATTTTTATAAGAGGGTTGCATAGTACATTATTTTATGGGTGTGACTACTTATTTCCTTTAATTAACAGACTTTTACACAATCTCAAACATTTTGATATGACAATGCTATAATGAAAGTTCTTACCATATATATGTATGCACGCAACAATTTCATATAAAGAAATAACTACACATGCATATATATGTTGGCCTATTGCATGTTATATATATGATATACAAGATATCTTCTACATCATATGTATAATAAATATACAATTAATGACCTCAACTGCTTGTGTGTATGTGTAAACTCATATTTTCCTGTAGAATCTAGTCCCAGAAGTAAAGCTGTCAGGTTAACGAAATGATATATTTAAAATTGTGATGCATGCTACTGAACTACCCTTCAATAAAGATTTACCAATTTCATTTAGCAACAGTGTATAAGAGGATGTCTTTCTTCACATTTGTCTAGTTACTTTTTAAATAAAACATCAATATGATTGGAAAGACCATATCTCATTGCTTGTTAATTTGCATTTTATGATTACCAGGCAAGGCAGAATATTCCTCATAAAAGTATAAAATTTGTTAATCGTACATATTAACCCAAATTAGAATTCATTTTATAGTACAATTAACAGTGATCCGCTGTTAACTATCGCTACAGGATTACCTATCAAACTCGCCATTCTCCTTCCCAGGAGATTGATGATTATCAGGTTTTCTGTTCTTTATTTTGTGAATTAATTCATCAACATCATCATTATAATTGTCACTGTCATCAGCATGTACGTTTCTTGACACTTCCATTTTCTTATTTCTGCATTTCTTCATTTTTTCTTCAACCTTCAATGAAAGTTTCATACTGAGAATAATTGTCATTATTTTATCCAATAGAAAGAACTTTTTTGTGTTCATTCATTTAATCACTTGACTCAGTCTGTCATATTAGTCATGACATGATAAAATACCTTGTGCTTACTTTTTCATTATATATAATTATATTATAATTTTTATTGAAATTCATATAAAGTCTGATTTATTTCTGTTTGAGTGAATAAAATTTTCAAAACTTTCAAAATGGGCCCATTCCAAATTTGTGCTTTTATTCCCATTGCTGTCTAATATACATTTTCACCCCCGGTGCCCTTGTGATGAGCAGAAATAGAGAAATAAAAAGACGAAGCCATCAAATCTGTCCTCTTCTATCTTTACCTCCTGGAGTTTACACTAAACGGCCAGATTTAGAGGATGTGATATTGTGGGGCTTCAAGAACAGAAAGGAAGCTTTCCCCTTTCTACGGTAAGCTTTCTTTTCCCACTGTCTTTTATTTTACTTTCTCCCTTTGGATCCTAGGATACTGAAAATGTGAAGGTGCTTGCTGAAATACAAGAACCAAAATTTGAAACCACAAAAGCAGAGTGAAACTGCTGAGATGCTACTTTAGAGTTCTGGAAAATGAGATGCTTCCCCAATTTCACATTCAGTAACCATGACATTTTATAGCTGGAGGATATACAGTGTAAGTAATTATCTACTTTGGCCCCATTATCAAAAAAGATTAAATGATTCATCTAAATCCCCTGGCATTTTCCAGCATTTTATTGCACAAAACCTGATAATACTGTTTCATAAGGCTGAATCAGATAAATTACCGATAAATTCATCAAATTAATCAGAAGAATTAAAAGTGTAACTCTGGGAAAGTAACATAATGCCTCAGAAGGGGCTGAGAGGCCTCATCTACTTTTACTTTTTAAGATGAACATCACCAGATTTTTGTCTATCTTTAAAACTCGATGTACCGAAATCATGTTGCTACTTTGGAGTCAAATACTAAATTTTGGGCTGAGAATCCATGGTACTGACATAATAAAGTTATACATGCTAAAACTTATGCTCTATTAAACAAAATCACATTAAGATCTGCTTTGACAGAAACATGCGGAAGTTGTGATTAAAAAATAGGTGGAGATATCTATATACATTTGTTTTCAAATATACTTAAGGTTGTCATGATGAAATTGTAAGCCTTAACATATTGAGTTAAATGGATCAATTTGCACACCTGAAAGCACAACATACAGATTCCTTTGCCCATGAATATTTGTTCCAACTCTCAAGGACAGACACATTTTTATAGCACTTCTCAGTCATTGCTTCCTTCCCATTGATTTCCCACTTTAAGTAAGTGCAATTCATCTTTAAGTCAATAGGGAAAAATTAAACCCTAGAGCTTATTAAATTTTTAAGCAATTTCCTATAGGCTAACCCTAGTTTACAAGTGTCTATATCCATGATATATGAATAGATTTTTTTCCCAGTCCCTATGCCACTTGTAAAATGGACAGACAGACTTGGGTTGATCAAGTAATGAAGATTATAGAATGTTTTCCTGATCTCCTATCATTTAAATTGAGAAACAGCCTATTTCTATGCACAATTATGTATATAGATAACCCGATTTTATGTAAGAGCTTTTCATAAGTAAAAAAAATTAGAATGCACCAAATAATTGGTCAAGAGAAAAAAAACGAGTGGCAGCAAGTGGCCCTGTAAATCTTTCTGAACTTTTCTTTTTTCTTTCTAAGAAGAGCTGTGAGAAGAGAGTGACCATCTTCCAGACCCCAAAAAGGTAGATCCACTGACAGCTCATACTGTGCACCTGGAAAAGCTGCAGGCACTCAACATCAGACCATGAAAGCAGCCACAAGGGCTGGAACTCTAGTTGTAATATGCGTGCCTCATTCTTAAGTCTTTGTATATTGTGCTGTAACTATTCTTCTAGATGTACTTTTAATGCTCTGTCACTGTGTGGTGGAGAAGAATGCACATTTTCTAATCCAAGTTCTATTCTTTTATAGTTATTTGTACTGTAATTATGATATAATGGTTTGTGGAACAAGTTTTGAATTGGTTTTGTATTCTTATTAAGTGTCTGTAACAACAGAAACACTACGCTTTTTCTTTTTCTCACATACTTAATTTCTCTGGAGCAGGTAAGCCACAAATCTAAAAGGCTTGTTGGATCACTAAACTGAGGCACATTTCTGATGTCCAATTTGCAATTAATGTTATGTTGGTGATTTTTTCATCATGTACCTATAACACTCTTGGTCTTCTTTTATTTCAATTGTAACTACTTCTGGGTTCCTTGCTTTTGTACTTTTTGTGTCATTATAAAATTCTCCCAGTCTATGTTAAAAGCATGTTCTGTGTCTGGTCTGTTACTATTTTCACAGTATACTTTATTTTCATTTAAATAAAAATCAGAAGATGACTGGCAAGCAAATTCTGGAGGCCAAGAGTATAAATGAGATCAAAAGACATTTATGAGGCTGCACTATTTTTAAACAGGAAATATTAGGAATACATATTAGATGAACACTCTAGATACATCTTTTCCTGACAATCAGGTGCATTATTTGTCAAATTTGAGGGTATTTTCTTTAAGTTTGCTATTCCTGTAGAGTTATCATGGAGTGTCTCTTCCTAAAAACGAGGCAGCAGTTTTGTATTCTTCACAAATTTCACCCAAATTCTGCTTTAACTCAATTTTGATGAGTTTTAAAGTTTTTTTCCACCTCATTTGTCTTGTTTGATCCACGTTTTCCTCATACTTTTGCACATAAGGGAGTCTTGTATATACAGATATATGCTATTACAATACTTGTTCACTTCTGTTTGTTGAGACATTTTTTGCAGATGTGAAAGTGGAAGATTATGAGTTTTGTTTGTCAGATGTCTTTTCTGTCAGGGTATATGTTTTAAGGATAACTTTGTCTTTAAATAATGAAGTATGAAAAAATGAAAATTTAACTGTTAAATTTCTTAATCTATGTTTACCTAATCCCAAATTACTGTCTTGTAACCAAAAAGTGAAAAATAGTTTGCATAAGCCTAAAATATAAGAAAAACACAAACTATCAAACTTTACTTTGACAGTGTCTGGAGTAACATTAATTCATTGTGTGATAGATTTACCAAAAATGAAAATAAGAGATCATTTTTAGGAGTACAAAGGCATCTTCACTTAACAAGATTTTATCTCACTGTACTGGAAATACTGATACCCAATAGTGCACATTTGAGTGTTTTTTTCCAAAGATTACTAACCGGTGAGTAGGCAAACTTAAAATTATTAGGAGTCAAAATCAACCCCAATCAAAAGAAAAGCAAATTCTTACATTTTAATTCAAATTATATACTGTAATATGATAGTGTTATATAGCTATATAAACTATAGGCTTAAGTCAAGTTCTAATAAATTTTCAGGTCCACAAATGACAGTTGATTTTAAAAATTTAACAATATTTGCAGATTTCCTATGTTGAAATAAATTGGGAACATTTTTGCTTGAACCCAAACACCAAAAGTGCCATTTTGCAAGGTCTGATTCTCTTGATAGGTAGAGTTGGGTTGATTTTATGACCCCATTCTGCCCTGAACATAGATATTGAAATTAGTAAGAGATCACAATGGAGAATACATTTTTAATCTTGGTATTAGTCACCAGTAATATAAAACTGCAAATTTTGGACCATTGGCAATGATTACTTCTTTAACAGGAATCCAAATCAGCAGCCACCATTGTTAAATTATTCATAATTTTTATTGCTTAAAATTATAATTCAATATTTGATATTACTTTCTTTATTACATTAGGTTATAAAAATGGAACAGCAAACAATACTCAGGAACTTTTTGCCTCAGTTCCAAGGGTAATATTAGCTGTAAAATCACTGTAGATTCTTAGAACACTTTAAATTTTATAAACAGTTAAAATGTTATTAAAATTAACTATTAAATTACATTCAATTGATTCTAAAAGGCTAGTCCAAAAGTAATTTCATTTGGATTATGCTACATTACCAAAGAAAACCAGAAATTTGAAATTAAATTTTTACATACCTGTGGCTGGCTACTTTCACATCCTTCAAGCCTTTCTTGCTCTCCCTCTGATGTCATTTCTAAGTCTTGTTCTGCTCACAAATCCATATATTTAGTTAAAATGAACTACTTAGAACAATTAGATAAAAACTTTAGTCTTTATAAAAATAGAAAATAACATATTTTTCTTCTATAAATTGAGAATTTTAATGAAGCTTAATCTTTAGCGATATATCTACTTCTTAAGAATTACTTCTAGTTCTCCAAAACTTCAACAAACTACTTGGCAAGACACCAGATGTCACCAGATTCAAGCCATAGACCAACATCTCAAAGATTCGCTCACAAATGAATCCACCCAACAATATAAATGAACAAAACCATCAGAAAAACAAAATTTGAAAATCCAGTATTAACAGATAAACTAACACTACATATTGTTCTTTACTTCCTAATATTACCTTTATAATAACACACTAAACCTGCTTCTTATTATGAGTAACTTCCAATATGACTGTTACTGCTTATACCTTCATCCATATACACCCCGTTCATTATATCTGAAATGTCTTCCTCTACTATTCTGACAAATTTCATTTTTCAACAGCTGTGTAAACTCTTCTCTGATTCTGGCTCTTTCCCCAGACAAACAGTTTTATATAATACAGGTTTCATAAAACATGCAGTTAAGGTTTCAAAAGCGAGTTTATGTTTTAACCGACTATAACTAAAATACAAAGTGGGGGTTGGTGGATGACCTTGAGTTTTCAGGAATGAGATGGCGGTTCTCTGGAGACTGAGTACCCTTCGCGGTGCCCAAGGAGGCTGAGCTCTGTTGCTGCGAACCCCAGTGGTCACACCTGCTCCTATCTCAGCATTACTTCAGAACCGACCTACCCCCGAATGGTGTGGAGTGAGTACATTGGCTTGTCACCAAGCCACCATTCTGGTTCCCAGGTTGCGTCTCTCCACTGGACTAGTGAGAGGGTCGTCAGTGTTTTGCTCCTGGGCCTGCTTCCAGCTGCTTATTTGAATCCTTGGCTCTGTGACGGACTCTACTCCTTGCTGCAACCCTCACTCTTCATAGTTACTCGGGCCTTGGACAAGTTGTTACTGACTATGTTCATGGGGATGCCTTGCAGAAAGCTCCCAAGGCAGAGCTTCTGGCACTTTCAGCTTTAACCTTTGCTGGGCTTTGCTATTTCAACTACCATGATGTGGGCATCTGCAAAGCTGTTGCCACGCTGTGGAAGCTCTGACCTTTCTGACTTAATACTTTGAAGAACTGATGTATGCCTCTTTGCCTCTGCTTTGTCATGCCATTCAACTCACAATAAGGAAGAAATAACAGGGTAAGTCCATTGGTGGACAGCCTTCTTCTCTTAATCACAAGATTGTTTTCCAAATTTAATATTTGAGGAAAAGGTTTGAGAGGAATTACGACTAAGAAATTGTGAGACTGAGTTTTGTATTGCGGTGAGTTAATGGGGTTGCCTCCCAGCTTCTCATAAGAGTCACAGTATAACTAAACATGATACGAGCTTTTGCCTTTTATCAATCTCTTAAAGAGAATCCAGCTTTATTACTATTAATATATGATCAAATTTCTGTTTTTGCCCTGGGAATGATGGACAAAGGGAAATACTGTTAATTCATGAATAAAAACATCGCAGAAAATTAGAGAGTGTTCAGTTTTTGAAAACTTCCCTCTCTATTCAGTAGATACCACCTACTGATGGTTACATATACTGGGGAAATTTTAAAATTAGGAAATGCTGATATCTCACATTATGAATTTCTAAATCTTAGGAAGAAAAGCTTGGAGTGCTTCTGAATATAGAGAAGTTCCATTTAAGGGCAAGGTTCCCCTTGTAGACATATCAAAATATTACAAATTCTAAACTGAGACTCAAGTCTCAAATGTGTTTTACTTGTTCTGAAACAATCTGTCCATGAATATGAAACTATAAGTAATACATTGCTATTTTCCCACTATGGGAATCTCTAATGTGAAAATGTATTCTATGAATTGTTTTTAAATAAAATGTTGTATAATTAAAAAAAAGAAAAGTACACACATTCCAAAATGAACCTAATGGCTTGCAAAAAAAAAGTGTTTTTCAGTTAAGAATAGCAAATCATGATCCTGAGAGGATAAATGTCAAAGCTTATGGGAGAGTGCTGTGGCATATTTTTAATGCAACACATCATACTTAATTATACCATTATCCTACATGTATTTTTAAGTTGTGGGGCTGTGTGGCACAGCATGTGTCCTACTTCAAAGAGGCAGCCCCCGGTCTGTTCTGGTAATGGTTGCTGTACTTTTACTATAATGTGCTGAGCCTAGAGTTGGGCTATTCGAATATTATTATAATAATATTTTAGCTAATGGTAACAGAGTGTCTTCTTCTAACAAAATTGATATTATCATGACAATTAACTAGCAGATAGAACAAATCTCACCCTAACGAAGTAAATATATCTCATTTTATTTCCACTTGGGGGGAATTAAGTCAATACTAGTGAGACATTCTTGGTATGAGAATATGTAACACGGCCTGTGCTTCTCAATAAGGAATTTATTTTCTGACTTCTCTACACAGTAGGTATCTTTAAAAAATAACATCCTATTGGTATTGGTACAGTTCTTATTGATGTTTGTTCATGGTACCAGAAAGGTCTCATTGAAATTCTTATTTTAAAGACAGTTACTTTTTAAGTGACACAAATCACCATGTCAGAGTTAATCTCTGAACAACACAGGTTTGAACTGCAAGGGCCCGCTCATCTGCAGACTTTCTTCTGCCTCTGCCACCTGAGATGGCAAGATCAATCTCCCTCTACCTCCTACTCCTCCTCAGCCTAGCCAACTTGAAGACTCTGAGGATGAAGAGCTTTATGATGATCCACTTTCCACTGAATAAAAATATATTCTTTCTTCATTATGAATTTCTTTATAAGTTTCTTCTTCTCTAGTTTACTTTATTGTAGTAACAATACAGTATATAATACATATAACTAATATGTCTTAATTAACTGTATAATCAATAAGGTTTCTAGTCAACAATAAGTCATGAGTAGTTAAGTTTTAGGGGGGAGTCCAGAGTTATATACAGATTTCAAACTGAATGGGGGACTGGTACCCCTAAATCCCACACTACTCAAGGCTCAGCTGTAATATGTATTTACTAAATGCAAAGCATTTGTTTTATAAATTAAAATATCCAATGTTATAACAAATCCAATTCATCATAAGGTGACTATAAAGAAAACATACCACATACTAACTTAATCTTTTTTCTTATTTACACAAAAATATCATCTAGAATTTCAGAAACTACGATAATGAGTTTTTTTCAGATAATACTGCTTGAGATTATAACTTGCCTACAAGTAACTTTTTAAATAATTCTGAAATCTAGATTACTAAGAAAGTAATTAAAAAATATACATTCAATTTACAGTGGTTTTTTTAAACTGCTGTTTTGTGATCAAAACTTCCTTCCTCTTACTTTTTTATCTATGACAGGACCATCGAGAGGAATTCACTATCAGAAGTCATACCTGAATTGCTATTTTGAAGACTTTTACATCTCTTGTTTGCTTTATATTCAGAAATCATTCCACGAATGCTATGTATCAAAATGCAGTAAATACAATTACTATTTTAATACTGATATGAAAAACTTTACCAAATACATTAAATTCTTAAGAGTATATCAAACAATATCAGAACTTTAATTATACACTTTTAGTTTGTAAGCTCTACAAAACTCTTATTAAGCTTCTAATTAAAGAAGAAAAAAGTATGAAGTGAGGACAGTATAACTCAGTAAATTAACTCATGTGAAGTTGACATAATGGAAAATGATCTGACTCATAATAGGACCAATGGGTATTTGTTCTTGAACAAGTCTCTTCTCTTAGGCTCAATGTCTTCTTCTAAAGAATGAAGGTTTTACTACCTTATTCACTAGGTTATTATAAATGTTTAATGAAACCACATTTTAAGGTGCTCAGAGAAATAGTAAAGCAATGGAATAATTTGTTCTTGAACTTTTTTGCTGAAATTATTTTGGAATCCCAAATGAAACCCAATGTGTATTTTCACATATGTTCTAATATTAAAATGTTATGATCTTTTGAAAATGTTGTTAAGTCCTAATTTTGCTTGTTACTTGTTCTATTATTTGTAGCTTATGATTCAGGACATCTCAACTATTTCACAGTTTGTAACTAAATTGATAAATAGATTGTCTCATTAAAATAGATAACATGATTATCCATTGTTACTTATGTCATCAATCACACCAAAGGCAGAAAGCTAACAGATGTCAAGACCTGGCTTGGACTACTACTATTTTTCCTCTATAGACTCTAACTCTGAACTGGCAGATCTTTGTTAGAATGATGCTTCCTCTCCATGGTCATCCCCAACTGACATGGAAGACAAAAACCCTCATATTTTTGAAGGGTCATGAAGGAGATGCAAGTGGTTATTTTTTCATTTCTGAGATACATACTAACAATATATTTGCACACAACACACCACGAGTTTACTCAGCGCCATTCTCATTTCATAGATACCTTACTCCAATGTTTTTGTAATGAAAATGTGTAATTTCATTATTGGCTAGCACCTGTTTTGCTTTGACTCACACTGTTTTCCGGGAACTTGTCAGCAAACTAGTCAAATGGCCTTCTTGTAACTGTGTAAAATATGGACTGCTTCACAGATTAGTGTGACATGCTTATGCAGGGGCCATGCTAATTTTCTCTGTATTGGTCCAACTTTAGCATATGTGCCGCGAAGCAAGCACAAAGCTCTACTTTTATAAATGGATGCTGATCAGTCATGGATGAAGCTTGGCTCTGTTCAGTCCAACTCACCTACTTGAGACAGATAATTCTGACTAATGGCTTCCTATGAGGTAATATTTGAAGATATTTTAAAAACTTGAGGTGGAGAAGCAAGTGGGCTGGGAGATTTTTATTATTATGGAAAACAGATCACTCGAGGGGCCAACCACAAGTTGGAGCCCACTGCGGACAACATGGGACCCTCCTCTATCTAAGAAAAGCTGCTACATAAGATATAAAGGGGCTTGGGGTAAAAAATCTGGTAACAAAGAAGAAAAAACTTTGATATCTTCCTGCAACACTATCTGAACATCTCTAACAGGTTAGAACTATCCCAACTAATATTTGCTAGAGAGAAGACAAACAAGGGACTCACAGAATAACTAAGCATAGAAGTCTTAAGAGACTTGAGTTAAAGAATCCTACACTCATTGCTACTTCTAACTTGTCTAGTCTTATGCTTGATTTCTGGCTGATGAAGTGGACTAACTCACTGCCACTCCAAAACTACCTGAACCAAACTATGAAATCTCACTTGATATATAAGATGCAATGGTTACAATGACTTTAAACCTCAATTTAGTGTTCACTAGCCTTTTTAACACTTACGCTTGAAACTTAGAAGCAACAGCGTAGTCTTCTGCAGTCCATCCAGATATATCTTGGCAAAAGACATCAATATTGTGCTGAAGAAGCTGGTAGACTACACTTGTTGATCCATTACGAGCAGCAAGTATCAGGGCTGTTCTAAAATAAGAAAGATAATTTCATGCTTAGGAACTTTAGCAAAGCTATGTTAAAAGCTAAATTTATAAACTTTACCAATTTAATATGCCTGTCCATGTAGAATTAACCAATTACATGTACTAATAAACACAAACATCTTGGGTGCTCAAGGGTTCATCTTTGTAAATTGCCACCAAAGCCAAACAGAAGGAACAACAAGGAAGCCTCTTGTCCCACTGGGATATGACATAGCAGAAGTTGATAAAATAAAGTCCTTTGATGGGCAGAATACTATGCTCAGGTCACTTATCTAAAGTAGCTAAAAATTTAAGTGAAAAATTATCCATTTCTTCCCTAGTCTGATATAATATATTGTAATTCAAAATGAGCGTGGGGTCAATAAGAGCTATCTGCAGGTTTAAAACAATAATAATAATGCTAATAATAGCCACAGTAGTTTCAGTTAAGAATGCTGATAATCATATGCGAGGCACTGGATTAAATGCCATATATACATATATTACTTATACACAACCACCCTGGAAGGATATATTATTATCCTCTTGTTTCATAAAGGAAAACACTTGGTGATAAGTAATGTTCCCAAGGTCACACATCTAGTAAGCAGAAAAGCTAAGAATTAAACCCAGTCTTGTGTGAATCTATAGCCGATCTCTTTTTTCTCATTGTCACCCATGGCTTGTAGTCATTAAAAGTTCACCCAGTTGAAGCTAGCTTTTTTCCCTCTGCCCATACTAATTAAAAATAACACCAAAATACACTAGAAGTAAAAAGAAGAAAAAACCCAATGAACCCACAGTATCTGGCAATAGCAATTAATAGTCACTTAGGAATAACCTAACATTAATATTTTTGAGAGAAAGCAAGCTAAAGCAAAGAGTCATCCAAAACACAAAATGATTTTCAACTCTAATTTATCTTTAACAAAGTATTTTTAAAGGAAAAGCATGTAAGAAGCAGAGGTTGAAACTACTATAAAAGAGTTAAGAAATTTCAATATTGAGTCACAAAGTAAACTAAAAGTTGAAGTCTACACTTTTAAAACAAGTAAAACCAATATGACATCCCTTTAGTTAAGATCATATGACTCAAAGTATCACCTCATCCATCAACAAACATCAGTCAATATAATAAGAGAAGACAAATCCTGCAATACACTATTTTTTATGTTGCCCAGTCCAAATAATTGTTTTTCTACCTGATGACTTCTGCTGGTATTTCTCTCTATCCCAATAATAATAAGTTAATCTTATCAATTTAATATTTCTGACAAGTGACTGTTACCACTCTAGAACACCACTCAGGTTTAAAAATGAACAAAAAAAGAACTACTGTACCTTCCAAAATTATCTATTGCAGTTAAATCTGGTTTTTTCTTCAACAAAAATGCCACCATTTGCTCTTTTTTCCTATTTACAGCGAGTAAAAGTGATGTATGTCCATCCTGCAAAACAGCAAAAACAATTTATAATTCACAAAATTACATACTTCCCAACTGAACTGAAAACCTTATGTTAAGATCCTATGAACTTAAACATGAAGCAGAAAGTAAATAAAAAGCAATCCCTTCCTTCTCACTCCACTGTGCTTGCCCACATGTTGCTCCTTCCCTTTCAGATACCCCTCCTAGGGTGTCTGGAAGGCACAGTAGCAGACTGGAGCACATATGCCTCACATAAAGGGATAACCGCTGCACAGCATACTCAACAGTGATATGAGCTCAAGGGAATCCAGATGTGATCCTTTAAGAGAAGCCTGAAATCTAGACATGTGTATGAGTTTCCTAAATTTTACATGTTGACACAGCTTATGGAGGTAAACTAACCTAAATCTATGGGACACATTTAGACTACAGACCTCGTGTTTTCATATTTGTTATGAATGTATTTTTAAATAGTTGTATGTAAAGCAAATATTTGCACGTAATATATTTCCTTCTAGTTTCAGATGTTTTACTAAAAAAAATCATATGTCAATGGTAAAACAAATATACTTGAAATACTTTGAAAAGAACATTGGTTGATCATACCTGGCTTCTTGCTTCAATATCTGCACCATATGCAAGCAGTTTTCTTGCCATTGATATATTCTCATTATCAATGGCATAGTGCAGAGCAGTGTTGCCATACATATCTCTAACATTTGGGTTGGCGCCATGTTCCAGCAGGATGGATGCACAAACTTCTTCTTGACATTGTACAGCCTGTCAGTATTAGACCAAGAAATAGACTGTAAATTCTAGGAAATCTTCCACAGGATTCACCAACTAGTCACATTTCAATGAGGTGAATTAATTTTATTCTGTGAATTTAAATTAAATCCATCCCATGCTGAAAGAGTTGGCTACCATATACCTTGATCAGAGCTGTCCTGTTTTCACTGTCAGTGAGGTTAAGCTGGCATTTTCTGGCCACCAGGTCAGCTACCACTCCTGGACGGCCATGGGCACACGCCAAAAGTAGAGCAGTCCTGTGAGAATGAGAGGTCGCTTTAGGCAATTGTAGTGCACAGTCCCAAAACATACAACGACGCATGCAATTGTAAACATCCAATAGTATGTTATCCCTCTGCCTTCAGAACAAATAGTTACTTTTCTTGTGAAGAAAGGCAAGGTTTCCACATCCCAGGTGCTGCTGAGGCTGCCAGGGTAGAAAGCCCAGTGCCCTTGGTGACAACACTCACCCCACCCCCACCCCCACCCTTGCATCGTACCCACATCCTACCCAACTCTACCCCCAACCAGTCCCCTCACTCCATCCAACCCCCACCCCAGCCAACCCTCACTCCACTCGACTCCCCACCACAGTCCCTCACCCAACTCTACCCCCCACCACAGTCCCCAACCCCACCCACCCCCACACCAGTCCTGCACTCCATCCAACCCCCACCCAACTCCACTTCCCACCAGTCTCCCACCCAACTCTACCCCCACCACAGTCCCCCCAACATCCAACGCCCCCAGCCACTCCCCACCACAGTCCCCCACCCCATCCCACCCCCCACCAGTCCTCCACCCCAACCCACCCTCACTCCACTCCCCACCACAGTCCCTCACCCAACTCTACCCCCACCACAGTCCCCCATCACATCCAACGCCCCCCAGCCACTCCCCACCAGTCCCCCAACCCATCCCACCCCCCACCACAGTCCTCCACCCCTTCCAACCCCCACCCAACTCCACTTCCTACCACAGTCCCCCACCCAACTCTACCCCCACCACAGTCCCCCATCACATCCAACGCCCCCCAGCCACTCCCCACCACAGTCCCCCACCCCACCCACCCTCACCTGACTTCCACCCCACCCACGCCTTCACCCCACACCGTATCTCCCCTACCCCGAAACCAGGAACAGGGGCTTCTCCCATATCCCCAGGCCTCCTCCCGGCTTCCTGTTCCCCTTACCTGTTCTTCTTGTCCCTGTCGTTCAAGTCATTCAGCCTGAGCAAGATGCTCTCCATCACCTTGTTCACATCACCTGCGATGGCAGCTTTGTGGATCATGCCCAGATCCTTCTGCCGGACTCGGTACCCGGGATTTGAGAAGCCATCCTTGTCACGATTCTTCCTCCAGGTAGCCATGCGTCTCCTGCAGGCCGCCAGGAACGACCCCCTGACCTCCATCCTGAAGCCAGAGATCTTCTCCCAGGCTGAGGAACGGCTTTAAGACACCTCAGCTCCCACTCGTTTTCTGCCTCTCTGGAGCGCAGCACCAGCACGTAACCAGGTCCAGCCGCAACCTCCGTCAGGGACACTCCAGTCTCCAGCTGCTCGGAGGAGCACCTAGCCCAGCAGAGCCGTTAGGCACCAGCGCGCATGTGCACCTCAGCCGGCCCACGAGGCCATCCGCGGAGAAACAGCCCTGAGCCTCGCGCCCTCCATTCGCGGGCGCCACGTGGTGGCGCACCCGCCCTCCCCCCACCTCCCACCGCCCCCCGCCTCCCCGGCCAGAACCCTTAGGCACCAGGGCACATGCGCACCTCAGCCTGCCCGCGAGGCCCTTCGCGGGAGCTGCGCACTCTCGCGAGCGCCGCCTGCTGGCTGGCTCACGCCTGTGATTCCAGCACTTTGGGAGGCCGAGGCAGGCGGATCACGAGGTCAAAAGATCGAGACCATCCTGGCTAACACGGTGAAACCCCGTCTCTACTAAAAATACAAAAAATTAGCCGGTCGTGGTGCCGGGCGCCTGTAGTCCCAGCTACTTGGGAGGCTGAGGCAGGAGAATGGCGTGAACCTGGGAGGCGGAGCTTGCAGGGAACCGAGATCACGCCACTGCACTCCAGCCTGGGTGACAAAGCGAGACTCCGTCTGGAAAAAAAAAAAAAAAGAGCCAGGCTTTTAGTGCCCGGCAGGGACTCAGGAGGAAGCCGCAGAGCCATAGATCTGCCTTGGTTGGTTCTGCCCTAACTTTGCCCTGTGCTACCCTGGGCCTGTTCTACCCTGCCCTGCCCTGCCCTGCCTTTGGCTCTGCCCTGATCCTGCTTTGGCCCTCACACTGGCCCTAGTGCAGACCTGGCCCTAGCCCTAGCCTTGGCCCCGCACGGCCATAGCCCTAGCCCCCTCCAGGACCCCTCCCCAGTGCCAGCTGCAGGCCCTGGAGATGCTGCAGTGAGCCCGAGAGTACAACGCTCTTCAGCCTGGTGTGGCACGGCACAGCGCAGCGCCCAGGCCCTACTCAACTATGGTGTCACCACGGACGCCAGCACACTGCTGGCGGGACAATGCCACCTGCTGGAGCAGGACGAGAACAGAGACACGCCACTATACCTGTCCATCATCCATGGGCCGACCAGGGTCATCAAGCACATAGCCCATGTCATCTACCACACCCAGCACCTTGGCATCGTCAACCTCACCAACCACCTGCACCAGACACCCCTGCACCTGGCAGTGATCACCAGGCAGATGAGGGTGGTGAGCTTTCTGCTTCAGGTGGATGCAGACCCAGCACTGCTGATTGGCATGGAGACTCAGCCATGCACCTGGCACTGCAGGCAGGCCCTGGTGCCTCTGAGCTGCTGCATGCACTGCTTTGGAGTGGAGCTCCCGCTGTGCCTCGGCTGTTGCACATGCCTGACTTTGCAGTACACCTGGCGGCCCAAGCCCAAAGCCCCAAGTGCCTGGATCTGCTGGTGGACAGTGGGGCTGAAGTGGAGGCCACAGAGTAGCAGGGGGCCAAACAGCCTTGCATCTAGCCACAGAGATGGAGGAGCTGGGGTTGGTCACCCATCTGGTCACCAAGCTTCGGGCCAATGGGAATGCTCACACCTTTGTGGGAAACACACCCCTGCACCTGGCAGCTGGACTGGAGTCCCCAACCCTCACCCTCCTTCTGAAGGCTAGTGCTGACATCTATGCTGAGAATGAGGAGCCCCTGTGCCCACTGCCCTCACCCCCTACCTCTGATAACGACTGGGACTCAGAGGGGCCTGAGAAGGACACCCAAAGCAGCTTCCAGGGCCACACGCCTCGACCTTATCCACAGCACCAAGGTGAAGACCTTGCTGCTAAATGCCACTCTGAACACCATGGAGCTAGCTGCCCCTGACCCCACCCAGCCCTGCAGGGCCAGGGCTGTCACTTGGTGACACAGCCCTGCAGAACCTGGAGCAGCTGCTAGATGGGCCAGAAGCCCAGGGCAGCTGGGCAGAGCTGGCAGAGCGGCTGGGGCTGCGCAGCCTGGTGGACATGTACCAACAGACGGCCTCGCCCAGTGACAGCCTCCTGCACAGCTATGAGCTGGCTGGCGAGGACTTGGCAGGTCTGCTGGAGGCGCTGTCTGGCATTGGCCTAGAGGAGGGAGTGAGGCTGCTGAGGGGTCCAGAGACCTGAGACAAGCTGCCCAGCACAGCAGAGATGAAGGAAGACGGGGGTACGGGAGCCAATCAGTGGAGCAGGAGGCAGAGAAGCTGGCCCACCCCCTGAGCCACCAGGAGGCCTCTGCCATGGGCACCCCCAGCTTCAGGTGCACTGACCTGCTGCCTGGCCCCAGCCCCCTTCCCGGACCCCCCTGTACAGCATCCCCACCTATTTCAAATCTTAAATTTAACACCCCACACCCACCCCTCAGTTGGGACAAATAAAGGTTTCTAATGGGAAGGGAAGGACCCCTCCTTCCCAACTTTGGAAAAAAAAGCCAGGCGTTTCCCCAACCCCTCATGCTCTGGCCAATCCACCTGTGTTCCTCAATCAGCCCGGGCTCCTGGAACACAGCCTGCTCTGCCTGCGCGCAGGGGCAGGGGCCTCCTGGAGCCTCCTTCTCTACCCCACTCCCTGTCCCTAGACAGACTTTCCATCAGTCAAAGCTCCACCGGGCAGGAGAGCAGAGCCCCAGCTCTGGTTACCAGAGATGGGAGGTGGAAGAGAAGACTTGAACAGGGACCAGAAACAGGTACAAAGTAACACTCAGATGACAGGGAGGAATTCCGCTCTTCTGTTCCACAGCAGAGTGATGACAGTTCATGGCATCATTGCACCTCTTTCCAAAAAGCTTGAAAAGGAGGATTCAGAATGTTCTCATCAGAAAGAAATTTTCTTTTTCTTTTTCTTTTTTTTTCTTGAGACGGAGTCTTGCTCAGTCACCCAGGCTGGAGTGCAGTGGCCAATCTTGGCTCACTACAACCTTCGCCTCCCAGGTTCAAGTAATTCTGCTGCCTCAGCCTCCTGAGTAGCTGGGATTACAGGCACGCACCACCACACCTGGCTAATTTTTGTATTTTTAGTAGAGATGGGGTTTCACCATGTTGGTCAGGCTGGTCTCAAACTCCTGACCTCATGATCTGCCTGCCTCGGCCTCCCAAAGTGCTGGGATTACAGGCATGAGCCACTGTGCCCGGCCTCCACAAAGAGATTTTCACAGCGGTATGAGGTCATGGAGACACTCAATAGCATGATGTCATCATTCCACAGTGTACGCGTGGACCAACATGTCCCAATCTATCCTCACAGTGTAATCATTTACTATTTGGCAAATGCGATTCAAGAAATATGAATAAGCAATGGTAAAACTCACGTGAGACCATGAAATTTCCTAAATTTCCAAAGCAATCCTAAGACGTCCAGACTCCATCGCATGCATCACACTCCCCGATTTCCAGTGTCAGGGAAAAGCTAGGGACCCGTTTCCACCACACAGACCAGTGGAACAGAAAGGAGGACTCACAAGTACACCCACACACCAAAAACCACCTGATCTTTGATAACATCCAGGAAGATAAGCCATGCAGAAAGGACTCTCTATCGAATCAATGGTGCTGGGAAAGTGCACAGCCACGTGCAAAGGAATATCCCTGGGCCCTTACCTTCACCCTATACAAAAATCAACTCAAGGCAAATGAAGGATGCCAATGGAAGGCCTTGAGCTATAAAAATCCTACAAGAAAACCTGAGAAATACCCTTCTTGACATGGGCTTGGGCAAAGAATTGATACGGCTGAGTTTCCCAACAGCAACGCCAAAACAACAGGGCTTAACAAGTGGAATCTAATAAACTTCTGGAAGAGCTGACTCAGAGCAAAAGCCATCACCAAACAACTGAACAGACAAGCTACAGAATGGAAGAAAGTGTGTGCAAACTGTGTATCTGACCAATGTTTTATAACCAGAATCCTATAAGGAACGTAAACAAATCAATCACCTATTTTTGTGCATTTTTAGTAGAGACAGGGTTTCACAATGTTGCCCAGGCTGGTCCCGAACTCCTGAGCTCAAGAGATGCGACAGCCTTGGCCTCCCAAAGTGCTGGGATTACAGGTGTGAGCCACTGCGCCAGGCCAAGTATTTAACCTCTTTATGACTGTTTCTTACATTTGGAAGTGGGGATGCTGTAAGTACCCAGCCTATAGAGTTATTGTGAGAATTAATGCCTCACATATATACAAATTTATACAGCTATACTCTTAGAACAGTACCAGGAGCAAAGAAAGTACTGGTTAAAATTTTAGCGATTATTAACTACTACAAATACTATTACTATTATAAATAGCATATGATGTATTATTACTACTATAGTTATCTTAAAAATCTAAAATAAAAATTTTAAATAATATTCTAATGTAATCTGTCAGGGTTAGGGTAGAACCAGTTCAGGGCCAGGGCCAGGGCCATGGCAGGACCAAGGTCAGGAACAGGGGTCAATGCCAGGCCAAGGCCAGGGCTAGGGCCAGGTCTGTGCTAGGGCCAGTGTGAGGGCCAAGGCAAGGTCAGGGCAGGGCCAAACTCAGGGCAGAGGAGGGTACAGCAGGCCTAGAGTAGCACAGGGCGAAGGCAGGGCAGGGCCAACCAGGGCAGGTCTATGGCTGGGGCAGGGCCAGGGCCAGAAGCAGGGTAGATGTAGGGCCAGGGCAGGGCCAAGACAGTGGCAGCTCCAGGGCAGGGCCAGGGTTAGGACCACGGTCATGTCCAAGGCCAGTGCCAGGAAAAGGGGAAGGGCAAGGGCGGGGCCAGGACAGGTACCTGGCAGGGCCAGGGTCTGGGACAGGGCCATGGTAGGGCCAGGGCCACAGCCAGGTCTGTGCTATGTCCAGGCCCAAGACAAGACTAGGGTGAGGGCTAAGGTAGGGCCAGGGCAGGGTCAAAGCCAGAGTAGGGCAAGGACAGGGCCAGGGCAGGGTGATGACACAGCCAGAGCACGGCAGGGCATGTGGTGCCAAAACCAGGGGCCGACCAGTGCCAGCTCAGGGCCAGGAAAAGGCCAGGGCCAGGACAGAGCCAAGAAAGGGTCTGGGTCAGGGCCAGAACCACAGCAGAGCAGGGCCAGGGCCAGGGCCATGGCAGAGTCAGGGCAGGTACTTGACAGGGCCAGAACCAGGCCATAGTGAGGGCAGGGCAAAAGCCAAGGCAGGGTCAGGGCAGGTCCAGGGAGGGGCCAGCGCCAGGCAGGGCCAGGGCACAACCAGGGCAGGGTAAGGCAGGGCAACAGTACCAATGGGCCATGGCAGGGTGAGGTCAGCGCCAGGAGAGGACAGAACAGGCAGGGCCATGGTGTGGCCAGGGCAGGAAAGAGCCAAAGCAGGGCCAGGACAAATCAGGGCGAGGACATGTCCAAGGCCAGCTCAGGGCCAGAACAGGACCAGGACCGTGACCATTGGCAGGACCAGGGTCACGACAAGAGACAGGGCCAGAGCCAAGGCAGGGCCAGTGCAGGTTCAGGGAAGGTCCTGGCCAGGGCAGGGCAGGACCGGGACAGGCCAGGTAATGGTAGGGCAGGTCCAGGGCAGGGCCAGGCTGAAGGCCAAGGCCTTGCCCAGAGCAGAGCCAAGGCAGAGGCAGGGCCACGGCATGGCAGAGCCAAGGTAGCACAGGGCCAAGAAAAAGCCAGGGCAGTTAGGAGCCAGGGCAGGGCCAGGACATTGCCAATACCAGGGCAGGGCCAGGGAATGGCCAGGGCAGAGCCAGGACCATCACCATGGCAGGGGCAGGACCAGGTTTGGGGCAGGAGCAAAACACGGGCAAGGACAGTGCAGGTTCATGGTACAACCAGGGTCCAGAACAGGGGCAGGGCAGGGCCAAGGAAGGGTCTGGGCCACGGCAAGACCAGTGACAGGGCTGGGGCTAGGACGGTGACAGGGCCAGAATCAGGGGAAGGGCCAAGCAGTGCAAGGCCAGGGTGGGGCCAGGCATTTCAGGGTCAGGGCCAGGGCAGAACCAGGGTAAGGTTTCAAGCAGGGAAGGGCCAGGGCCAGGACAGGAGCAGGGTCTGGGGTAGGGCAAGGGTAGGGCCAGAACAAGGGCAGGGCCAGAGCAGGGTAAGGGTCAGGGCCAAGGCCAGGGTAGGGACAGGATGAGAAATATGGCAGGACCAGGGGTAAGGCCAAGGCCAGGGCTGAGTCAGGGCAGGGAAGGGCGTGGTATGGCCAGTGCAGGACAGGACCAGAGCTGGTCCATAGACAGGGCAGGGCCCATGATGCCAAGGCAGGGCCAGGCTAGTGCCAGGGCTGAGGCAGTGTCCGAGGATGTCCAGGGCACAGCCAGGTCCAGAGCCAAGCCAGGGAACAGCCAAGTCAGGGTAGGGCAGGGCAATGGCAAGGCTGGGTCACTGCCGGGACAGGGCAGAACAGGGCAAGGTGATGGTAGGGGCAGGGCAGGGATAGGCCAAGGCAGGGCCAGGTCACTTCAGGGCCAGGACATCTCCAAGTCCAGTTCAGGGCCAGGGCCAGGGCTATGGCAGGACAAAGGCCAGGGCAAGGGCCAGGGCCAGAACCAGGTCTGGGCTACGGCCAGGTCCAGAGCACGGCCTAGCCAAGGCTAGCGTGAGGGCCAAGGTAGGTCCATGGCAGGGTCAAACCAGAGTAGGACAAGGGCAGGTCCAGGGCAGGGTGATGACACAGCCAGAGCACGGCAGAGCGTGTGGTGCCAAGACCAGGGACCGACCAGTGCCAGCTCAGGACCAGGACATTTCGACCATGGCCAGGGCAGAGCCAGGAAAGGGTCTAGGTCGGGACCAGGACTAAGGCGGAGTAGGGCCAGAGCCATGGCAGAGTCAGGGCACGTCCCTGGCAGGGCCAGGTCCCAGGCCAGGGATATGGCAGCAGCAGGGACAGGGCCTGGATAACGGTCAGGGCCAGGGATATGGAAGGACCAGGGTCAGGGCCAGGGCCTGGGCGGGGCCAGGACAGGGCCAGAACCAGGCCATAGTGAGGGCCGGGCAAAAGCCACGGCAGAGTCAGGGCAGGCCCATGGAGCGGCCAGTGCCAGGAGGGGCCAGGGGACAACCAGGGCAGGGTAAGGCAGGGCAATGGCACAACTGGGCCATGGCAGGGCGAGGTCATTGCCGGCAGAGGGCAGAACAGGCAGGGACATGGTGGGGCCAGGGCAGGGACGGGCCAAGGCAGGGCTGGGACAAATCAGGGCCAGGACATGTCCAAGTCCAGGTCAGGGCCAGAACAGGACCAGGACCATGACCTTTGGCAGGGCCAGGGCCATGGCAGGCCCAGGGTCAGCACAAGGAGCAGATCAGAGCCAAGGCCGGGCCAGCACAGATTCAGGGAAGGTCCAGGGCAGACGCAGGGCCACAGCCTGAGCCAGGGAAGGGCCAGTGCAAGGGCAGGGCCAGGGCAGGGACACAATAACACAGGGCTAAGACAGGGCCAGGGTGGGGCCAGGGCAGGGTAGGGCAGGGCCAAGACAGCCAGGTAACAGTAGGGCAGTCCAGGACAGGGCGGGGCCAGGCTGAATGCCAATGCACCGGCCCTCCCTACAAGGCTCCTGCCACCTGGCCACTGCCGCAGCTCCACCACTGCCATAGGCCTGCCCCCACCCTGGCTGCTGCCACCTGCCTTCCTAGTGTTGCCACCCTCCTACCTCTCTGGCATGCTTCAGTGAGGCGAGCTGCAGTGTTGCAACCTTCAGTGTATGGCAGGTGTCTCCTCCTCCTCCTGGCATGGAGCAGCTGGGCAGACAAAGCCAGAAGAGCCTAGAGGAAGATGCAAAGGGTGGTAGCGTCAGAGCCTCACCTTGTCATGTGAGCCACTGGGTGGCAGAGGCCAGTTTCAGCAAAGGCACTCACACCCAGCCTCCAAAGTCCAGCCTCTCCTTTTGGCCCAAGCTAGCCAGGAACTGGGGCCTAAGGTGGGTGCTGGAGACACCACAGATCCCAGCTCCCCACTCCACAGGAGCCGCTGGGCCCACCGGGGCTGCACTCCTTGTTGAGCAGGAGCAGCAGAAACTCAGAGATCAAGCCAACCCTCTGCATCCAGGTGCCAATTCCCATTCTGGACGCCTCCACGCACAGGGCCCTGTTCCCTGTGGTGTCCACTACTCCATACCCAGAGGTGCCAGGCAGGCTCTGTGGCACAGACCCAGAATGCACAGGCCCAGTAACCATGGCAGGTGTGGGCTCTGCCATGCTTAGGATTCCCACGGAAACACTGTGCACCTGCCACACTCCAGTATGAGCAACAGGAGGTCGCCCTCTGGAGTGTGGAGTCCAGGGAGAGGAGAATTGCTCCTTCCTTGGATGCCACCACTGTCGCTGCCACCTCTACCAACCACCGCCAGCAGTGCAGCCCCCAACAGCACCCAACTAGCCCCCCTCCATGGCTAGTCCTGCCTCAATAGCGCCCCCCACTTCCACCCCCAACAAAGCCGCCAGCAGCATAGTACCTGATTAGTGCCCCTAACCTGTCCTCCTCCACGGGCACTGCAGCCCCAGAGAGCACCCATAACCCACTCCCCGCCATGGGCAGCACAGCCCCATATAGTGCTACCAACAGGTACACCCAACGCAGGCAGTGACACCTCTGAGAGTACCCCCAACGCACCCCCCACTGTGAGAAGTCCAGCCCCAGATAGCCCCTGTCGTACCACTCTGGTAGTGCTGCAGTCTCTGTCGCCGCCACCACCAACCACAGTGAGGCGAGCCGCTGCGCCACAGGCTCTAGCCTCCAGCTGCCAGGCACAGAGCAGCTCTTGCTGACGGCCGCCTCCTACCACTTCAACCACGCTGCTGTCTCCATGGCCATCTTCTTTGACTACAAAGGAATAAAACTAGATATAAGTAAGAGAGTGATTTTGGAAACCATACAATCACATGGAAGTTAAACAATCCATTCGTGAATGAATGACTAGTGGGTCAATGAAGATACTAAGATGGCAATTGAAAAATTTCTTGAAACAAATGGTAATGAAAACACAATATACCAAAACTTATGACACACAAAAAGCAGTAGAAAGGCAGAAATGTATAGCTATAAGTGCCTACCATCCAAACAGAAGAAAAACTTCAAATAAACAATACACCTTAAACAACTAGTAAAGAACAAACTAAACCCAACATAAATAATAAAGATTGTAGCAAAAATAAAATTGAAATAAAAAAACACAAGACTAAACAAAAAGTTGGCTTTCTGGAAAGTTAAACAAAATTGACAAACTTTTAGTCAGGCTAACTAAGAAAAAGAGAAGATTCAAATAAATAAAATCAAGAGATAAAAAAAGGAGACATTACAACTGATGCTTCAGAAATGCAAAGGATCATAACTGCCTATTTAATAGGCCAATTAATTAAAAAGCCTAGTAGAAACTGACAAATTCCTAGACGCATACAATCTACCTAGGTTGAACCATGAAAACATCGAAGACCTGAACAGATCGGTAACAAATAATGAGATTGAAGCCATCAGAAAAAGTCTCCCAGTAAAGAAAAGCCCAGGAACCGATGGCTTCACTGCTGATGGCTTCACACCACACATTCACAGACCTAGTACCGATCCTACTCAAAGCTATTTTGAAAAACAGGAGGGCAGACCTAGTACCAATACTACTCAAAACTATTTTGAAAAACAGGAGGGAATACTTCCAAACTTATTCTATGAGGCCATTATTACCATAATACCAAAATCAGACAAAGACATCAAACAAGGAAACTACAGGCCAGTATCTCTAATATTGATACAAAAATCCTCAACAAAATGCCAGCAAATCAAATTCAACAATACATTAAAAAGATAATTCATCATGACCAAGTGGGATGTATCCCTGAGATGCAAGGGCCATTCAACACAAAATCAGAGGGATACACCATATCAACCGAATAAAGGACAAAAACGGTACAATCGTGTCAATTGAAACTGAAAAAGCATCTGATGAAATTCAGCATCCCTTCATGCTATAAATAAATCATCAAAAATCTGGATACAGAAGAAACATACCTCACCATAATAAAAACCACACGAGAGAGACCCACAGCTAGAATCACATGGGATGGGGATATATGGAAAGCTCTTCCTCTAAGATCTGGAACATGATAAGGATGCCCACTGTCACCACTGTTACTTAACATAGTACTGGAAATCCTAGCTGAAGCAAAATCCTAGCTAAAGCACACACCAAACCGTCCCCCTCCCCGCACCCCATAGCGCCCTCAACCCGAAACATCCCACCCGCCCCCGTGGGCAGTGCAGCCCTGGATAGTACCCTTAACCCTCCTCACTGCTGCCGGCAATACAGTCTGGGATAGTGCCCCCAACCCGCTCCCCGCCGAGGGAAGTGCAGCCCCAGATAGGGCCCCCAATTAACCAATAGTGACATTTTACTTTGCCAATATTAAGATGATCTTCTGTTGAAATTTAGCTGAAATCTGTTTAACCCCAGAAATGGCTGAACTAAAACTGTAGAATTGATTATGACATATGAGGTGATGAAGCTGACCTACGTAGGGATGAAATGACATAGTATCTGAGATCTTCTTTAAAATGTTTCAGCCAAAATAAATACATAAAGTAAGTGTGGCAAAGATTTATTGGAGCTGGGGAGTGGATGAGTGACCTTTTTCTGCTATTATCTCTATTTTTGTGTATGTTTGAGATGTTTGATAATATGAAAGAAGGATCAAGGGAAAGATGCTTTAGAAAAAGATTTCACACGGAACTGAAGCTGTGCATGACTTTCCATTCTTTAAGTTGGCCTGTGGGATTTGACCATCCCAAATCAACTTCCCGCAATACCTTAAGAATGATGAGCACTTACTGAGACAGCAAACAGCGATGGTGCTGATGTGACTGGAAGTGTAGGTAGAGGAATAAATCATCCTTGAATCATGTAACAAATGGCAAAGAAAGTGCTACCACAGTGGGTCTGGTGATGTGCTATTCTCTATTGCTACAATAGAAATAATGCATTTTCAAGTATTTTATTATTTCCTTTATATCCTTTAAGTGCTCTGTCAGCTTGATCAATACAGAGAAAAACACATTTTCACTATGATAAAAAGAACTAGTCAAAACCTACTGTGAGAGTAAAATAAAATTAAAATGACTTTTTTTCTTTCAATAGCCTTATTTCCATTGAAAGTTTGAGATAAGATGCTAAATGTCACAGGTAGAAAGCTGTGCAAAATTCTGCGCTTCAATTCCAAGGGTAGGTGGTTTAGAAACTGCATTGACCGGCCAGGTGCAGTGGCTCACGCCCGTAATCCCAACACTTTGTGAGGCCGAGGTGGGCAGATCATCTGAGGTCAGGAGTACAAGACCAGTCTGGCCAACATAGTGAAACCCCATCTCTACTAAAAATACAAAAATTAGCGGGGTGTGGTGACGGGTGCCTGAGATCCCAGCTACTTGGGAGGCTGAGGCAAGAGAATCACTTGAACCCAGGAGGCAGAGGTTGCAGTGAGCCGAGATCATGCCAGTGCACTCCAGCCTGGGTGACAGAGCAAGTCCCTGTCTCAAAAAAAGAAAAGAAAAGAAAGAAGGAAGGAAGGAGAAAAGAGAAAGAAAGAAAAGGAAAGGAAAGGAAAGAGAGAAAAAAGAAAAGAAACTGCATGGACCTACCAGCACATTTTCTGATGTTATAATGAGTCTATTTTTGTTTCTTTTGGGGAGATGCTGGTGTGGAGATGCTTTTAGCTAAGAAAAACATCATCTTAGATTTTCACTTAAAGCTAAAAAGATCTAACAATTTTAATAATTGGGAAGACATCAATACAAATATAAACTTTTCTGTACTAAAACTGTAGAATTGATTATGACATAGGAGGTGATGAAGCTAGGGGAGAGTCAACCATTTCCTGGGATTCTCTAATTCTGTAACTTACTTTGTGTACTGTTTTACAGTTCAAGAGGTGTTTTCACATCAATTGCCCCATTCCATCTTTATTTCCACTCTGTGTGCAGGCAAGGCTTTATGAAGTAATGCTCTACAAAGAAACTGAGGCTCGGAGGGGCAAAATGATGACTTGATCAAGGTCATACAGTTACCAAAATGGTGGTGACAGGACTATTGATTTATAATCAATAAATTACTTAGAAGAAATTACTTAAAAGACAAGAGTAACTAAAATGGAGACATGCCAACCCTTGCTTACCTTTCAAAGCCGATCTGCCGGAATGTCTTTTCCCATGTTGAGCCTGTAATGGAAGGGAGAGACATAATCAGGGCACATCAAGGACTCAGATAGTTTTGTTCGGCTTTTCCACACACGCTAGATATTTGGTTTTATGTTTAGGTAGGATGACTGGTTTTTCTTCAAATGCATTACTCCCCACCTCCAGTCCCAGATGGCCTTTGTAGAGTACAGAAAATTTAATAAAAAGTCCGCATATACAGAAGTCGAGTCCACATAGGGATTTAAGTGCATATAACCTGCAATGTGGCCAGCCGCAATGGCTAACGTCTGTAATCCCAGCACTCCGGGAGGCCAAGGCAGGCAGATCACCTGAGGTCAGGAGTTCGAGACCAGCCTGGCCAACATGGCGAAACCCTTTCTCAACTAAAAATACAAAAATTAGCCGGGCATGGTGGTGGGCACCTGTAATCCCAGCTACTCAGAAGACTGAGGCAGGAGAATCACTTGAACACGGAGGCAGAGGTTGCAGTGAGTCAAGATCGCGCCATTGCACTCCAGCCTGGGCGACAAGAGCAAAACTCCATCTTGAAAAAACAAAACAAAACAAAACAACAACAACAACAACAAAATCTGCATGTGACAGAACTCTCCATGCCAACCCCTCTGGTAAAGCATTAGGCCACGCCAATAATTCTCTAAAAATCTAAGTGTGTCCTGCTCAGCAAAATATGGTGGAACTCTCCTGTTAAACATAATCAAACAGCTGTACGTTCTAAAATTCAACTTGTAATTTTGTGGAGCAATCTGGAAAGCCAGGTGACACTGAAGTTCCAACACATCACCCACCATGCCTTTATCTTACCAGTGTTGACCACAGAATTCACATTTCCTTTTTTTTTAAGCTAAACATGTTAAATCAGAAGAACACAAAAATGCTGTTCCAACTGATATCAAGAACAGTATATCCAAATCCATAAGAGAAGGACAGCTGGGTATAAAAAAGATGTTATACAATTTTTCTATGTAATATTTCTTCCCTACGTCACAGGCATATAATAATTTTCTGAGTACCTGATATAAGGAAAAGTGCTAAATTTTAGGAAAACCTTTTTAATAAAAATTCGGCATTTACCAAAAGTAAGGATTTGTGCTAACCCGTGCCATTTGTTTACATTTTCCTGATGCTTAGTCAATGGTAAACATATTTTGATTTCAGTAACTATTGCAGGTAAATACCCATCTACCCCTAAATTCATAAATTGTGTTGTGCACTAGTTGCTTGATAATCACAGCAGGTAGTTATTGATAATTACTGCCTTTCTGATAGAGTTACTTCTGTCAATAGGAAACGGTGGGTTCAGCACTGAGTCCCCAGCTAAAAGGCAGCTGAAAAGCTACCTGGCTTCTTTTCCTAAAGTCAAATTAAACTCGTACGGTGCTTAGGTTTATTTCTTGAGAACTCTGCCTCAAAGGCTTCATCTTCGGATGGCCAGTGTCTCCTAGACATTAGGCTTCCTCAAGAGGAGTAGGAGGCCCCAGGGCCAACTCTCTGGCCTTCTCTAAGGACTGAACTAGTCCCAGGAGATCATGATCATGGGGTTTTGCCAGGGGACCTGGGTTCATACTAGTTGGTCATGATGGAGTGTTTTAAATAATTTTGATAAATAATAAAGGACTAAATTTCGGATGTGGATTAGACACACAAACACATTTAAAGCAGATTCAGGCTTATATTCTCACATGAAGTCACTCTTCTCCGGCTGAATTCCAATGTGTTTTGCTGAGTAGGAGTAAAAAAAAAAAACACAGAGTTTGAGCTAACCAGCCCAGGAATTTCTCTTGGCCCCTGGCCCAGGGGAGTGGGTCCCATGTGAATGTCTTCTGACCTGTGAGTCACATGCAAAACAATTAAGAATCCCTTTTTCAGGAATTCTTTTTAAAAATATTGTTATTTTTAATTGACACATAATAATTGCACATATTTATGGGAACAGTGTGATATTTTGATACATGTGTACGATGTGTAATTCTCAGACAATTATTCTGCCCCTGAGATCCTAGCAATTAAGAGACTGGCAGAGAATACATAACCTGCGGAAGCCACAATGTGTTCAAGGCCAATGACAACTGCCTGCCTAGACTACAAGGTGGGAGAGATGAGAGTCTCCTGCCAAAATGAGAACCAGATGGCCAAGCACAGGCCAAGTGTGGAGGGTCCCCAGAGGGAAGGATTGGACGGTGAGGAGGTTGAGATGCTGCTCGCCTTGACTTCTCTTGCTTCATGGAAGAAACAAAGCACCTTTTACATTTTTCTGCATTTCCATTGTTTTCTAAGATATTTTCAGTATTATTCCTATTTTTTGTTTTTAATAGGTTCAATTTTTTTCTTAATAGGTTCCATTTATTATTCAGGTAAATTTTTTAATTTAAATGATTTTGCTATACTACATTGTCAGGCTTTTTTAACAGGGAGTTTTAATTTAAAAATAAGCCCCACCTTCCTATTTCTGTGAAATGTAAACTTATTTAAACAGGCAGGACAAGTCAAAAGGTTTCGATGCAAGACACTCAGTACTCCTGAGAATAAACATTAGGCCACTCAACCAGGCACAACAGCAGTGGCAGAACGACTTCTTTCTATTCACCAGAAATCAACTTAATAATTTCAGTGTCTGACATACCACAGGCTCATCATTTTTTGCCATTGATACTTTCCTAACCATCTTAACATGCTAGGTATGAGACTAGATATATTAAAATATGGTTTCTGCCCTCAAACTCCACATACCCTAGAGGTTTGGATTTTTATGCCTTTTGTGAGCACTTAATCATGATGAAACAAGAAACACACAATAAATGGAACAGACATGTCCAGATCCTTTGGCACCACGAATATTTCTGGCAGCCCATTATTCAGTTGCCAGGGAATTCTTTTAAAGCCATTAACCATGCTTTACATGGTAAGGTAATACTATTCACTTTCGCCAAAGCAGTCCAACAAGGGGAAAGAAGTAGCTGGCAGACTTCATTGATTCAACACTTTTTAAATGAGATTTATAATATAGAGAAGTTTAAAACATGTTGTATTTTTCAGGGAAACCGAAACAGCAATAATAATTAAAAGGAAAATATATAGCATGCAGAATGGATGTCCAGTCATCTCTCAGTATCCACAGGGAATTAATTCCAGGACCCCTGTGGACCCCAAAATCTGCAAGTGTTCACATCCCTGATCTAAAACAGTGTAGAATTTGTATATAACCTAGCATCCCCTGCATACTTCAAATCATCTGTAGATTAATTATAATACATAGTAATATATATAAATGTTATGTAAATAGTTGTTATATTGTACTTTTTTTACATTTGTAGTGTTTTTATTGTTGTATTTTTTTCAAATACGCTTTTTCAAATAATTTTGATCTGAGGTCAGTTGAATTTGTGGGTGCAGAACTCATGGATACGGAGGGCCAACTGTAATTCATAGAAGGGATTTTTTCCTTTCAAATCTTAGATGAAATAGTTAGAAATAATGAACTGTGATTCTTCACTTTCAGAAACTGTCCTTTGCAGATCCAGTATCCAGTCAACAGAATTGAAATGCAGAGTGGAAGATGGCAGAGTCCAGACACGGTAAACAAACCTTGGACTAAATTGCATTCAGCTGCAGAGCAGGTCCCAGTGTCTACCACGTGTGTCCAGGGTGACAAACCAGCCTTTAAGCTCCTTTCAGGTAGGATGTTTCCTCCTGAATAAGTAAACCAGCCATCGCTCCTTTACGAATGAATCCAGCTCTGCCTGTCCATTCTCCTCTCACCCTCCCTCTTCCACCCTATCTACCTATCAACCTCTGTGGCTTCCATTTTCCCTCCTCTCTAATAACATTGCTGCACCACAATTAGCTACATGGGGTCAAGATGGAACCTCTGCCAGTTTCTGCACCTATCTGGTAGGAAGCTCTCTCTCCTCAGCTGCCAGAAAGCCAGGCTCACCCATGACCAAGTTTGCTGCCACATGCAACAGCCTGTGTGTAAGAGGGAAGAATGGGTCACGTGTGCAGAGGGAAGCAGGGATGGAGAGAGGAGGCTGACCCCTCATGGCATCCCCATCTGCCTCTGTGCACTCCATCAGGATGCCCTCGCCTTCCCTCACTTCCCAGTTACAGGGAAGAAAAAATAACCTGGGTCACCTATTCTCATTTTAAGTCGGGGCTCTGATACCTGTATCTCAAAGAGCACTCAAGATAGACAATGAAAATAAGAACAATTCCTTGAGCATCCAAATTTTAGGTTGTGAGGAAAGCATGTTTAACAATTTCTAGGCCGGGCGCGGTGGCTCACGCCTGTGCTCCCAGCACTTTGGGAGGCCGAGGCGGGCGGATCACAAGGTCAGGAGATTGAGACCATCCTGGCTAACAAGGTGAAACCCCGTCTCTACTAAAAATACAAAAAATTATTCAGGCGTGGTGGCGGGCGCCTGTAGTCCCAGCTACTCGGGAGGCTGAGGCAGGAGAATGGTGTGAACCCGGGAGGCGGAGCTTGCAGTGAGCCGAGATTGCGCCACTGTGCTCCAGCCTGGGCGACAGAGTGAGACTCCGTCTCAAAACAAACAAACAAACAAACAAACAAACAATTTCTAGCCATCTTTAGTCCTATTTTAAATCAAGAGTGGCATTTCCCCCAAATTAACATAGCAATGAAATAGTTTACGGTTATTAATCCCTTACCAAGTAGGTGCTAGCTTCCTATATATTAGCTAACTTAAGCTTCTCAAATACTCTGTGAAATTAGTACTATTACTACATCCCCTTTTCAGGTGAGGAAACCAAGAGTTAGAGATTAGGGACCCCAGAGCCAATGTTCTTATTTATTCATTGTATTGTCTTATCTTGGGGACTGTGTTCTAGTCTCCCCTTCCTTCTCCATATTCCTGTTTTTATTCTCCTCCCTATCATGCGTCTTCTTCCTTCTACCATCTGGTTATAATTAAAAAAAAAAAAAAAAACTGGACCCCTGGCTCCCTCCAGGCCCAGAGCAGCCGCAGAGGACAAAGGAGCACGTCGGCGCCGGGGAGGGCCGGTCCTCCGGCCGCCATGAGGCTCCGGGCGCCACTGGGCCCGATCCGCGCTCCTGCTCGCCCGGGCTCTGGGGCGGCCCGCTAGGCCAGTGCGCCGCCGCTCGCCCAGCAGGCCCCGGCCGGCAGCATGGAGCCGCCCGGACGCCGGCGGGGCCGCGCGCAGCCGCCGCTGCTGCTGCCGCTCTCGCTGTTAGCGCTGCTCGCGCTGCTGGGAGGCTGCGGCGGCGGCGGCGGCGGCGCCGCGGCACTGCCCGCCTGCTGCAAGCACGATGGGCGTCCCCGAGGGGCTGGCAGGGCGGCGGGCGCCGCCGAGGGCAAGGTGGTGTGCAGCATCCTGGAGCTCGCGCAGGTCCTGCCCCCAGATACTCTGCCCAACCGCACGGTCACCCTGATTCTGAGTAACAATAAGATATCCGAGCTGCAGAATGGCTCATTTTCTGGGTTAACTCTCCTTGAAAGATTGGACCTCCGAAACAATCTTATTAGTCGTATAGATCCAGGTGCCTTTTGGGGACTGTCATCTCTAAAAAGGTTGGATCTGACAAACAATCGAATAGGATGTCTGAATGCAAACATATTTCGAGGACTCACCAATCTGGCTCGGCTAAACCTTTCGGGGAATTTGTTTTCTTCATTACCTCAAGGAACTTTTGATTATCTTTCCTCATTACGGTCTTTGGAATTCCAGACTGAGTATCTTTTGTGTGACTGTAACCTACTGTGGATGCATCGCTGGGTAAAGGAGAGGAACATCACGGTACAGGATACCAGGTGTGTTTATCCTAAGTCACTGCAGGCCCAACCAGTCACAGGCGTGAAGCAGGAGCTGTTGACATGCGACCCTCCGCTTGAATTGCCGTCTTTCTACATGACTCCATCTCATCGCCAAGTTGTGTTTGAAGGAGACAGCCTTCCTTTCCAGTGCATGGCTTCATATATTGATCAGGACATGCAAGTGTTGTGGTATCAGGATGGGAGAATAGTTGAAACCGATGAATCGCAAGGTATTTTTGTTGAAAAGAACGTGATTCACAACTGCTCCTTGATTGCAAGTGCCCTAACCGTTTCTAATAATCAGGCTGGATCTACTGGAAATTAGGGCTGTCATGTCCAGACCAAACGTGGGAATAATACGAGGACTGTGGATATTGTGGTATTAGAGAGTTCTGCACAGTACTGTCCTCCAGAGAGGGTGGTAAACAACAAAGGTGATTTCAGATGGCCCAGAACATTGGCGGGCATTACTGCGTATCTGCAGTGTACGCAGAACACCCATGGCAGTGGGATATATCCCGGAAACCCACAGGATGAGAGAAAAGCTTGGCGCAGATGTGATAGAGGCGGCTTTTGGGCAGATGATGATTATTCTCGCTGTCAGTATGCAAATGATGTCACTAGAGTTCTTTATATGTTTAATCAGATGCCCCTCAATCTTACCAATGCCGTGGCAACAGCTCTACAGTTACTGGCTTACACTGTGGAAGCAGCCAACTTTTCTGACAAAATGGATGTTATATTTGTGGCGGAAATGATTGAAAAACTTGGAAGATTTACCAAAGAGGAAAAATCAAAAGAGGTACTTTTCTAAATTCAGATTTGTAGCATACAGTGTCAACAAATGGTAGTGTGACAGAGTTCAATCTGTATATTTTAAGGCCTGTTTATGTTTATCATATTTGAACTAAAAGCACGCTTTTAAATTTCCAGAATTTTGTGGAGATACTTCTGCCTCTTCTCTTATAATGACCTGTTTGTTACTGGGACTGGGAGAGATGAACTCTCAGTTCCTGGACATTAAGGTCCAGAGATATAGCAGAGGTTGCTGGTGAGAAAGTAGTGCTCTGCCTCCACACTGTGGCTTAGGCAGGGCTGCTTAGCTCAGCCTGCTGGATTTCTCTTCTCCACACACCCCTGAGCTCATCTTTTGTAACGGGAGTTTTAGTCACCCAGATCTTGTAGTAAATTCCTTTTAATTGTCCTTGTAATGTCCTAGAGAAATGAGAGGCTGTTTAGGCGCTTTTTTGAAATTCAAAATGATTGGACTATATAAGTTTTAAAAATGCAGTGAATTCTACAAGTGGTGTATTTTACCTTAACGGGACCACATTGAAACCATGATATGCTTGTCCACATGATATCTTCTAGGGGAAAGAAATTGACAAGCACAGTTTACAGAATGAATGAGCAGCAAATTAATGCTTTGAATAATTTTTAAGGGGCAGAATTATTGTGTTCTTAAGCTTTATGTTTAAAGCTTTGTGAGAACTTTATATGTACAATTTCTTTTGTGATATAATCACTTATAAAGAAATGAATTATAGAGGTAGAGGGAACCTCAAGCAAGTTGTAAACTGAAGCCCACGCTTAGGTTAGGGCAGGCCTGAAAACAGAACCCAAGATCCCTGACTCATCCATAAGAGTTTTCTGTAGCATCACATTCACCTTCTCATACAATGTGGCCCTGACTTGCAATTCTAAAAGTGCTTTGTATACAACTGTGGGGAAAACACTGGGCTGAACAAAACCTGCATATTTCTTTATGTAGAACTTCTCAGATCCATTAATATTGCTAAAATGTAAATAATAAGCCTTGTTTTCCTAAATCATTCTAATATATTTTTATATATCAATTATATATACACACACTTATATATCACATATATATTCTAATATATAATATATATTTAGATATATCTAATATGTATATCACATATTTATATAACTAATATAGATATATTCTTATATATAATATATATATAAGAATTAGTATCTTGCATTCTGGTAATAAGTTTTTGGAACTGTGGCCCTAGTGCATTAGGCACTTTACTTGATAGGATGTAGTTATTAAAGGAAGGAAAATAGATATATGTATATAAACGAGACTTAGGCAGATGGGCCACCTCACTTGTCAGCGGGATAATATTTCATTGGTTTTCTGAACTTCAGGGGCCATGATTTTCTAATAACTGCTCCTGATACTTGTGTCTCCAGGGCACAGCCCACTTTCCTGCAGTGAATGTTCCTTGCACTGGGAGAGGCCGTTTGGATTCTGGCTCTGTGATTAATATTGTGCTCCATTGTTGCTTAAGATGATGGGTTAGCTGCCCACAGGATTAGCAGTCATTTCTGGGAGTGGGATGTTTCTAGTTACTAGAATAATTGTAATGACATTTGGAATGTGGACATGGAAGAACATTCGCCATCGAAGAATACATATTTATGATGTGACCCTGTTTTGCTCACCTCTCAACTTGAGCAACATGGTGTCCAGAGGTGTATGTTGAACTGTTTGCCAGCGTGTGGAAGAATGGTTGACTGCGTTGACGGGTTTCTTAGGTGGAAGCATCGTATTGAACTGGAAGTAGACGTGATTTCATTAGTTATTAATTAACCATGGGCTTATTCTTCATTTATCAAATGGGGATGCTATTTTCTCTGTATAATTTGAAAAGTGTATGTGCACAAATACAGGTGAACAATTTTGCAAAATAGTTGCAAAGCTTGGTTATCATTTTATTAGGTTATGAAATAAAACATTTTTATGACCTCAGATGCTAAGAAGGAAGTCCTTTTAAACAATCACGAGTGCATCAGTTACTTCTGTAAAAATTTACTGTGAAGAAGATTGCTGTCACTTTTACTGGTTAACATAGGACAGAAAAGTTATGGTTATCTTTGGAAGCAAGTGATGGCAACTTATTAACTGTCAGCACAAGAAACAGGAAAATATTCAGGATTGAATAATTGAGATATAAATGTAATAATATTGTGTGTGATGCAGTGACTGACATACAGTTCTTTGGCAATTTGAACCACAGGCCATAGGTTTCACCATTTATTAGTGTAGTGAAAAAAAAATTAGGAGGCTTAAGGGCTTCATTTTAAGTTAATTACCACAGCATAAAATTATGCCAAGTTATCCTAAAATGCACCTAGCTTAGATAGAGAAATAATTAATTAAATTGATTTTTGTATTATGTCTGAAAGTTATTCTTTTATGGGTGATTTCATAACTAAAGTACTGTGGGGAAATAGCTTTTTAATCTGTGATTGAGCCTGGCCAACACAAGCTGGCACTCTGTTGTCTCAGGATAGGCATTAAAAGCTCTCAAACTGCCAGATCTAAGTGATATATTTAGTGGATCCTTTTAAAAACAGTTAAAGGTTGTCTGTCAGGCATCAGAAGTGTCTGTTATGTATTTACTAAAGTGATTTTTCTTATGAAAATAGTATGTGTATTTTATAAGATGGGAAAATTAAATATAAAGATTAGATCTGAAAAAAACCCACCTTTTTTATTCCACAAAGTTTTAGTGTCTGATGATGAATTCTGGAAGCCTGTGAATGCCTATAGAAGTTCTCTGTCATCAAACCTCCTTGCACACGACCTTCCATCCAGGCCCTGAGAATTCTCCTGTGTTAATTTTGTTTAACACTCCACAAGCACAGGGAGAGTTCGTTCTGTACAAATATACATAGCCAAAGGTCATTCACTAATATACTCTCAACAGCTGATGGAAAAAGGGCAATTATTTTTTATTTCCTCTAATTTTTCTGCAATAGTGGTTTAAAACCATAGGGCTTTGTTATTACTTGAAATCAGACATCTGAATTCTAGTAACAGCTCTGCCTCTGGTTATCTTTATTTCTTTAGACAAGTTACTCTTCGGTCTTTCTCCTCCCTTAATATAACACAAAAGGGTTTTTTTGTTTTGTTTTGTTTTGTTTTGAGACGGAGTCTCGCTCTGTCACCCAGGCTGGAGTGCGGTGGCACGGTCCCAGCTCACTGCAACCTCTGCCTTCCAGGTTCAAGCGATTCTCCTGCCTCAGCCTCCCGAATAGCTGGGACTACAGGCACGTGCCACCATGCCCAGCTAATTTTTGTATTTTTAGTAGAGACGGGGTTTCACCATGTTGGCCAGGATGGTCTCGATCTCATGACCTCTTGATCTGCCCACCTCGGCCTCCCAAAGTGCTGGAATTACAGGTGTGAGCCACCGTGCCTGGCCACAAAAGGGTTTTTAACAGGCTCCTTTCATTTTGCAGTTTTATATTTTCATGAACATCATCACTGGAAAAGCAGACATCTCTGTCTTCATATTGTAAATTCATTATTCACTTGGTCATCATGTTTCTTCATTGATTACTTTTACCAATCATTCTTTCAATTGATTCATTACTCAATTTTTACCACAGAAAAAAGTAACTTCGTTTTCCCTCTAGGTTACTTAATGTAGTGGTAAAACTGGTGGTCAAAGGAGGCACAGTTTTCATCTAATTCAACAGTTTTTCATGAAGCATGTCTCAGCCGCTGAGAGCCACCTGAATGTGGACCTGCCCCTCTGCTTCTTCAAAATAATTAGCAGAAAAGGATTAATAATTCATGGAAGTGGTGGTTTTTTGCCAGCATATTCCTATAAAAAGGGAAATATTTTCACATACTGTAGGGGCTGCCAGGCAGCTGAACATGTGGCCTGGCACGGAAATTGGTGATAAAACTAAAATATCAGGAAATTGTACCACTCATAACTTTTCTGCCAGAAGCTTCATTTACATTATTTTTAACTCTTGAGAGAAAAAGATTTTCATATCTAATCAAAGGAGCCAAGACTTTTTACCATGCATTGAACATTGAATTTTAATGTGAAATTCTAGGAGAAAAATAGATTTTTCTTCTCAATTAACCAATAGTGACATTTTACTTTGCCAATATTAAGATGATCTTCTGTTAAAATTTAGCTGAAATCTGTTTAACCCCAGAAATGGCTGCTCTAGTGGATGATATGTACTCGAGTAACACAATTTTCTCAGCAAATTAGTAATTTCAGCCTTTTGGGTTAAATGGTGAGATCTATAAAATTTTCCAAGTCCTATTTCCCACACGAGATTTATCATTAATAGATTAAAAGTAATTGTAAAAGATAGAGGTAAGACAAAACATTATTTATCATCCCTTAATTAATAGTTTTCATATTTAATGACATTATTTTTTAAAATATCATTTTCACATCTACCTAATTCCCTTGCAATGTCTATTTTCCCCTGATCTGATCATAAATATCTAGATGGCACCCCCTTAAGTATATGACAATTGCTGTTGTTTATATTTTGCTTTTTATCAACCATGTATCCTTTGTCAGTTTTCATAATGTCTTAATATTTTATCATTGTATATGAAGGGTAGGTGATCCCTTCATAAAAGACAAAAGTCAGAATTCATCAGTCTCACTATCAACATGTGTTCAACAGTGCGCTTTTCAAAATAAATAGCTTTATATTTTTCCTTATTTGTAAAATATCATGATTTACAAAACATGAAAATACTAAAAATCTTTTATTTTTGCATAGACACTCCCACACACTAAGACCAGCACATATAAAATACGACCACTCTATTGTGAATCCTGCTTTAATTACATATTAATATATAATTAACTGTATGTCTATAAATATAGTCATGTAATCACTTTACTGCTTATATAGTGTTCCATAATTTAACAAAATTTAATTTCTGATTAATATGTAAATTTATATCTACAGTTTTGCTATTATACATAAGAATGCGATCAGCAACTTTACCTATATCTTTGAACATTCATTCAATTATTCCTTTAGGGCAAATTCCTAGAAGTATGATTACATGTATATGTAAAATTTTGATTAACACTATCAAAATTCTAACCCTCAAATTTATTCAAATATATGTGCTCAATTGAATTGAGTTTTTATAAAGCTGTTTTATCTTTTACAAAACATTTTATCTTAGCTTATATTTTTATAATTAGTAATAAATTTTCTTAGATTTGTCAGCAATTTTAACATTTTATTGGTGTGTTGTATGAATTGTCTCTTCTATTAGATGTTTGTCTTTAATCCTTTAATCCCAAATATGGCATATCTGCAGCCAAGACATTTGCCCTTTAGGTTAAAAATTTCATATACTAACTTTCCTGAACAGAAATGATGAATGTTTATCATTATTAATTTTTACCATTTTAGCTTTTGAATTTTTCAATTTTCTTTTGTTGTCCCAGTAAGTGCAAACAAATATAATATTTGTTTTTTGGCCCTTAGCAATTTTTTAATATCCAAATAGCTGAACTCCAGAAGGTATTGAATGAGCTCAACACATGTGTTATGCCCTCATTTTGGGTTGGCCAGTCAGGCTGAAAAGACCCTGCCACACCTACTCACTCTTTGTAGAGACTAGGGCAGGTCTGTTCACAAACATCCATGCTTCAACACTCTCATCTATGCACGGAAGGTGCTGCAACACCTTAACATTGTTTCTTTCCAAAACTTACTTCCATATTACTCTCAAAAGAAACATGAATCCTAAATAATTAACTCCATCATCAAATAATGAATTTTCCAAGATAATCCTTGACTACAGGATTTCTGGTTTAAGATTGGTTCTGATTGGCAGTCTATAACGCTTCCTCTACCAATTCCCACTAAAGTAGATGTAGACACACTGGAAAGTAGACACACACACACACACACACACAGAGTAAGTTGAGCTACTAGTAAAAATCCCTTTAGGAATCTTAAATAGAATCGTAAAGGAATTTTCACTAGTAGGTCAATTTAACTGAATTGCAAAACTCAAATGATAGTGTTGTATGTATATGTCTCCCATGGAAACCAAGCAAACAAGCCAGCCTTAAAAAAGATACAAGTATATTTCATTCTTTTCCCACAGCGTTCCCCCTAATTCAGAAACACAAGATTCGCACTAAATAGAAACTGGGCAACTGTGTCCTTCCTGAATAGAAGCCTCCTTCTGAGAAAGCCAGACTCTTGCTCTTATCATTATTATGATCACCCCACCTTCCCCTGACTTCTATTATCTTTCTACATCTAGTCCCACTCTCAGAAACAACGGGGCAATTGGGCGGTAAGAGAGTGTGTGCATAGCGTGTTTGTTGGGAATCATAGAAAGAAAGAAGCCAACCCCCACAGCCCAGTGTCTTTTAGGAGATACGGCACTCGTCAGCAAAAAGTTATCGGAACAGTTAGGGACTGAAAATTCCTGGCAATATCCAACATGAACACCGGAAATAGCCTAACTATGCAGTAATTATAAAATGTTTATATATGCTATTTAAATATAGTGGGTAGTATGTGACATTAAAATTAGATTTTTGATAAAATGTGATGAGAAGAAAAAAAGCCACCCTGCGGCCGGGGCCGGAGCTGGAGCCGCCGTCTGGAGCTCCCCCGCGCGGACGATGCCCGCGGTGCCCGCCCGGGGCTCTGGGCTGTGAGGCCTGGGGCCCGGGGTAGCTATGGCGTCGGCGAGCGCGGCCCGCGGCGCCGCCTGACAGGTGTGGGCCCCGGCGGCGGCGGCGGCGCGGAGCAGCACGTACGCCAAGAGGGGCAAGGGTTCGGCCGTGCCCTCCGACAGCCAGGCCCGCGAGAAGCTGACTTGGGATGCCCCACCCCTCCACAAAGATGACTGTCCCCTCTGCCCAGCCTCTGGGTCATTTTGGAGAAGAGGCTCTTCTGGCCGCAAGGTGGTTGGCGCTGTACGTCTATGAGTACCTGCTGCACATCGGTGCCCAGAAGTCAGCCCAGACCTTCCTGTCTGAGATCCGATGGGAGAAGAACATCACGCTGGGGGAGCCCCCCGGGTTCCTGCACTCCTGGTGGTGCGTCTTCTGGGACCTGTACTGCGCAGCGCCTGACCGAAGAGAGGCCTGCGAGCACTCCGGCGAGGCCAAGGCCTTCCAGGACTATAGCGCTGCAGCCGCCCCCAGCCCTGTGATGGGGAGTATGGCCCCAGGTGACGCAATGGCCGCAGGCCCCACGGCAGCTGGCTTCTTCCAGGGCCCCCCCGGCTCCCAGCCATCCCCCCACAACCCCAATGCCCCCGTGATGGGGCCTCACGGTCAGCCCTTCATGTCACCGCGCTTCCCAGGGGGTCCCCGGCCCACCCTGCGGATGCTAAGTCAGCCTCCCGCAGGCCTCCCCGGCTCCCATCCCCTCCTCCCTGGCGCCATGAAGCCCTCCCCACGAGCCCAGGGGCATCCGAGCATGGGCGGCCCAATGCGGAGGGTGACGCCTCCTCGCGGCATGGCCAGCGTGGGGCCCCAGAGCTATGGAGGCGGCATGCGACCCCCACCCAACTCCCTTGCCGGCCCAGGCCTGCCTGCCATGAACATGGGCCCAGGAGTTCGTGGCCCGTGGGCCAGCCCCAGTGGAAACTCGATCCCCTACTCCTCCTCATCCCCTGGCAGCTACACGGGACCCCCAGGAGGAGGTGGGCCCCCTGGAACACCTCATCATGCCTAGCCCTGGAGATTCTACCAACTCCAGTGAAAACATGTACACTATCATGAACCCCATCGGGCCGGGTGCCGGCAGGGCTAATTTCCCGCTCGGCCCTGGCCCGGAGGGCCCCATGGCCGCCATGAGCGCGATGGAGCCTCACCACGTAAGCGGATCCCTGGGCTCGGGCGACATGGACGGGTTGCCGAAGAGCTCCCCCGGCGCCGTGGCCGGCCTGAGCAACGCCCCGGGCACCCCGCGGGACGACGGCGAGATGGCGGCCGCCGGGACCTTCCTGCACCTGTTTCCAAGCGAAAGCGTAAGCGACTGCTTCGACTCTCCCCCCTCCAGGGCGGTGTCAGGCGGGAGGGGCCTGGCGGGCAGGCCCCGGCGGGGCGGCCGGGGGGCCAGAGCAAGACCGTGACAGCGGCGGGCCAGTACTCGCCAGGGATGACCATGAGTGTGTGATGGGGCGGCAGCCCCGGGCCTCTGCGGGCCTAGGCTTCTGCCCAGCCTCCCTGCTCAGGGTGAGGGGCTGAGGTCACACCTTGGGCACCTGGACTCCTGGCCAGTCAAGGCTTGCCCAGCTGGGAGGCCCCACACGAAAGATTCTTACCATTTTATTAGAAACGCAAGGACCTCAGAGACGTTCTTTTCTGTATGGACCCTTTCTGCCATTTGTATTTTGTCCCAGAGAGAAAGGCTCTTTGGGGGGCCCCTCTCCCCAGGACGTCAGGGGGTGGGGCCCATCGATAAATGGAAGCTGGTTTTGGTTTTTTGGTAAAAAAAAAAAAAAAAAAAAAAAAGTGATGAGAAAACTCAGACACAGCCTTCATGCAATTTTGCTGAAAATATAGTGAACATGCTCTTACAACTCATTCATACCCAGGTTTCCATGACTTCAAGTTTTGTGTTCTTTTTCTGCTACTTCAGTAAGAGTATTTAGAGACACAAGATGGCCAATCATAGAATCTGGGGGAAATTAACAATATTTAAAGAGCAGATCAAGAAAGAGGAACTACTTAAGACAACAAAAGGAGGTATGAGAATGTGCAGGCCAGGCACGGTGGCTCAGGCCTGAAATCCCAGCAGTCTGGGAGGCCGAGGGGGAGCGGAGCACCTGAGGTCAGGAATTCGAGACCAGCCTGGCCAACATGATGAAACCCTGTCTCTACTAAAAATACAAAAATTAGCCTGACGTGGTGGTGGGCACCTGTAATTCTAGCTGCTCGGGAGACCGAGGCAGGAGAATTGCTTGAACCTGGGAGGCAGAGGTTGCAGTGAGCCAAGATCCTGCCATTGCACTCCAGCCTGGACAACAAGAGTGAAACTCCATCTCAACAAACAAACAAAGAAGCAAACAAAAGATGTGCATGGAGGAGTTTTAAGAAAGAGGGAGTCAAATCTAGTAGAGGCCAGCTTTGATTAGAGGTGATCATTCATCACAGGACTTTTGGAGAAAATTGGTGACGTGTATCAAAAAAGTTTCAGTGGAATTGTGGAAAAGATAAGTGTGATGGAGCAGTGAGTTGTGAACTAAATGAAAGGTAGAGAAGGGGAGACAATGAGGACAGACTTCTCTTTTAAAAAGCCAGAAAAAAAACGGAGATGGAAAGGGATGAGAATGCAGGTGGAGGTGAGACAGACAAAGAGATGAGGTGAGGCCAAAGGACAAGGTGGCCCTTTAGCGCAAGACTCATGGGAGTCCTTATAAACTAAAGGGTAGGAACCAGGGGCTGAGCAGAGGCTGACAACACAGAGGAAAGGACGTTTCAAGATTCCTTAGTAGCTGAGTGAGAAGACCCTGAGCACTGGTGGAGGAGCATGGCATGAACAGACAGAGGACTCTGAGAGCAGACGAAACAGAAGACGACTATCCTGGGGCCAGATGTGCAGCAGGGGATGGGCAGGAAGGCGGGGAGTTCAGACAGGACTCATAAGCTGTGAGTGCATGGAGAGGCAAGCTGGCTGACTGCGTATTTGCATAAATGCAGTTATTATAAAATCCATATATAGATTTTACTTTTCAAAGAACTATAACACACAGAACACCAAAACTATACAAAATAAAGCCATCTGTTTTAGACAATTTAGAAAATACTTAAGCATATGGCCGTGTTCTTCATTAAGAATAATAGACCTTTACTGTGTAAGTCTGAAATTCTGAGCTGCCTTTGAACGGGCTCCATGATACGCTCTGAAAGCTACTTTAAAAACAAACCTCTGATACCCATTGGTTTATTTGTCTTCTGTCTCTTTCTCATAAAAGTTGACTATAGAAGACATTTCCAGTAACTGTGATTTCAGTGATTTCAAAGCTAAATGAATAGGAGTTTCCTGCACCATCTCATAAGCATTGCATTTGCCCAGAAAACTGCTTAAACTTGACTTCAGACTTTTACTACACTCTGCTTCTGTAATGGATCAGTTCTCTGGTTTATATGAAATTCTAACAGGCTTGCATAAGCTTTCATCCTACTCATTCTTACATGAACTTCATGATATAATGAAATAAAAATGTAATGAGATAAAAATCTCTAAGCAAATTACTTCCTAAGTGGCAAATCACTAGAAAGTGAGAATTGTTATAATTCCGTCCGTACTCCACCTCCAGGGATGTGCTTTCAGGAACAAAGACAGATCTCAGTGTTCCAGTGAAGCAAGAGTGGCTGTGACCGTGGTCCAGTGCAGCAGAGGAAAGACCTATGTCTGAGCATGAGGCCATGTTAGAGAGGCTCCTGGGGTTTGGCTCCTCTTCCTGCCTCACCCCTTCTACTTTGAACCCCTGCCCCAGTTCACACCCCCTCCACTGCCCTTCAGGAGTAAGGCACACTGCACACACACACACACTACACACTCATACACTGTACACACACACTGTACACACATTGCACACTCACACTGTACACACACTGCACAGACATGCACACATTGCATACACATGCACACTGCACACACATGTACACACACTGCACACATGTACACACACTGCACACACGTACACACTGCACACACACAGTGCATTCACACATGCACACTCCTTCTGTGTGTTTCAGATGCTGCCAATGCTGTGGGTGCCCTGGGGGAGACAGGGTCCCACAGGGTCAGCAGGGAGGACTGGCGCTGGTGGTCTGAAGGGCTCCCGGGCTAAGTGTGAATCATAGCAGGGCAGGGCTGGGGTTGGGGAGAGGGAGAGGGGCCATGAGAGGGGTGTGGCGTGGGGACGCTCCTCCTCCTCACCCCTGTGGTCCCCTCAGATCTTCAGGGTCAGCAATGCCAAGCTGGAGCCACAGGCCAGGCCTTCCAGTCCTGTGACTGGTGAGTGACTCGGATAGGGCTGGTGAGGGATGAGGGCCTGTGTCCTAGGGCAGTGAGCTGAGGCCCTGGAGGAAGTGGGAGGCGATGGGGAGAACTTGGTCTCACCTCTGCCTGGAGAGAGGGACTTCCCACAGGACCCCCAGGGCTTCCTGGCCTCAGGGGCGATCCTGGAGCCAAGAGAGAGAAGGTGAGTGACACACACACAGCCAGGTGTCACTCCATCACCCTCAGCCCTGAAGCCTATGGGACCCTGAGGCCCCTGCTCTGCTCCAGGCCCCCAGCACCAGGCCATGGGGTCCCTGCTCAGGGAGGGCCACTCAGAGACCCTGTGCCCTGTCCCTCTCTGTAACTTGGCCGTTCTCCCCCATGTGTGTGACTCCTCCTGCATCCCCCGGCCACCTGCTCCCTTCTCTAGGGGTACCCAGGTCTCGTTGGACTGATCAGGTCCCCAAGGAGGCAGGGAAAGAAGGGAGATGGGGCCTTCCTGGCCCTCAGGGCTGCCCTTGGCAGAGAGTGAGTGGTGAGTAGAGGGCCTGGTGGGATTCAGATTGGGGGTGGGGAGGGGTGGGGTTGAGACTCAGCTGTCAGGGAGGGAGCAGAGGCTGGGGAGGAGGTGGGAGGAGGATCCAGTTGAGCCAGCCCCCTACCTTCCCTAGGGTATTCCGGGAGCATCCAGCCCCACTGGTCCTGGAGGGATCCTGGTGTCTCCGTGAGCACCGCCCTCTGTTCCTCCAATAAATCCCGAGTCCTACTGTTTTCTCCCATGACCTCCAGCATAACACGCTGAGACCTCAGGGTCCCCATTTGTCCTCACACCTCCAATGCTTCCTCCCCATACTTCCTGGGCTCCAAAGTCCCCAAATACTCCAATGCCTGCCCCTGCTGTGGTAACCCAAGGCTCCTGTGGACTCAGGACCTGGCCTCTGCACTCCTCCGAGTCCCGTCCTTCCCCTGCAGTGACCGTTCCTCATCTCACAGGGACCTTTGGGCCCAAGAAAAGCCAAAGGAGCCACAGTGGGTGACCCCATGAGCTCTGACCTTTGCCCCCTCCCACTGGGCTTGAAACTGTCTCTCCAGGGCAAAGAGACCCCCCAGGGAGACCCTGATCCCCAGCCAGGAAGCTGACTGAACGCTTCTGTGACCTTGATCCCATGTGTGACCTCTTGACCTCTCTATGACCTCATTTACTCCTTTGTCAGGGCCCAGCTGGACCCAAGGGACAAAAGGATGTCCAGGGCCCTTCAGGACACACAGTGAGTTAGGAGTCAGGGCTCCCAGGACACCCAGTGAGTGAGGAGTCAGGACACATTAACAGGATCATGAAAGCATAGCTACTCAAGTAACTAAATAATTATGCAACTAATTTTTTCCTCATCACTAAAACATAGTTATGGACAGATTATTTTTAAAATACAACACACTAACAAGTAGTTTATCCTTAAAACTCAGTTATGGTTTGTTGTTTGTTAAGGCCATTGCTTGGGAAAAAGAAAACAGGAGAAGGAACAAGATGATGATACCGAGAAGAAAACACAGACTGGAAGGAAGGAAAAAGAACAGGGGAGGGAATTAGAAGGCCTATTATGACACCTTTTTCCACTCCCTGATTCGTGAAATTTGAATAAGTCCAATATCAACAACAAAAAAAAAAGCAAAAAGATATACAAGTAGTCACATCCTAAATTTTGTTAATAGTGAGATAATACCGAGGGGGGCGGATCACCTGAGGTCAGGAGTTTGAGACCAGCCTGACCAACATGGCGAAACCCCGTCTCTATTAAAAATACAAAAATTAGTGCCCATAGTCCCAGCTACTCTACTTGGGGGGGGGGGCTGAGGCAGGAGAATAGTTTGAACCTGGGAGGCGGAGGTTGCAGTGAGCTGAGATCACACCACTGCACTCCAGCCTAGGTGACAGAGTGAGACTCCATCTCAGAAAAAAAAAAAAAAAGAGTGAGATAATATGCTGACACTCACACCTGGCTCATGCAGAGGAGGGCTCCCTCCAGAGACTGCAGGAGAAGGGGGAGGACTCTTCCTTGCCCTGGCTGTTCCTCCCTCGCTTCCACTGAGGCACCCGAAGCTTCCTACCCACCCAAGTCCTGGCCGGGCAGGCCCTGCAGTGCTCTTACTGCCCCTTCCCGGCCCCTAGACTTGCTGCTGCTGTCCCCACCAGCACTAATGTCAGTACAACCATCGCTACTGTTGTCCTCAATGCACTGGCCCGAGCTACAAAGCTCCTACCACCTGGCCACCGCCGCAGCCCCAACCCTGCCACGGCTGCAGCCAGCAGTCCTCCTACCACTCTGGCGCACTGCAGTCTCCGTAGCCACCACCAACCATTGCGAGGTGAGCAGCAGCCCCAGGCCATCAGAACCACAGCGGGTATGGAGGCCCTGCCATGTTCAGGATTCCCATGGAAACGCTATGCACTCCCTGTGCTCGAGCAGGAGCAGGAGGAGGTCACCCTCGAGAGTCTGGAGTCCGGGGAGAGGAGGAAGGCTCCTTCCTTGGAGGCCACTGCTGTTGCTGCAACCTCTGCCACCACCAGCAGGGCAGCCCCTGATAGTACCCCTAACCCGCCACCCCACTGTTGGCCCCAGGATAGCACCCCTGACACCCGGCCTTCACCACTGCAGTTTAGCACCCAACAGTGCCTCCAACCCATCCCCGCCTCGGACGTTGCAGCACCAGATAACTCCCCCAACCTGCCCCCTCCCATGGGCCATGCAGCCACGGATAGGACCCCCAGACAACACCACCCCCCACCGCTGCAGGTAGTGACGCCCCTGCTCCCCGCCATGAACAGTGCAGCCACAGATCCTTAAGGCCCCCAACCCACTCCCTGCGATAGGCAGTGCAGCCCCAGATAGTGGATGGCACCACCAACCATCCCCCAGCCACGGGGAATGACGCCCTGGATAGCACACCCAACCCGCACCCCACCACAGGCAACGTAGCCCCTGATAGCGCCCCTATCCCATATGCCGCTGCCGGCAGTGTAGTCCCCAACTGCCGGCAGTGTAGTCCCCAACTGCGCACCAAATTCAACCCCCACCACAGGCAGTGCAACGCTGATAGTGCCCCTAATTCACCCCCACTGACTGCAGTGCAGTCCCCCTCCAGTGCCCACAACCCACCTCACCACCCCGCCTGCCACTGGCAGGATACCCCCAAACTACCCCTTGCCATGGGCAGTGAATCGCCCAATAGTGCAGCCAACCCACCCTCTATCATGGGCAGTCTGGCCCTGATAGCGCTGGAAAACCCCCCACCAAGCACCTCCCTGCACCCCCCAACCTCTCCATCCCCACCCCCGCCACCAGCCATGTAGCATGCGATACTGCCCCTAACCTATGCCCTGCCATTGGCCTTGCAGCCCCAGATAGCGCCCCCAATAAGCCCCCCACCATGGACAGTGCAGCCCCAGATAGCATCCCCACCCCGCTGTGGGCAAAGAAGCCGGATCAGTCAGAGCCCCGACCGACCAGTCCCCACACCCCTACACCGCTGCCAGTGTAACCACAATAGTGGCCCCAACCTGCTCCCTGTTGCAGGAAGTGTAGCACCCATAGTGCCCCCAACCAGCTCTACTGCTGCCGGCAATACAGCCCAGGATAGTGCTGACAACCACCCCCCCACCGCCCCCCGCAGTGGGCAGTGCAGCCCCAGATAGCACACCTAAAGTAGTGACGCCCAGGATAACACCCTAATACACCTAAAGTGGTGCTGCCTGGAATAACACCCCAACCAGATCCCGGCCGTGGGCAGTGTAGCCCCGGATAGTGCACTTACCCCATTGCCTTTCTATACTCTGGCCGGCTGCAGTGTGCATTGCTGCCACCAACCCCAGCTAGGCGAGCCAGTGAGGTGAGTCAGTGAGGCCACCCGCAGTCCCGTAGGCTCTAGCCTCCAGCCTGCAGTAGGTGCCTCCTTCCTCTCTTCCTTTAGCCAGGCATGGAAGTAGCTCTCGCTGCCAGCTGCCTCCTACCACTCCATACGCTCTGCAATCTCCATCACCGTCACACACCATGCAGATGCAAGCCCTGGTGCCACAGGCTCCAGCCTCCAGAGTGTGGCAGGGGAGTCCACTTCCACCTTCTCTAAGCTGCAAACTGAGTGGCTGGACAGGTTGACAAAGAACAGCCTGCTACGGCGGGACTCCCCCTTAGCATGCATTATATACTGAGGTTATGCAAGTGAGGTTCCTGGATTGGATGAGAGAAAACTGCTAGACCTATTCTAATTGAACTTTATTTTCATGTTCTGATTGGATGAGAGCAAGTCTTAGAATAACCAATCAGAACGAGAAGATAAAGTCCAATCAGAGTTGGCCTAGCTGTTTTCCTTTCATTACAATCAGAACATGTAGTTTATAAACTTGGTATATAAAGCATGTTAAGGGGTCACGCCATAGCTGCTGCATTCCCAGCTTGGAGTAGGAGATGCCCTCTGCTGCATGCTGGAGGCTGGAGCTTGCGGGACTATGGCTGGCCTCGCTGGCTTGCCTTGCTGGCTCGCCTTGCTGCGGTTGGTGACAGGGACAGACACTGCAGTCTGCCAGAACAGAGAAAGGCAAAGGGGTAGGTGCGCTATCCAGGGCCGCACTGCCCGCAGCCTGGGGTGGGTTGGGGCCCTATCTCAGGCATCACTGCCTGCCTTGGGTGGCTGGTTGGGTGCGCTATCTGGGGCTGTGCTGCCTGCACCAGGGGGTGGGTTGGGGGCCCTATCCAGGGTTGCACTGCCCTTTGCAGGGAGCAGGTTGGGGGTGCTATCCCAGACTGTATTGCCGGCAGCAGTGAGGTGGGTTAAGGGTACTATCCAGGGCTGCACTGCCCGCGGGGGCAGGTGGGGGGTTTTGGGTTGAGCGGGCTATGGGGTGCTGCAATGCCCACGGTGCAGGGAAGGGGAAGGTTTGGGTGTGCTTTAGCTACGATTTTGCATTAGCTAGGATTTCCAGTACTATGTTAAATAACAGTGGTGACAGTGGGCATCCTTATCATGTTCCAGATCTTAGAGGAAAGGCTTTCCATATATCCCCATTCCATGTGATTCTAGCTGTGGGTCTCTCTCATGTGGTTTTTATTATAGTGAGGTATGTTTCTTCTGTACCTGGTTTTTTGATGATTTATAGCATGAAGCAATGTTGAATTTTATCAAATGCTTTTTCAGTTTCAATTGACATGATCATATGGTTTTTGTCCTTTATTTGGTTGATATGGTGTATCACACTGATTGTGTGTTGAATGACCCTTGCATCCCAGGGATACATCCCACTTAATCATGATGAATTATCTTTTTAATGTATTGCTGAATTTGATTTGCTGGTATTTTGTTGAGGATTTTTGTGTCAATATTAGAGATACTGGCCTGTAGTTTCCTTTTTTCATGTCTTTGTCTGATTTTGGTATCGGGGTAATAATGGCCTCATAGAGTAAGTTTGGAAGTATTCTGTCCTGTTTTTTAAAGTAGTGTGAGTAGGATTGGTACTAGGTCTGTGAATGTGTGGTGTGAAGCCATCAGCAGTGAAGCCATCGGTTCCTGGGTTTTTCTTTACTGGGAGACTTTTCCTGATGGCTTCAATCTGATTACTTGTTACCACCGATCTGTTCAGGTCTTGGATGTTTTCATGGTTCAACCTAGGTAGATTGCATGAATCTAGGAATTTGTCAATTTCTACTAGGCTTTCCAATTTATTGGCCTATGAAATAGCCAGTTATGATCCTTTGAATTTCTGAAGTATCAGTTGTAATGTCTCCTTTTTTTGTCTCTTGATTTTATTTATTTGAATCTTCTCTCTTTTTTCTTAGTTAGCCTGACTAAAAGTTTGTCAATTTTGTTTAACTTTCCAGAAAACCAACTTTTTGTTTAATCTTGTGTATTTTTTTCATTTCAATTTTATTCCTGCTACAATCTTTATTATTTATGTTGGGTTTAGTTTGTTCTTACTTTACTAGTTATTTAAGATGTATTGTTTATGTGAAGTTTTTCTTCTGTTTGGATGGTAGGCACTTACAGCTAAAAATTTCTGCCTTTCTACTGCTTTCTGTGTATCATAAGTTTTGGTATATTATGTTTTCATTACCATTTGTTTCAAGAAATTTTTCAATTGCCATCTTAGTATCTTCTTCAATGACCCACTAGTCATTCATTCAGGAGTGTATTGTTTAACTTCCATGTGATTGTATGGTTTCCAAAATTACTCTTCTTATTGATATCTAGTTTTATTCCCTTGTAGTCAAAGAAGATGGCCACAGAGACCGCAGTATGGTTAGAGTGGTAGGAGGCAGCCATCAGCAAGAGCTCCTCCTTGGCTAGCTGCTGGAGGCTAGAGCCTGCGGCCCAGCGGCTCGCCTCACTGTGGTTGGTGGTGGTAAGCGCAGCGCCCCTTGCAGAGTTTATCAGATCCCCCATTGACGAAGGCTGCAAGGCAAAGACCCCCGCTGGGCCACCATGCCTGACCTGAAGATGCAGGAGGTGAAGAAGATCTGCTATGAGTTGGCCCTGGCTTACTTCCACCACGGGCAGGCTGAGATTGAGGCCCTGGCCACCCTCAAGGTGTGGGAGTTGTGTCACACCTATGGCAAGCCAGAGGGCCCCAGAGATGCCTGGAGGGCTGTGGCCCGGGATTTCTGGGACACCGTGGGCGAGGAGGAAGGAGGTGGAGCTGGCAGTGGTGGTGGCAGCGAGGAGGGAACCCGAGGGGTGGAGGTGGAGGACCTCCAGGCCCACATCTGCAAGCTCATGGGGATTCTGCAGCAGGTGAAGCTGCAGAACAGCAGCAAGGACTGGGAGCTGCAGGCGCTGCAGGACCGCATGGTCTGCATGGAGAGGATCATCCCCCTGGCCCAGGATCATGAGGATGAGAATGAAGAAGGTGGTGAGTTCCACTGGGCCCCACCTGAAGGATGAGAGGAGGCAGCCCCCAGTGACCACATGCCCTCAGCCTGGTCCCCCTCACCACCACTGTCAAGCTGGGAGTGGGTGTCGCGGCTCATAGAGGAGGACCCTGCCTTCCATCGAGGTCACCTTTGCTGGCTTAAGCAGGAGCAGCTACAGCTGCAGGGACTGCAGCGCTGTGAGGGCTGGAGCGGGGGTGCTGCACAGGCCCCCAACCCGCTTTGTAACCCCTCACGATGCAAGCTGCGCTTCCCCTTCAAGAGCAATGCCCAGCACTGGAGTCCTGGCCAGGGATGGGGAGCGGGGAGGCTCCAGCTCCACCCCTTCCCCCTGAGGAGGTCACTCCCCCTCCAGCCACCCCTGCCCGCAGGCCTCCAAGTCCCCGAAGGTCCCACCATCTCCGCAGGAACTCCCTGGAGGAAGGGGGCCAATCCTGGGGAGCGGGTTCTGCACAGCCTGAACCCCAGCACTTCTAGGCCAAAAAGCACAACTTACATTCAGCAGCCCCAACTGTACCCAGCCCAGCGGCCCCCAAGACCCCGCTACTCCCCATACACTACTCCCCCACAAATGAGATGGCAGCGCTCTGCCCCTGACCTCAAGGAGAGTGGGGCGGCTGTGTGAGTCCCACATCCTGGGCAGAGGGCCTGGTGGAGTCCCTTGCTAGGAGAAGGGAAGACACCTGAGATGCTGCTTCCCCCAGAAGCACTGGGGCAGGGAGGCTCAGGAGATGAGAGAGAAGGTCCGAGCAGGTGATAGAAGACATGGGGGAGACCGAGGCGGAGGCTGAGGAAGAGGGCGCGGAGTTGCCAGGAGCAAACCAAAGTGAAGGGAGAGGTAGGAAGCTGCCTCGGGGCCACCCCTTGCAAGGGAGCGGGTCCCACAAATGCTGCTATGGGTGAGGTGGGGGCTAGGGTGCTGCATAGCCAGTGTTTGAGTTTCTTTTCAAGTAGGGGAAAGGGTAAGAGGACTGAGAGTGAGACAAGCTCTCCCCAGCCTCTGTCCGTCTGGCTGTCTGTGGTGGTTTCTGTTTCTAAGGAGGCATGGTGGGATCATAAGTCATTCCCCTCCCCTTCCAGGCCTCCTGCTATATTTGGGGACCTGACTGGTTTGGCTGGAGTCCCAAGAGGATGTGGGCCCTTTAATAAAGGATAGCAAACGGGGAAAAAATATAACTTATTCTTCCATTTTCCTCTTGACAGGCATTTTATAAATTTTAATTTTATGTCTAGTAGTTTCTTCATTTACCATTTTATATTTTTGTAGTGTTCACTCTGGTTATTACAGTATTCATTTTCAACTTTTTTTCTCTACCTTAAACTAGGATGTAGGAAACAGGACTTTTCTACATCACAGGCAGTGTAAGACTCTCAAAACAGTTTAACTTTGTTTACCCTTATCCTGCCTTTTTTGCCATTGTTCTGATATACTTGGTTTTTACGATTGTCAGATTCTAATAGACATTACTGTAGTTGCGTTGAATTTCCTTTTCAGGTTTCTTCATTCCATCCTGCAGTTCTGTTCTTCCATCAAATATTATTTTTCTCCAACATGAAGAACTGTAGTATTTCTTGTTGTGCGTTGTTTACTGTTGTCACTTTTTTTTTTTCAGTCTTTATTTGGAAAATATATTTATTTTAGAAGAGTGTCCTTGAAAGGTTTAGAATTTTCTGGTTGCCTTTTTGACTTTTTAAAATGTCATTACATTTTGATTTTCTCATTTACAAGTTACCTGTTCAAAATTTGTGCACTGTCTTCTGACTTTCATAGTTTCTCTTGAAATGTTTGCTGTCAGTTTGGCTGTTGAGACGGCCTACTTCTATCATTAGTTTATACAATTTATTTCTCTGCTAGGTAAGAGTGGGATAATTTCATACTGTGTTAAGGATAAATTTCTTTCTATGCTCGGAATAGGAATTCTTTGATATGTGTTTTCTGAACATCTTCTCCCACTCTGGGTTGCATTTTTATTCTGTTTATCTTTTGATAAAATGAGTTCTTAATTTTCATAGAGTATGGTTGATGTAATTTGTGCCCTGTTTAAGAAGTCTTTGCCTATTCTGAAGTCATGAAGAAAAACTTTTTATGGCATTTTCTAAAACTTTTTGCTTTAATTTCCAAATTTAGATATGTACACTGTCTAAGATGGATTTTGCTTACACTTAAGATGGCAATAAATCTCATTATAATGAACCTAGAACAATTTATTGAAATTATTATTTTTCTGAAACCTTGTCATGAATCAAGTGTCCATATCCATGTGGATCTATTTCTGAACTCTCTCTTTCCTGTTCTGTTGATGCATTTGAAAATCCTTACACCTATGTCACACTACCTTAACTAGAAATACCAAACATTTGTTGTATTGAATTCATAATCTGTTTCTAAAACTATATTTTTATTTGTATCTTTCTGTGTACATAATTGTTTTACTTTATTATTGTAAGAACTTTTAATAATATTGAATAAAATTGGAGATAGCAGGCATCCTTATCTCGGTCTTAGTTTTTTAGTTAAACACTTTCCATATTTCACCACTAAGTACTGATGTTTGCTGTAGACATTTGTAGACATCGTTTTACCATTTAGAAAATTCCTTTCTATTTCTAGTTAGCCAAGAGTTTTTTCTCATGCTTTTCTGCATCTACTGATATGATCCTATGATCATCTCTTGGTTTTTAAAACTATTTATTGTTACCTATATTTCCACATTTCAGAAAATTCCATCATGGTTTCCATGGCCTATTCTTTTTTTAAGCCTGTTAAAAGCCAATTTACCCTCAGATTCTATTCCTGATTATTTTCTTTTCTCAGTTCCCTCACAACCTTCTGATTCACTCTTGATGGGCTTGAACACCACTAAATTATCAATGTCTCTCAAATCCTTATTTTCATTCTTGATCTCCATATTATGCTTCGAATTTAGTATATTTAAGACCCATCTTGCTGGAATACTGTGTTTAATCTATTTTTCCCTGATTTTCCTGGCTTACTTTGTGACTCTAGTATCTGAGCCACTGTTCATGGGGATCACCTGAGGAAACATTTTTTCCTCTCCATGAATTGGTTCCCACGTTTTGCTGCTCTCTGTCTTCTATTATCAGTGCCCTATTTTCATCCCAGTTTCAACTACAGTAGTTTATGTAAAGGGTCTTGTTTTATACTTTATCTATTCCCTCCTCTCTCAAGAGAATTGCTTCTATAGAGGAAACCTGGCAATGTGATTTCATTCTATGCTTACGTCTCACCTTCTGCTCTCCATTTTCCATAGCAGTGATCCCTAGAAGAGGCGTACACTTAGAGGATCTTCAGAAAGATCCAACTGGTCATCTCCTATATACTCTGCAGAAATTTCAAGTATAACAGTTCAAAAATCTTTCCATTTTCTACACATCCTTATTGTCTCTGAATTAAAGGATTAGAACCCAGAATACATATTGCAATAAAATAAATAAAATATTAGGCTGTTTTCTTCATTTTAAAATCCAAATAAGAATTATTTATAATAAATGAATTTATTATTTATTTTTATAATTTTTAAATATAAATCTGTAATGCTGAATAATATTCTAGAAAATAGTAAATGATCAAATGCTTTGGAGTCTGTTGCTCTGTAGCCCATTCCCTGAATACTTCCCTGGCCATTTTTCTCATGAAGGCACCAGGCCATATTCTCATCTCCTGTGCTGTTTGCCCTTTTGCTAATTTTTTACGTGCTGGAGGCCCCCACCTTTGCCTGTGCCATGGCTCTGTGCTTATGAAGGACACAGCATACTAATACTTCAACCAACAGCTGTGCTTCCTCAGTGAAGCTCAAAACAGAACCAACTTACTTCCTTATTTATAGAATTAGCCAATCTTCTGTGTATTTTCACCATTGTAACATATTTTCTTACCAGACTTTATGCTCCATGAATACAAGAAGGTTTTTAGTAATCTTAGTATTTCCAGAAATTATAATCGTTTCAGGTATGTTGTGCAGACTTGATAATTTTTTGCCTCTAAATGAATTCACAGAAGTAGCACTAAACACATAAACAGATGTTCATGTATATTAAATGTTCTGTGGTTTTAAAGACTATTAAAAAAAATAAAGCAAGATTAGACTGAGTGGGCTTCTTGAAGGAATAGTCATGGGAAACTTTACTGAGATCAACAGAAGAGCAGAAATTTGACTGAAATGACTGTGAGACATGAGGATTCTGCCTCTTTTTAGCAGGGGTAACAGCAGCTGCTAGCCATGGGCAGGAATGTGCTTGGTGGTTTTGAGGAATAACAAAAAAAGTCGCAGTGGCTGAAGGGAGAAGGCAGGAGGTGATGTCAGGAGGCAGTAGACTCCAAAGGTGAGCCTATCGTAAGCTTTATTCAGTAAATTCATTTTATTCTTAATTTAGTGGTAGATTTTCAACAAATGAGCAACGTCTGGTTTATGTTTGTATGGGAGTTTTCTCTATATTTCTGTATATTTTCTCTATAGAGAAAATACTAGGCAGGGCATAACATATAGAGCTCATTAAGGAGCTGTGGTCGTTTCCCTCCTGAGTGATTGTGGTGGCTTGGACAAAACCGAAAGGCCTAAAGGGAATGAGACGAGATTTGATTCTCTCAATATTTAGAAAGTGGGGTGATAACCATATAACGAATATTTGTAACATCAGAGTACCAGAAGGAAAGGAGAGAGGTATTTAAAGTATTTTAAAAAATAATGGCTGAAAATGTCCCAAATTTAGCAAAAGTTATGAAACTACACATTCAAGAATCTGAGATAACATCAAATAAGATAATTTTAAATAAATCCATGGTGAAGGCAAATCATAATTAAATTTTTGAAAACTAAAGACAAAATCTTCAGAGTAACCAGAGATAAATAACACATTCCCTACATAAAAGAATGGCAGATTTCTCATCTGAATCCATGGTGGCCAGAAGGAAGTGTAGGACATTTTCTCAGATACTGAAAGAAAAGAACCATAACAAAATTCTCTATCTTTTGAAACTATATTCATGAACAAAGGGAAATAAAAAGCTTACCAGACAGGAAAACTAAGAGAAAATGTTGCTAGCAAACCTACCTTTAAAAAGATGACTAGAGGAGGTTCTCTAAATAGAAAGTATATAACGCAGGAAGGCTGGGAACACAGGAAAGAAAGAACATTGGAGGTTGGCAGAAATAGGGGGAAATGTAATAGAATCTGTTTCTCATGAGTTTCTGACATCATATTTGATGTTTGGAGAAAAATGCTCTGTATGTAGAGGAAATACTTAATTCTATTTAAAAGGGGGGAGGGTAAAGGGATCTAAGTAGAATGAAGCTTTCTACATTTCACTTGAAGTGGTAAAATGCTGACTAATAGACTGTGATAAGTTACATATGCACACTTTAATATCTAGAACTGCTAAGAAAACGATAAAGAGTATTGTGCTTAGAAACACTGCAAATAAACAAGATGGAATCTAAAAAATGTTGATATAACCAACAGGAAAATAAGAAAATGGTAATAGATGAATGAAAAACCGAGAAAACAAAACAAATAAAATAGCAGCCTAACATAGCAATATTTATCTTAAATGTAAATAATCAATGTGTATCAAAATACAAATTGACAGAGTGGAAAGAACAAGAAACATAATTCTAAAATATTTATAGGAAATTCATAACATAGTTAACAACATGAGTTGATAAAGAATAGAAAAAGATATACCATACAAACATTATTCAAATCAAAGTAAGAGTGGCCCCATTGATATCACATAAAGTCGACTCTAGAGCAAAGAAAACTCGTGGGCAAAAAGATCACTATATAACGATAAAAGTATCAATCCAACAAAAATGCAGTTATCCTAAATATGTCCCCACCAAACAAAAGAACCTCAAAGTACACAAAATAAAACTGACTGAGCTGAAAGGAGAAATAGGCACATTTTAAATTCTAGTTGTAAGTCTGACCACCTCACTCTCAGCAGTTGGTAGAATCACTAGGCGTTAAATTACTAGCAGACATAGAACAGGAGAGCACCATCAACCAATAGGGTAGAAGCAACATTTACGGAACAGTGCCCAACAGCAAAATATACACTTTTTCTCAAGTGCTCATGGACTATTCAGGAAGATAAACCATATCCTGGGCCATAAACCAACCTCAGCAGGTATAAAAGAACTGAAATCATTCCGAGTGTGTTTTCTGGCCATAATGAAATGAATCAAACTATGAATTAATTCATAGTAGAAAGACAACAGCAAAATATCCAACCACTTGGAAATGAAACAACAGACTTCTAAATAATATTTGGATCAAAGAAAAAGCCTCAAAATAAATTTTAGAAATTCATGGAATTGAATAAAGCCCTGCTGATAGGGAAATTAACAGCACTAAATGTTAACCTCAGAAAAGAGGAAAGGCCTCAAAACGATAATTAACTTTCTACTTCAAGAAACTAGAAAAACAAGGAGGGACGGGACAAGGTTGTGGCTGATCCCAGAGAGGTAGTGGCAGCCACCGAGGCAGAAAGTGGGACTGGCGCACACCCTGAGCACATCGCAACCCCTGTGCACCCAGCTGTGAACCGGGGGAGCCAGATCAGAGGCCGGTGCCAGCTGGGCCAACTCCAACAAGGACACATCCCTAGCTGTGGGTAGTAAGTCCAGTTATAAATTTTTCTCCCTTCTTCTGTGGATAAGCTGGAACAGATCCCTGAATTGCACTGATACCGAAGATGCGTGCATTATAGAAAATTGTTGTCAAGCACCTTAGTGGCCATTTTGAACCTCAAAGCTCAGAGGAAGCTAAAGGTTTGCCACTTGAAAAAGGGAACTGAGATCTGCAACTACAGCTACTCCAATAAGATAGTGGCTGTGGAGCTCCAAAGGCAAAGGCTAATAGCGTGCCTGGGAGATCCTTTGCACTTCCACAACATTTGGGACTTGAAGGTACTGCCTGGGATCAGGAGATCCTCCAAGCCCTGCAGGCTTGTGAGCACTACCAATAGTTACTTGGCCTAGGCAGGGAGTGCTGTGACTTTTCTATTTTAAATTTATACAATTTATTCAGCAAAGTAATGAGATATTGTGGTTGCAAGTTTCAGTATTTGCCTAGCTTCCCTTTTCATTTTGCAGAATTAGAACAACCTCAAATACTTCAAACTGCATTCCAAACCAACGCATATAGCAGCTAAAGTTCTGAGGGCATTTAAGTGGAGTTATTCTATGAAAGATCATTTTAGATTTTTTGGAGTGGTGAAAGTTTAGGATGGAAATGAAAAGGTAAAAATATTGTATCTGCTCTGCCTTTTCAGGATTTCAGGTTTTTTAACAGAGGAAGGGTGAGAGATGCCTGTTTCCAGGTCATTGTGCCATGGTCACACCTGTTGAATAGCTTCCAAAGGGGGTTGGTCAACTGACCATCTGCAGTGAAATGCCCTGATATTCCTGGGTTGGCTTTACAGCAAGTCTCTAAATGCTGGGAGCACATAGTCAGTTCTCACTGTGCAGACTTTTCTAGAGGAGCTAGTGTGTAGATTGTATTGTTACTAGGCAGAGGGAAAAGGTGAGGAGGATAAACTTTTCTTTAAAATCTCTTATATGTCCATCCTGGACCCTCAGTCATGTGGGATCCCAGTCATGCCATATTGGGTGTGCTCCCAAGTGGAGCAGGCTGCTGTTTACCAAAGAGAGAGAAGGGCCATGGCAAGAGGCAGTCTTGACCTGCCCCACAGGCTTATGACACGGGACCAGAGGGGTCTCTCTCTGTCTCCTTCCAGAAACCAGCTTTGGACTCCATCTCTGAGGGGGCATATTTGGATAAAGTGAGTGTTAATGGAGGAAAAAAAATGTCAAAGGGTACATGATAGATTTAGAACCCTGAGCTGGGGTTTCCTGGTAATCAAAGAGAGAGTTGCATTTCAAGTTCTGTGTGAAGATATTATTAGTTTTGGTGCCTGCCTGTTGACTTTTACACTTGTGGTGATTTGGGAACTCTAATTTACTTTGCCAGGTTTCTTTCATCTTTCTCTGGGATTGGTAGCTCTAGAAGATGTTGGCAATTTGCTTCCTTCTTTCAGCCTCAGTTTTCTGTTTAAAATGAGGCAGTTTGGAAGGGTGGCCTCTGAAGTCCTGGAGCCATCAACCCCTGCTCCCCTTTGGGTGACCCTGGCAAGGCTTGGCACTTTCACTTCCAGACACAGAAAGCTCTGTGCTTACCTGGGTAGAATCTGATGTGAGCACCCCATAGAGGGAGGACTAAGGATTCGTGGTTGAGAAAAATGAAAAGAGTTTATGTGGGTTTGCTGAGTAATCATCATGGGAAAATTACTCATGTCTATTTTTCCTTTGCTTATTTCATTGCTATAAGCATCTCTTTCTCTTCCCTTACACTTTAACCCCCCTGAGTCCCATCAAGTCCCAGTGTCACTGGCAGGCCTCAGGCATGTGCAGGTCCGGCAGGGAGGCAGGGAGAGCTAGAAGTACTGAGTTGGCCATTAGTAGAACTCTTACTGCCATGCCAGGAACCTAGATGGAGACTGCAGAGTGGATGGAACGGTAGGAGGCAGCTGGCAGTGAGAGCTGCTCCATGCCTGGCTACAGGAAGGGAAGAAGGAGGAGTCACTTGCCACAGGCTGGAGGCTGGAAGCTGGAGGCTGGAGCCTGCGGCACCACTGCTCACCTCGCTGTGGTTGGTGGCAAAGACTGAGACTGCAGCCAGCCAGAGCGTAGAAGGGCAACAGGGTATGTGCGCTATCCGGGGCTGCTGGTTGGGGGTGTTATTCTGGGCGTCACTACTTTAGGTGTGCTATCTGGGGCTGCGCTGCCTGCATGCTACGGGGAGTGGGGGTGGTTGGGGGCACTATTACCCTCTATACAGCTGGGGGCTGCGGGGCTGGCCGCTTGAGGGCGCTATCCGGGGTTGCACGGCCCTTGGCAGGGAGCAGATTGAGGAAGCTCTCCTGGGCTGCACTGCCTTCATTGGAGGTCGGGTTGGGGGTGCTATCCTAGGCTGTATTGCTGGCAGCAGTGGGGCAGGTTGAAAGTGCTACTGAGCAGGTTGGGGGCACTATTGGGGTTACACTGCCGGTGGTGTGGGGGTTGGGGGGACTGGTGGGGCACTGACTGGTCTGGCTGCATTGCCCATGGTGGGGAGCGAGGTGGGGGTGCTATCTGGGGCTGCACTGCCCACGACGGGGGGCTTGTTGGGTGCACTATCCATGGCTGCACTGCCCATGGTGGGGGGTGGCTTGGCAGCACTACTAGGACTGCAATGCCCGTGGCAGGGGATAGGTTAGGGGCAGTATCTTATGGTGCTACACTGCCAGTGGGGGACGGGGGGGGTGCAGAGATGTGTAGGGGGGTTTTCGGGTGCTACTGGGGGCCAAACTGCCCATGATAGAGGGTGGATTGGGTGCCCTATAGGGGGCTACACAGCCCATGGCAAGGGGCAGTTTAGGGGCAATACCCACAGCCGGTGGCAGGCAGGGTGGTGGGGTGGGTTGTGGGCACCATCAGTGACTGCATGGAAGTCAGTGTGGGCAAGTGAGGGGTGCTATCAGCTGCTGCACTGCCTGTGGCGGGGATCGGGTTTGGTGCACTATCAAGGACTACACTGCTGGCAGCAGCATATGGGTTAGAGGCACTTTTGGGAGCTACACTGCCCATGGTGGGGTGTGGGTTGGGTGCGCTATCCAGGGTGTCATTCCCCAAGGCTGGGGGATGGTTGGGGGTGCTATCCACTATCTGGGGCTGCACTGCCCATGGTGGGGTGTGGGTTGGGTGCGCTATCCAGGGTGTCGTTCCCCAAGGCTGGGGGATGGTTGGGGGTGCTATCCACTATCTGGGGCTGCACTGCCCATCATGGGGAGTGGGTTGGGGGCCTTAAGGATCTGTGACTGCACTATTCATGGTGGGGAGCAGGTTACAACACTTTCTGGGGCATCACTGCCCATAGTGGGGGGTTGGTTGGGGGTCCTATCCATGGTTGCATGGCCCACAGCAACGAGCGGGTTGGGGGCACTATCGGGCTGCATTGCCCATGGCAGGGGGCAGGTTGGTGGCACTATCTGGTGCTGCAGTGTCCGAGGTTGGGGGCTCTATCAGGTGCTACACTGTGGCAGCGAGTAGGGAGCGGGGGCGTTAGGGGCAATATCCCGGGGCTATACTGTTGGCAGCAGGCAGCAGGTTAGAGGCACTATCAGGGGCTGCCCTGCTGGTGGCAGCAAAGGTTGCAGCAACAGCAGTAGCCTCCAAGGAAGGAGTCTTCCTCCTCTCCCCGGACTCCAGACTCTGGAAGGTGACCTCCTCCTGCTCCTGCTCGAGCAGGGCAAATGCACACTGTTTCTTCAGGAATCCTGAGCATGGCAGGGCCCCCACACCCGTGGTGGTTCCTGGGCCTGCACCCTCTTACTCTGTGTTATGGAGACTGCCTGGGACCCCTGGGCCTGCAGGACAGGGAGTAGCAGACACCACAGGGGGATGGGGCTCTGTGGGTGGAGGCACCAGGATCGGGAACCAGCACTTGGGTGGGAGGGCTGGCTGGGTCTGAGTTGCTGCTGGTTCTCCTCCCCAAGGACAATAGCTCTGGGGAGCCCAGCAGTTCCAGTGGAGTGGGGAGTTGGGCAATGCGTTGTTTCCAGTCCCCAGTTCCTGGCCAGCTTGGGCCAAAAGGAGAGGCTGGACTTTGGAGGGTGGGTATGAGTGCCTTCAATGAAACCGGCCCCTGCCACCCAGTGGCCAGCATGATAAGGTGAGGCTCTAACGCTACCACTCCCTGCATCCTCCTCTAGGCTTTTCTGGCTTTGCCTGCCTAGCTGCTCTGTGCCAGGAAAAGGAGGGTCACCTGTCGCACACTGGAGGCTGGAGCCTGCAGATGGCCTACGGCTGCCGCTTGCCTTGCTGCATTTGGTGGCTGCTATGGAGACTGCAGCATGCGGTAGGAAGACAGCTGGCTGTGGCCATGGCAGGGGCAGTGCTGCGGCAGTGGTCAAGATGGTAGGAGCCTTGTAGGGTGGGCCAGTGCATTGAGGGTGACAGCAGCAGTCGTATTGCCATTGGCACTAGCGGCGGCAGCAACAGCAAGTCCGGGGGCTGGGAAGGGGAGGAGTAGGAGCACTGCGGTGCCTGCCCAGCCAGGCCTTGGGTGGGTAGGAAGCTTCAGGTGCCATACTGCCTCAGTGGAAGTGGTGGAGGAACAGCCAGGGCAAGGAGAAGTCCTCCCCGTTCTCCTGCAGTCTCTGGAGGGTGCCCAATTCCTGCTGGCGCATGAGCCAGGTGTGAGTGACAGCATTATCTCACTGTTTTGGTTTTCCCCCTGAGATGGAGTCTTGCTTTGTCACCCAGGCTGGAGTGCAGTGGTGCGATGTCAGCTCACCACAACCTCCACCTCCTGGGTTCAAGCAATTCTCCTGCCTCAGCCTCCCAAGTAGCTGGGATTACAGGCATGAGCCACCATGTCCGGCTAATTTTCTATTTTTAGTAGAGATGGGGTTTCTCCATGTTGGTCAGTCTGGTTTTGAATTCCTGGCCTCAGGTGATCTGCCCACCTCAGCCTCCCAAAGTGCTGGGATTACAGGCAGGAGGTACTGTGCCCAGCCAAATTCTTTCTTGCATGAGGTCCAAGAACTCGCTCTTGAGGTCTGGATCAGGACCCCTTTCTGATAATACCTGTATTGTATTTTGGAATTACATAACTTGCTTGGTTTCACAGGATCACAGCTGGAGAAGAATTTTGCCTGGGAATGACTCATACCTTGAGTCTCAACCATATGTGATTTAGATTATATTTATTTTTTATTTTTATTTTTTTGAGACAGGGTCTCACTCTGTTGCTCAGGCTGGAGTGCAGTGGCACAATCTCTGCTTACTGTAGCCTTGACCTCCTGGCTCAAGTGATCTGCTCACTTCAGCTGGGACTGCAGGCCTGCACCACCACTCCTGGCTAATTTTTAAAATTTTTTGTAGAGATGGAGTTTTGCCATGTTGCCCAGGCTCATCTTGAACTCCTGAGATCAAGTGATTCTCCCAGGATCACTTGTGGGGGGCTCCCTAAGTGCTGAAATTACAAGTGTAAGCCACCGCACCCAGCCTGAATGATATTTAGATGAGACTTTGGACTTTAGGTTTTAGAGTTGATGCTGAAAGGAGTTAAGATTTTTCAGGTTGTAGGGATGGACTGAACGTATTTTGTATGAGAGAAGCACATGAATTTTGAGGGGTCAGGGATGGAATGTTGTTAAAAACTGAATGTGTCCTTCAACATTCATTTGTTGAAAGCCTGATCCCCATGTGATGGTATTTGGAGGTGGGGCTTGTGGTGGGCAATTAGGGTTAGATTAGGTGGGGCCTTCATGATGGGATTAATGTCCTTATAAAAAGAGAGACACACAAAGTTTCCTCCCCTGCATCTGTATCTCTCTCCATGCATGCACCAAGGGAAGGCCAGATGAGGACAGGGCCAGGAAGAGTGCCCTCACCAAGAATCTGACCATGCGGGCCCCTGCAACTTTCCAGAACAGTGATAAATCAGTGTTTGTGGTTTACATCACCATCTACGGTAATTTGTTAGAGCAGGCCAAAGTGACTAAGACGCTTCCCCTAGGTCCCAATAGTTACTTGTTTAGGATGAAAGTTCTCTAAAAATCCTTTCAAATGCGAAAGTTTTTCCAAACCAAAGGATAGCCCCAGAAATATACCTTTTGTATACGTGACTTAAAACCAATAGGCCTTTTTATGGCTGAACCATGGATAGCCCAGGTGTCCCCATGAAGGGTGCAGAAGCTGCAGCTTCCTTAATCCAGAGTCAACTCCCAAAGATGGCCAGAGAGAAAGAAAGCACAAGCCCTCGTTGTCACAGGCATTAAGAACAGTGTTTCTGCAAACTTGTCTCTGGTCTCCCACAATCCTGAGCTGCCTCCAGTCACACAAACCTGCTAATCCGTGACACCAGACTGGTGATACTGAGATGAGACTTTCTTGGTCAATAAGGCAACGAGGGGACAGATGACAGAGGTCCCTTATGGGCTGAGAGACCTTATTGAGACAAAGTCCCCTGAGAGCTGGAACAGTCGGACAGAAAATGTTCCTCGTGCAGCCCTTTCCTGACAGCCAGTCACATCCACATGCAGGCCAGGGATCCGTGCTCCAGCCAGCAGAAAGCCAGGGAGAGAACTCTCTCACCAGATCCATGCCATGCTGTCAGGACACACAATAAAACAGAAGGAGAATTTCACTGGACTTTTCAGAAATTGGTGACCCACAGCAAAATGGGTCCAAACAGATGCTGGTCCAGTGAGAACCGTAAGATCACCAGTGTGTGAGGCCGGGTGGAGCAGAGGCTGCTGGGAGAACCGTAAGCTCACCCGCTGCTGGGACCTGTGCCTGTGCTCTCCCCTGTGACCAATGACAGAAAAGACAGAGGAAAACAATGGCTGTCCCTGGGAGGAAAGGACCCAACACATGAGTGCTGAAAACCGAGTTCACAAGGGTCACCCAAAGAACGAGCTCTTCCAAAGATGTTCTTCTACTAACTCGAATTTGGAAAGGGAAATACAAAGATAGACTTTTTACCACTCTCGCTCGACCAGATTCTGAGCAGAATTGTGGGGGGCTGGTGTGGTAAGAATTCCTCCTTTCGTCAGCGTGGTCAGTGTCGAGAGATCTTGGTTGCACCCTCAGGAGTGAGCCCCAGTCATTCCTTTGCGGCTGCCAAAACTCTCTAACTGGAAGAACTTTTCCTCTATCCTCTTATGTTCACTGCCTGGGGCCCTGTGAATTAAACTTTTTTAAAAAACAAATTAACAGGGAAAAAGGCAAATATTTTTAAAAAAATCACTGGGCACGGTGGCTCATGCCTGTAATCCTAGCACTTTGGGAGGCTGAGGCAGGTGGATCACCTGAGGTCAGGAGTTCAAGACCAGCCTGGCCAACATGGTGAAACCATATCTCTACTAAAAATATAAAAAAATTAGCCAGGCATGGTGGCAGGCGCCTGTAATCCCAGCTACTCGGGAGGTTGAGGTAGGAGAATCGCTAGAATCCTGGGGATGGAGGTTGCAGTGTGCCGAGATCTGCTATTGCACTCCAGCCTGGGCGACAGAGTGAGACTCTGTCTCAAAAAAAAAAAAAAAAAAATTACGTGGCTGAGTGCAGTGGCTCACATCTGAAATCCCAGCACTTTGGGAGGCTGAGGCAGGGGATTGCTTGAGACAAGGAGTTTGAGACCAGCCTGGGCAACATAGCAATACCCCATTTCTACAAAAATAAACAAATTAATAACAAAAATGTTTAAATAAATGTTTTATGTGCATGAGAATTTACAGAAAAGAAGTGAAACTCAAAAAAGTGGTTAGACTCGGGCTTACCTGCCATTTTAACAGAGAATAGGAGGTTTGGGCTTCATGGATGGGAAATCATGAAGAAGTGGCTAGGAACATATGGGGGATGCTAACAGAAGGTGACGGTGAGTTTAGCAAGGTTTGTTCATGCTCACTCCCTCTCCAGTGAGAAGAGCCACTCTCCCCTCCTGGCATGGAGAGAGGGGGCACCTTCACAGGGGAATTTATGCCCTGCTTTCACACAGAAAAGGGGAGGGCAGACAGCTCGTCCTGCATGTGCCCATTCTCAGTTTCCTCAGCTCAAAATAATCCTTATGCCAAAGTGGCATATTTGGGGGTGTATATTCAGTATATAAAGCACTTAGCACAATTCCTGGCCATATTGAGTGCCTATATTAAACGTTTCTTATTACTTTTTTGTTTACCATAGTTAGGTTCTGAGCTGGGTGCTGGAGTTACAGTATTATAATGACATCATTCCTGTCCTGAAGAAGTTGACAATTTGAAGCAAAGGGAGACAAACATGAACACAAACAGGTACACAAGGTCATCAGTGTTCCATGCTGTAGAAACACAGCCGAGTGCTGGGTGCACAGAAGGAGCAGTGCATTATGTTGGGGTGGGGACTCTCAACATAGCTGCAGTGAGTTTTGATCACCACTATATTGTTGCCTGAGTGACACAGCGAGACTCATCTCAAAAGAAAAAAAAAAACACAAAGATCGCCTCAACCTCCCAAGTCTCAATCTTCCCATCTCAGCCTCCTGAGTAGCTGGAACTGCAGGCACATGCCACCACACCTGGCTAGATTTTCTATTTTTTTGTAGATATGGGGTCTCGCTATGTTGCCCAGGCTGGTCTCAAACTACTGGGCTCAAGCAATCCTCCTGCCTCAGCCTCCCAAAGTGCTGGGATTATAGGTATGAGCCATCATGCCTGTCTTGATTATCTTTGATAAAAATGGAGGTGATTCTAGAGAGAAATTTTGTTTCAGTGGAAAACTACAACCCATCCTGGTGGGTTATCAAATACTTGTCATGTTTACTGTCTTTGAGTTATTTTCACCTCTTTGTAAACTGGATCTGGCCGTCTTGTGCATGTTGTCAGTAATGAGTGTTTCCAGTATTCTCCCCTGTCCTAATTTGGCATCACTGAGAACTAAAACTGCCCTTTTCCAGAAACCCTGAAACCTGAAGCTGAATCACTCAGTGTAACTTTAACAGAATCATCACCACAGCAGTTTGGGTGACTCAGAAAGTTCACCAGAGCACAATCCTCCAAGCGCCAGGAAATAACAGGACTGCGATGCTGTAACTGCCATCCTCATTCCGCTATGTAAGGATCCTTGGAGACCAATATCTAGAAATCTGAACTAATGGCCCTCTGAACTTAGAAACAGGATCTATAGTCAGCACCGATGGTTAATCTTTGTATTTCTTTTGTATCCATAGAAATGCCCTCATTCAATGCCTGATTGCTTGCACACATAAAGACCCACCTTTGGGGGTGCCCCACCCCCACCTGCACCACCACCTCCTGAAATGAGACACAGCTGTTTAACTGGACTGAGATATTCCCAGGGCAGAGAGACTGGTTTAATGGGAACAATCAAATAACTTCGCTTCTGGAATGTGACACATCATAGAGAAGTTTCAGACAGGGAAATGAAGGGCCTAAATGATGCCACTCCACAATATGCCATTGTGGCATAAGGATTATTTTGAGCTGAAGGTAATGGAGGATCCACAGGTGCTGAAAGAGTTCTCTGTCTTCTCCTTTTCTGCCTGAAATCAGATCATAAATGCCTTCTTGTGAAGGTGGCATAAAGTACCCTGTGAAGGTGTCCCCCTCGCCCCCACCAAGAATAGAGTGGCTCTTATCACCGGAGTTAGCACCAAGATGAGTCCACATAAACAAGCCTTTCTGAAATAGCCTTGTCTTCCATCACCTTCCCCAAATACTCCCCAGTCACTTCCCAGTGCCTTGTCCTCCCTCAAGGTCAAATCCTCTTTTCTTTGTTAAAGTTATCAGCCCCTGAGTCTCGCTGCTTCTTTGAGTTCCACTTCTTTTCTGTGAATTCCTATGCACATAAACATTAACAAAAATTGTATACTTTTTCTCTTATTAATCTTTATTTTCAGTGTAATTTGCAGGTCCCCATTAACTGAACCTAAGAGGGTGGAGGAAACATTTTTCCTCACCAGCAATATATCTCTCACTTAATCCTTAACCTATGAATAGGTACCATGATTATCTTTATTTCACTGATGATGCCACTGAGGCACAGATAATGTAAAAATCCTGTCCAAGGTCTCTCTCATAGCTAGTAACTGATGTAGTTGGGACATATTAAATAAATGATGATTGGCATGTTCAGTCGAGTTAAATAAGATTTTTCTGAGTGTTCTGGGAAGATTTTGAAAATAAAGCCATGGCTCCGTTCTTCAAATATTTATTTAATTGGCAATACTTGTTACCAACACAAAATTGCACACGTCAGTGTCCGGAAGCATAACTCAGATTCCATCTTATACTTAGCCAAACCTGATTAAATGGTTTCCCAAAGTTACTGTTGTAGCCATACAAAGACAAAAACAACCTCTTGTCAAATCAGAAGAGCCACAGAAAACAAGAGAGTACCTCAAAGTCAACCAGTGACTGCTGAAAAACATCTATCCAGAAAAAAAAAAAAGAAAAAAAAAAACAGGCATGGCTTTGGGAAGAAGACATGAATTTGAGATCTAGCATGAGGAAGTATGGAGAGGGAAACTGGTCTAAAATACTGTTACATTATAAATTCACCACTGGCCAAGTGTCATGTGAAAAGACAGATGAAGGACTATGAAGAAATTAAAACTGATTTGCTCAGACAGTGAAGACTGAATGTGTTTGTAAAAGCTTCATACATGGACAGTTAAATATGTTGATCACTGCATTTTGTTTGTAACTTGCTGGTCATTGATGTTTCTTAAAACTGTTGTTTAAGGCATTACAGGTATTTTTCTGCAACAGTCAATATGAGGATTTGTACTACAAGAGATAAAATATATGCTATCATTGTTTTTTGTGTGTTTGTTTTTTGAGATGGAGTTTTGCTCTTGTCACCCAGGCTGGAGTCCAATGGCGCAATCTCAGCTCCTGCAGCCTTGGCCTCCTGGGTTCAAGAGGCTCTCCTGACTCATGCTCCTGAGTAGCTGGGACTACAGGCGTCTGCCACCACACCTGGCTAATTTTTGTATTTGCAGTAGAGATGGGGTTTCACTATGTTGGCCAGCCTGGTCTTGAACTCCTGACCTCAGGTGATTCGCCTGCCTCGGCCTCCCAAAGTGTTGGGATTACAAGTGTGAGCCAACGTGCCGGCCTATCAATGTATTCTTTAAGCATCTTTTTATTTTGATAAAATGTAAATTTGTTTAACCCTGCTGCATGCAATAACTCAGCCCCCAAATCCTGTTTCAATTTAAAAAACAAAAACAACACCCTCTTGTCAAAAACTTGATTAAACTCTGGGTGAACTAGTTTTCTCACTTTTTTTCTCATCAGGCTTAAATTTTTATTGCATATCCTTACTTTAGCCATGGACTGAGTTGGTATTTTTTGGTTATGCACTCACAGCACGGCACAACGCATGGAATAACGGCATGTGTTCCGTCACAGTCCCCGCTGTCCTGTGCCCCTGCCATTCGCGGATACAGCCGAGCCCCACGGTTAAGCTCCTCCCGACCCAGGGACAAATGGCCTCGCCCAAGGGCGCAGGACGAGTCCCAAGCCCAAGCCATTCTGCAGGGCCCTGACCAGAGGGCGTCTGCGGCCTCGCGTGCTGCGCAGTTCTTCCGCTCGGACAGCAGGGGGCGCGCTGCCCTTGGCAAAGAAAGCCTCCGCGCCCAGCGACCAGCACCCAGCGCCCGCCTATACCGCCGCGCGGGCCGGTACCGGGTCAGGGCGGCGCGGAGCGTGGGTTGCAGAGACAACCCCAAGTGGTGGCTGGTCCCGGCGAGTCTGTTCCCGTTGTGCTGTCGCCTCGCAGCCCAGGGCTCCCTGAGAGTGAGGAGAAAGCTCAGGCTCCCAGGGCGGGCCCGCTTGGTCCCGGGAACTCGGGAGTCACCGCCGTCAGTGTGACCGGGTCCGAGAGCGCGGGTCGTTGGAGCGCAGTGTGGCCGCCGCGTGGGGACGTCTTGGGGGAGGTGATGGCGACGCTGGGGGCCGACCCGGGGCACCGCGTGGTCCCAGACAGCTGCGCCCATCAGGGCAGACGGGCGCCCCAGCCCCTCAGTCCAGCCCGGGCCCATCCTGCTCCGGGCTGCGGGGACTGGGGGCGGGCCGCCCGGGGGCGGCCTGGGGCCTTGGAGATGTGACCCAGGTGACACGGACTCTGGGACCACCTGCCTCTCACACCGGGGTGCCCGAGTGCCCTCATGATTTGAAGAAGAGGGAGACAGAGTCGGAGCCCAAAGCATCTAAAGGCCGCGCTGGCAGCACGCACCCACCGGGAGGAGATGACGAAGCCGCCCTCGCGTCTGAAAGCGCCTTCCTTCTACGCGTGCAGGGACGCGCCTGGCAGCGGCCCACCCTGAGGCTGCAGGACAGGAACCGGTCCCCCGGATTCCTCTTCCTCAGGAGCCCTTACAGAGTCCACACAGCCGGCTGCGAGGGAGGACAGAGCCCACTCACATCTCCACGTGTGGAGGCCGCCTGGCCTGGAAGCTCATTCCCTGCAGAAACCAGTCTCTCCAGGAGCCCCAGGGTGCCCCTAGCAGGAATCACCACACCCATAGCATAGCTCTCTTCCATTACTTAGTGATGGCGCCTCCCAAATCAGCTTCCCCCTGCCAGCCAGGAGCTGTTTTCGCCATAGGCACTATTGCCTAGTAGGCAGCTGGGACATTCCACCTTCGCCTTCTGCCAGGAGAACAGGTAGAAGGCCAACTGCATTTAGTTCAAATAATGCAAAAAGGGAAACATTGTTAAACTTTTGCATACGAATATTGATTTTATTAAAATCTGGAGATATCTTTTTTGAGACGGAGTTTCACTCTTGTTGCCCAGGCTGGAGTGCAGTGGTGTGATCTCGACTCACTGCAACCTGCGCCTCCCAGGTTCAAGCGATTCTCCTGCCTCAGCCTCCCAAGCAGTTGGTATTACACGCGTGGGCCACCATGCCCGGCTAATATTTTTGCATTTTTAGTAGAGACGGGGCTTCACCATGTTGGTCAGGCTGGTCTCAAACTCCTGACCTCAGGTGATCCACCTGCCTTGGCCTCCCAAAGTGCTGGGATTACAAGCATGAGCCACCTCACCCGGCCTAAAATCTGGAGATATCAAACCTAAATATATATTCCCTTCTTTTACAAAGTGAAAAAAAAAAACACAAAAACTAACTCTATAGAATGTGAAAACAGAGACATATCTTAATAGTAACACATGTTAAGTGCTTTGATTCAATTCCTGTTGTTGAAACCCAAAAGCAAAAAAACCCCAAAACCTTTGAGAAAGCTGCTGGTACCAAAATGGAGTCACTTACATTAAACTCCAGCAAAATGGAGTGGTGGGAGGCCATCAAGAAGCCCTCACGCCCACATGCCTGAAACAGGACTTATCCCAAGACTTTCCTGCACCCAGACCAGCATCACGACTTAGTGCAAGGACTTCTTGAGGCCGCAGTATTCCAGATCTGCCACCAGCACGCAACACTGACCTGGCAACAGCCGCCTCCCCCAATCAACAGAGCCAACTCCTGCAGTGAGCTTCTGTCACCTACGAGCCTTGTTTCAAAGCCGCTCATGTGTACATCTGTTTGTCTTTAAAAGATTCCTCTTTGGCTAGGTGCAGTGGCTCATGCCTGTAATCCCAGCACTTTGGGAGGCCAAGGCAGGCAGATCGCTTGAGGTCAGGAGTTCGAAACCAGCCTGACCAACGTGGCGAAACCCCATCTCTACTAAAAATACAAAAATTAGCCGGGTATGGTGGCGAGTGCCTGCAATCCCAGCTACTCGGGAGGCCGAGGCAGAAGACCCACTTTAACCCAGAAGGCAGAGGTTGTATTGAGCCAAGAGCAGAGCGAGACTCCATCTCAAAAAAAAATAAAAATAAAAATTTATCTTTGCCACGACATCCCTGGATATGCCCTGATCCATCATTATAGCACACACATCCTGAACTATAATCCCTTGCCTAGTCCCAAGTGAGCCCATTTGTTCTGGGTCCTATCTGAGCTTCTTTTTAGCCTGACACCTGCACAACTGCTGCGTGTGGTGACTCACAGTTACTAATATCTCAGTGAAACTCTTCTCCAAGCCAAGGGGCCCAACAGACTTGGCCCTCCGTGCACAGGCAGGCCTGATGCATGGGAGTGGCTGGGAGCCACCACCCTGTCAAAGGCGGAGACCTTGGAACCACCTGATGGCATTCCAGACTTATAGGTGGATAATTAATGACTTCACAGCATGGAAACTTCCAGTTGGCAGCAGTTGCAGGCCATTCTGACCCTTACTGAGATGGTTTTTGGGGAACGTGGTCCAGATGGTGGATGTGACACTCTCAGCCGGCACAGGTATGAGGACTGAGGCCATCCTCGGGCAGGGGCAGGAAATGGAGGATTGCCAGCTGTCTGGATCTGGGCAAGGGCTATGAGGTGGCACACCATCCAACCTGAGCAACTCTTGGCCCTACACGCCAGCTCCTTCCCCCAAGGTTGGCAGGGGATTCCCTGTCCAATGCCGTGACTTTTCTAGTGTTGGACGCACCAGACATGCCTGCAATCTACCACAAAACTAGTGACTGGTGAGACCTGGAGGTCAGAAGGTTGGAACAGGTGATTGCTAAGGGACATCCCCTTCTGAGATTCCATTATTCAGTCCGAGAAGCCCACAGGAGACACTGTCAAAACCCTCCAAATTACTTTCTGCATAGACATATCAGATCATTCTACTGGAGGGCAACCCTATAGCATGACTGACAACCATGACATTCTCACCGAATAGAGATACACCTGCCACCTGAGGGCTTCCTCTCCTCTCACTTGATGATGGTTAGAACCAGCTCTCCAGTAGAAGGACTGACACACGCAGTATCACAAGTATCCTCCCCGTGTTTCCAGCACAAAGTTTGGACTGCTCCACATGGTGCCCAAGGCCCCGAGTTGGCCTATGTGTTTAAGCATCACCTCCCCAACCCTCCAAGCAACAAGATGCCTCCTGCAGCCAAGCAGAACCACGTGTTTATCCCACTGCAGCCCTAGCCATTTCTCTCTGCCTCTACCTGAACATCCTGCTCCAGATCCTTTTCCCCACCCCCCTCACATCTCCAGCTGGCCTGCTCGGTGCTGTCACGCGGGCACTGTGAGCCTGCAGAGTCCAGGGGGTTCCTGGAGGTCAGGGCTCCTGTTTACCTATGCATCTGGTAAGACGGGACATGTGACTAGTGACAAACTGAAACCTCTGCTCCTTGTGAGATGCCACACTCTGGGAAGTTGTGTGGCTACTTCTTGCATAGGAACTTGGGCACTGGAGTCACCCCTTAGGATCTTCCCATTCCCAGAGGCCAGCGGTGTTGTTCCCCTCTTCTTCCAACTTCAGGTTCAGATTTTGGCCTCTCCATTCCAGTTTAGTGATGGTGGCCCTGCCCCACGGGCTCTGCACTCCTGGCTTTGAAGCTGCAGTTCCAGATCCTTTGCAATAGCCCCTTGCTTTTGTCCCCTACGTCTTCATCTTCCATCTGCGTCACCCATCCCACACTCACTGCTTTTGTGGGGTTTTTTGTTGTTTTTTTCTGAGACAGGGTCTCACTCTATCACCCAGGCTGGAGGGCAGTGATGCAATCTTGGTTCAGTGCAACCCCTGCCTCCTGGGTTCAAACGAGTCTCCCACCTCAGCCATGTAACTAGCTGGGATTACAGGTGCACGACACCATGCCTGGCTAGTTTTTGTATTTTTAGTAGAGACAGGGTTTCACCATGTTGGCCAGGCTGGTCTTGAACTCCAGACCTGAGGTGATCTGCTCGCCTCAGCCTCCCAATATGCTGAGATTACAGGTGCTTTTGTTTTAGATCTGCTGTGGGCTGTAGCTGACTGCAGTGACTAAATGGTAGAGAGGCCTGCCCAGGCGACCCCCAGGATGCGACATGGCTTGTGGTGTTTGGGGCATCCAGTCCTGGCACTCGGTGATGCCATCTACATGGACTTCTCATCTTCATCTTCCTCTACAGGGGCCTCTACAAGTGACTAGCTTCACTCCACCCTGAAGCCTTCACTCACACAAAGAGGAAGCAATTTGTGGGGCTGAAACTGGGAAAGGAAGTCCAGGGCAGAGAAAGAGGCAAGAAGCAGTTGGGGTGAGAAGCCCTTGACTCTGGGTCCTCTGTCCTGGCTCCTGCAGTCTTTCTGCTCTTCTTGTCCATCTGTTTGATGTGGTCACGTGCATGCACTATTTCATTTGATCCACACAGTCCTGGGAGGAGTGCAGTTTAATTCATTTTACAGAGGGGCACAGAGAGGCTAGGCCAGTACCTCAAGTTTACCCGGCTGCTGAGTGGCCCCCTGTGCTGACATGCATAGCCCCTGCATGTCCCAACATCTGCTGGGGACAAAGCGCTGGTTCAGATGGCCTGGTGCCTCCCCAGATCATCCAAGTTTTAGGCCACTGATTTGGGCCTCTGCTTATGTTTTCAAAAAGCTGCTCTATTTATACATTGCCTCCACAGAAAAAAGCAATGATGAATGTGGTTCCTACTGGGAAAGCTATAGGATGTATTTTTCCAGCCCGGAAGTCCTGGGTATGGATGATAGAACTGATTGTAAATGGCTTAATAAATCAGGCAAAGCCTGTCTAAGCTGTGGTATAATCTAAATATTTCTAGTTTTCTTGAATAACATTTGGTTATTGGAGACATCATGATCTTTTCATGCTTTAATAATATATTTAACTGTAAAAAACAAAAACAACAAAAAACCAACCACAGTTGATGTGTATGGAAAGTAAAATCTGGAGACCCCCAAACTCACTATGCCCAAGGGAAAAGGTAAGCTTGGAAGCTGAGTCAGGAGGAACACCGACCTTCCTTTTGTTCCTCAACAGAATGGCTAGAGATAGAAGGCAGTGTCTTCCCAGGTGGCCTCTCTCACCCAGACGATGTAAATTAACAGCATATCTTCCCGGTGAGGGATGAGAGGAGAGGAAAAATACCGTCTCCCCCATGTAACCCACTGTTCCGCTTCCCCCTCCTTGCCTGCAGTATGTGGATTAACGAGCTCTAATCAAGGATGAGACCATACCCTCTTTTGTTTTCTTTCCTCTTTAAATACTGAAGCGCCCAAAATCCTTTTTGGAAAAAAGTGCAGACCACAGATCCTACAGTGGCTTGTGTCCTTTTCCCAGGCACATCCTCAATCTTGGCAAAATAAATCTCAACGCTGACTGAGACTGCCTCCGTCATTCTCTGGTTTCATGGTACTCTCCTAGGTGTCGTCCTGGGACATGCTCCCAACCCTGTGAGGGAGGCAGCCAGACCCCCAGTACAGACTTCACCTGGCACCAAAAGAGAGCTGACATGGCCCTCTCAAGGCCACACAGCTACCTGAACATCAATCCGCGTCCTGACTCCTGGTCTGAGTGGTGACAGTGATGCACTAGGACAAATGTTTTACTTTTTATTTGGGATTGGATCATAAAGGCAGCAAAACATTTGATGACTCATGTCCACAAGACACTCAGTGAAAACTGTTGAAATGAAGGGAAAAAAAAATGAGGGCAAGTATCCTGAAGCCTATGAGTGGAATTCAGAATGAATGTCATCACCAGTGATAGATGAATATCATTTTGTAAGAGGTCTAAATGACATAGCAAGCAGTTTTGCTAACTCTGAGGATCACAGAGGTGAGCAGCCCATTTCGTTTCTGGGAGGCTTGTCCAGGGATGAATGAGGCAAGCCCGCAGGTCCCCACCTTGGGTGCCTCTCTTTTCTCCAAGGTTCACTCTGCTTCTCCTGAAGCCGCAGGGATGACGCTCATGCGGAATACTTGCTAAAGGCAGCCTGAGACTCCGGACAGAGCAGAAGCAGAAGCAGAAGCAGGAGTCAGCTCAAGCTCCCTCAGGGCCTCCTGCTGTCCTGACCCAAGGGCTGGGAGGGCCTTTCCTGAGGTTGGGGAGGGGAGCAGTTCTTTCTTTTTGTTTTTTTGTTTGTTTTGTTTGTTGAGACAGGGTCTCGCTCTGTCACCCAGGCTGGAGTGCAGTGGAACAATAATGGCTCACTGCAGCCTCGACCTCCTGGGTTCCAGCCATCCTCCTGCCTGAGCCTCCCAAGCAGCTAGGACTACAGGCACGCACCACCACACCTGGCTAATTAAAAACTTTTATTATAGAGACAGGGTCTCATTCTGTGGCTTAGGCTGGAAATGCAGTGGTGCAATCATAGCTCACTGTAACCTCAAACTCCTGGGCTCAAAGGATCCTCCCACTTCAACCTTCCAAGTAGCTGTGCACCACATCCATCTAGTTTTGGGTTTTTTTTTGTAGAGATGGGGTCTTGCTATGCTGCCCAGGCTGATCTGGAATGCCTGGCCTCAATCCTGCCTCAGCCTCTCAACGTGCTGCGAGAGTTATTTTGTTGAAGAAAACTTCCAGATATTATTTGACTAATAAGCACTACATCTCAAAATCCATGAGAATGTAAGAAATTTCTTGCACATCTGTATAAATACTCAGATCTGTTTTGAGTAGATTCTGAGAAAATTAAGATGGGCTAACGAAGGCCTAAAGGAATAATCAGCAATTTGGAGAAACATGAGCATATTTTAAACTCATTTAAAAAATCCAAACTATTTATTGAAAAGCTCTACTAAACAAAATTAGTTCAGACAAAGCAATAAGATGACGAATCAAGCTCTCTCCAGAGATGAAAGAAAAGCCAGTCTCAAAGATGACTATAACTAACGCTGTTGCTGGAAAGACAAGGGCACCGAGCCAGCCCTGGGAGAGGCTCCACTTCTTCAAAGACAAAACGATTCCAAACGTGGCAGGACACAGTGCTCACCCTACAGTGAACCTCTGGGAATATGTTATTTTTTAAATTCAGTTAATCTTTCTTCTTTTTTTTTTTGAGACAGAGTCTCCTGTCGCCCAGGCTGGAGTGCAGGGGTGCGATCTCAGCTCACTGCAACCTCCACCTCCCGGGTTCAAATGATTCTCGGGCCTCAGCCTCACAAGTAGCTGGAATTACAGGCATGCGCCACCATACCCAGCTAATTTTTGTATTTTTAGTAGAGATAGGGTTTCATTATGTTGTCCAGGCTGGTCTCAAACTCCTGGCCTCAAGTGATCCACCTGCCTCGGCTCCCCAAAGTGCTGGAATTACAGGCATGAGCCACCGCACCCAGCCAAGACTTTCTCATTCTTAAACTTCAGGAAAGATGTCTGGCCAGCCAGTTAATAGCCTCATTAGAATTATTCTTACATACCATTCCGCCTCCTAAAGAGAAACAAGTAAGGCCCAGTTTCTCCTCTTTAAACTGATCACAGATTGGCCAGGTGTGGTGATTCAATCCCAGCACTTTGGAAGGCTGAGGTGAGAGGATCACTTGAGTCCAGGAGTTTGAGACCAGCCTGGGCAACACAGTGAGACCCCATCTCTACCAAAAAATTTTTAAAAATTAGCCTGGCATGCTAGTGCATGCCTGTGGTCCCAACTCAGAAGGCTAAGGCAGGAAGATCACTTGAGTCCTGAGGTCAAGGCTACAGTGAGCTGTGATCACACCACTGCACTCCAGGCTGGGAGACAGAGCAAGACCCCAACTCAAACAAAAACAAAAAAGCTGATCACAGAAACAACAGCTTTCAGAGATTAGTTTCCTTCTGTCTGTCCCATGTCTTGGCTTCTGAACACTCACATGATATTACTGGGGTCGCCTTCAGGGTATTCATCAGAGGCAGCAGCTGGCACACACTGGACTTTGGGTTTCATTCGCATGGACTTTGGGTTTCATTCGCATGGACTTTGGGTTTCATTCGCAAAGCTTCCTGAGAGCATAGATCCACAGCAGTGGATGAGAGCCACAGAGTTGTTTGGGAATCAGGCGACATGCTTATAGAGGAAACAGATACACACAGGGCCATTATTTTGATTTATTGCATTCTGAAGTACTCCGGGGGGAGGGCCTGAGAACGATCCGCTTTATCAGCAGTTCTAAAGCCTTATTACCTGAGATTTATATTCTGGGGGGAAAAATCAAGATTGGATTATCAATACGTATTTCACAGGAGATTTGAGTTTTGGCCCTGACAGAAGAACACGTACTAACCTGAAAAAGGCTACGTGAGATTAAAGAGAGAAACAGCTAAACACCAAATCCTGGTGAGAGAGACGTCGATTTAAAAGGCCAGCCACTCACTGTAGCGTGACAACTCCCTCTGGGGTAGCCAGGAGCAGAGCGTGAGCCACTGGCATGGAGCGTGGGCCACGAGGGCCACCTCCCCAGGAGCCCACAGCAGCCCAGGGAGGCCTTGGGAGCAGCTTTGCCTCAGCCGCAGTCACTTCTCATCATCCCGCCCATAGTTAATCGTCTGTAAGGCCTGAGCTATGAGCATCGCCATCTCCCGGGTGCTGGCCGCAACCACTCTGCAAGCCATGAGGTCGAGGGGTCCACCTGGGGACAGACAGAGAGAGCCAGGCATCCGGGTTACCAGAGAGGGCTGAACAATGTTGTGTAACAACTTATCCCACATGCACACAGCACAGGAAATGGCACATGGAACCGTGCCCAAGCCCCAACACTCGTATTAAACAGGTGGTCTAGGAGTGAATTCGGCAAAGAATAGAGGGATGGAGCCTCTCCCGCCCCACCCCAGTGTGAATGCAGTCAAGGGCTGCACAGAACAGAGTGCGGCTCTGAAGCTGCCACTGCCTTAAGAGATGGAGAACATAAAAGTCCTAAGAAATGCAAGCAATGGGCTAGACCCGAACAGGGGAGCTGCCCTTCTCAAGCTTGACTGTGCACAGGGGTCAGCCAGGGGCTTGTGAAACCAAGGCTCTGCCTCAACAGGTCTGGGTGGGGCTGAGGCTACCTGCCCACAAGCTCCTGGGGGTGCACCGCTGCTGCGGGACCCACACTCGAAGAAGCTCGGGCAAGATGATAAAGCCTTGCATCTTCCTGAGGGATATGAAACAGCTCTGGATGCATGGGCTGGAGACCTGCTTGCACATACGTGAGCCTTCAGGTGCTCTAGTGGTAAAATCAGAGTGATGGGGGCTTTAAAATATGGAATGGAGGCCGGGCATGGTGGCTCAGGCCTGTAATCCCAGCACTTTGGGAGGCCGAGGCGAGTGGATCACCTGAGGTCAGGAGTTCGAGACCAGCCTGACCAACATGGCAAAACCCCATCTCTACTAAAAATACAAAATTAGCTGGGCATGGTGGTGAGTGCCTTTAGTCCCAGCTATTCGGGAGGCCAAGGCAGGAGAATTGCTTGAACCTGGAAGGCGGAGGTTGCAGTGAGCCGAGATCATGCCATTGCACTCCAGCCTGGGTGACGAGTGAAACTCCGTGTCAAAAAAAAAAGAAAAAATGTGGAATGGGGTCGGGCATAGTGGCTCATGCCTGTAATTCCAGCACTTTGGGAGACCGAGGCAGGCGGATCACGAGGTCAGGAGATCAAGAGCATCCTGGCTGACACCATGAAACCCCGTCTCTAATAAAAATACAAAAAATTAGCCAGGCATGGTAGCACGCACCTGTAATCACAGCTACTCAGGAGGCTGAGGCAGGAGAATTGCTTGAACCCGTGAGTAGGATGGTTGCAGTGAGCCGAGATTGTACCACTGCACTCCATCCTGTGTGACACCAAGACCCCGTCTCAAAAAAAAAAAAAAAAAAAAAAAAACAGAAACTCTGGGGAAGGTGGGAAATTCAGTTGGTGGGGACTTCAGGAAGTGCCCCACCCACAGTGTCTCTCAGTCTAGTTTCTGCCGCTGCATTTCAGGGACAGGAGAGCTCACCCGAAGTGTCTATCACGATGCCGCCTGCTTCTCTGATGATGACTGTGGCAGCCGCCAGATCCCAGCAGTGCAGGCCAAACTGGTAATAGGCATCCGCGGCCCCTGAGGCCAGGTGGCAGAGTGCCAATGTGGAGCTTCCAATCACTCGGACCCTGGGGAGAGGGAAGGGAGGACAGATGCAGGCGGGAGTGGAGCCTTTTCTGTGGTGTGCAAGCCGACTTCAGCCAGGTACCCCGGCTGGGCATTTTCCCTAGTGAAAAATGAAGCACAGCACTTCTGCCAAAGCTCTGGAGGCTGAATATAGGGCCTGGAGCCACCAACCAACAGGCCTCCGCCAGACGCAAATGCCTTGTGCCATGACAGCTCCCAGCTGACCTAGCTACTGAGCACCTGAGATGCAGCAACCAGAGAATTGAATCCTCCTCTACTGAACGTGACATTAAGTGTCAGTGGTCTCACATGGCTAGGGCTCACAGCACAGCCCTACTGGGAAGGCAAGAGACAAAGAGGATTCACTGGGCTTTGATAAACCTGTCTGACGCCAGGCCCCCTCGGGAAGGACTGTAAGTATTTGCACCATTCGCTGGTTGAGCAGCATGAGGTCAGTTCCATGGATTCTGATCAGAAGCAACACAGGTGCCCACGCATCTCCAGAGGCCTGGCTATAGGAGTATCTACTGCAGGCGGGCCCCTCACAGGGCTTCCCTGAGTCTGATGTTCATGTGCCCCTCCCACTCTTTCCACGTCAGGCTTCCTCCTCAAATCCCAGGGGAGTTTTAGCAAGTCCGTGTTCCGTTCTTCCTCCTCGGGCTGCAGGGTGTTCCCCGAACTGAACCTCCTACCCATGCGCCTTGGCATGCAGCAGCCGCTCCATGTTACTCAGGAACAGCTTCAGGGTCGCAGGGTCACGTTTGGGGCCAATTTCTGTCAGAACCAAGGCCTTTGAGAGATCTGCAATAAAAAGAATTTCCTGTCACCAGAAAAATCAAGTCTTGGTTCTAACTAAGGAGTACAGGCTTCCAACGTGAGCCTTTCTTTCTCAGAGTAAGGATCATCTTTCGACTGGTTCATGCTGAATGCTTTTTTGATATCTATGTTGAAAACTAAGGATGGACCGGGCACAGTGGATCGTGCCTGTAATGCCAGCACTTTGGGAGGCTAGGGAACAAGGATCACCTGAGGCCATGAGTTCCAGACCAGCCTGGGCAAGATGGTGAGACTCCATCTCTGCAAAAAAAAAAAAAATTAAAAGTAGCTGGGCATGGTGGCACAGGCCTGTAGTTGCAGCTACTCAGGAGGCTGAGGTGGGAGGATTGGTTGAGCCCAGGGGTTCAAGGCTGCTGTCAGCCATGATTGCGCCACCACATTCCAGCCTGGAGGACAGAGCAAGTCCCTGTTTCTTTAAAAAAAAAAAAAAAAAAAAAAATCACCATCATTCAACCAAAAAGAAAAGCAAAATGACTCCAAACTGGGAACACTCAATGTTTGGAGGGAAAAAATGCTTCATTAATCGTCTAACTGCTGCAATCGCAACGATAGAAATACCATTTTCTTGGAGAAAGCAACTTTTAAATAATGCTGCTTTGGAAAGGGAAGCTGCAGGAGTGAGCCCTCTGGATGCAGGGGGGTGCCGACACCTGGAATTCATGGCCTGCCGTTTATGTAACAGCAGGCGAGGCTGCCAGGGCTGGCAAGCCTGGCTCAGGGCAGGACGTGACCGGGATTCTGCTCCTGTCCCTGACTCACTGCTGGGGATCAGAGCAGTTTGTCCTTGTTGTGCCACACACCCAAACACAGCCAAACTTCGGTCATGTCCCGTCAGGCCTCACTGCCCGGGCAGGACAGTGCCAAACCAGGTGTGCTCCATGACAAAATAAAGCCACTCCCAAAGTCGGGGGAAACAAATCCTATCACATTACTGCACTCAATGGACCCAGTTCTGTGTCACCACTTTCAAATTCTCCGCTCACCCAGGAAATCTCTCAGCCAGAATCCAGGTCCAAGTGTCCCTTTTCTTCCATGGAAACTCTCATTTTACACCTTAAAGCACTTTCTGCAAAACACCTGGCTCCACACCAAAGCAACCTGCCTGCCCTCAGGAGGTCCAGATCATTCACCGCCGGCCATGCCCAGCACTGAAGCTGAGCTATGAGGGCACTCCTGCCCTGGGACTGGCAGCAGGCCCTCCACAGATACCACCTGAGCCCTGCAGCTGCCACCCACAGCTGGGACAAAAGGCGGCTGTTCCAGGTGCTCCCTAATCCACACAGGATCTGCAGACAGGCTCCAGCAACCCTTCCATTCCTTACCCTCCAAACCCCACCCTCACCTGGCCACAAACAGATGGTATTTTTTCCGGGGTGGGGGTGGGGAAGGCTTCCATTAAAGAAAGAGACATCAGCAGACCCAGGCTGAGTGGGCACTCGATAAACAGTTACTGAATGAATGAGTGCTTTCCCTCAAATGCCAGCGCTCAAGAAGGTAGGATTGGAGTCTTTGTTTTGATTTGGTTCATTAAATTACTAGTATTTTAATTTATGGGAGAAATGTTTGAGGCAGAATTTTGTTGGCTAATCTAAGAATCTAAATACTATATACAATACTGATTTTGGGGGTAAACTAATTCTGAATTACGAATATTTTAGTTAGAAATGCTCTTTTGGTCGGGCGCGATGGCTCACGCCTGTAATCCCAACATTTTGGGAGGCTGAGGCGGGCAGATCACCTGAGGCTGGGAGTTCAAGACCAGCCTGACCAACATGGAGAAACCCCATCTCTATTAAAAATGCAAAATTAGCCAGGCATGGTGGTGCATGCCTGTAATCCAAGCTAGCAGGAGGCTGAGGCAGGAGAATCGCTTGAACCCGGGAGGCGGAGGTTGCAGTGAGCCAAGATCACACCATTGCATTCCAGCCTGGGCAAGAAGAGCAAAACTCCATCTCAAAAAAAAAAAAAAAAATGCTCTTTTGAAATATAATAATATGGTAATCTGGGGAATGCGTGTTAAATTAAAATTAAAAAATAGAAATTGGACTCACAAGAAGAGATACAGATGGCAAATAAGCATATAGAAAGATGCTCCACATCATATGTCCTCAGGGAAATGCAGATTAACAACGAGACAAAGCCAGGAGCATGGCTTACGCCTGTAATCCCAGCACTTTGGGAGGCTGAGGCGGGAGGATCAGGAGTTTGAGACCAGCCTGGCCAACATGGTGAAACCCCGTCTCTATTAAAAATACAAAAATTAGCCGGGTATGGCAGCACGTGCCTGTAATCCCAGCTACTCAAGAGGCTGAGGCAGGAGAATCGCTTGAACCTGGGAGACAGACGTTGCGGTTAGCCAAGATCACACCACTGCACTTTAGCCTGGGTGACAGAGTGAGCCTCCGTCTCAAAACAACAATAACGAGACACCTCTACACATCTGTTAGAATGGAGAAACAACACTAACTACAACAAGTGCCAGCCAGGATGTGGAGCAACAGGAACTCGCATGCATGGCTGGTGGAAATGCAAAATGGTGCATCTGCTTTGGAGGATAGCTTGGCAGTTTCCTACAAATCTAAACATACTCTTACCATACCGTCCAGCAATCGTGCCCCTTGGTGTTCACCCAAGGAGTTGAAAACTTGTTTTCACATAAAACTTTCACACCAGTGTTAAGAGCAGATTTATTCATAACTGCCAACACTTAGAAGCAACCAAGATGTCCTTTAGTAGGTGAATAAATAAACTGTGGTACATCCAGACAGTGGAATATTATCCAGCACTTAAAGGAAATGAGAAAGCATGACAAGATACGGATGAACCTTAAATGCATATTGCTGGGTGAAAGAAGCCAATCTCAAAAGCTACACACCGTATGATTCCAACTCCATGACATTCTGGAAAAGGCAAAACTATGGAGACAGTAAAAAGATCAGTGGTTGCCAGAGGCTCAGGGGAGGGAAGAATAGGCGGAGCATGGGGGGTTTTTAGGGCAGCGAAAATATTCTATATGATACTGTAATGGTGGATGCCTTACAACACCAACAGTGAAGCCTAATGAAAACTATGAACCTTGGGTGATAATAATGTGTCTCATTTTAACAAATGCACCATTCTGTACGCGATGCTGATGGATGGGGAGGCTGTACGTGTGTGGGGACAGGAGGTGTATAGGAACTCTGTCTCTCTGCACCTTCTGCTCAATTTTGCTGTGAACCTAAAACCGTTACTCTAAAAAACAAAGTGAAAGAAAGAGGGAGGAAGGGCAGGGAGGGAGGAGGGAGGGGGAGAAAAGCAAGGGAGGAAAAGGAAAGAAGGGAAGGAGAAAAGAAAAAAATGGGATGGCTTGCATGATACTTTGGCCAGGAAAATCAAGGAAGAATGAATTGTCCCAGAGGAGGCCATGGGGGACAAGAAAGTGAAGTGGCAGTGACATCTTGTCTAATCCCACCCTATTTCTAATGTACTCATCTAACAACTTCAAGTCATACAAGTGCATACAATGCTTTTGTGTTTTTTTGAGATGGAGTCTTGCTCTGTCACTCAGCCTGCAGTGCAATGGTGCGATCTCAGCTCACTGCAACCTCTGCCTCCCAGGTTCACGCAGTTCTCTTGTCTCAGCCTCCCAAGTAGCGGGGATTACAGGTGCGCACCACCATGCCCAGCTAATTTTTGTATTTTTAGTAGAGACAGAGTTTCACCATATTGGTCAGGCTGGTCTCAAACTGCTGATCTCAGGTGATCAACCCATCTCACACAGTGCTTTTTAAAAATGATTTTATAGCTTATTCTGTTGCTCACTCTTTCAATATAAAAACATCTCATATACATCTTTTGCCATCAGTATCTTACTCTTAACAGCCGCACTCTATTCCATCTGGTGCAATAACTGCAATTTATGTCACCATTCCCCTGAAGATGAACAATTTTCATTTTTATTGTAAACAATGCTTCATAAACATCTTTTCTATAGAGGTTTATACAGTCATACTGATTTTTTTCGAGATAGATGAACACAAGTGGGATTTCTGAATCAAACGGTGTGCATATTTTAGGTTTTGATATAATTTTCCAAATTGCCCTCTGGGAAAGCTGAATCAATTATACATACGCCCCCTCAACCCTACTGGGCTATGAGGGATCCTGTACTATTTCCAAGTCCCTAACAGGCAGGCTCACCCTGGAGGTACACTCTAAGAGTGATTTTCTCTGAGCAGTAAAATCAGGACAGTGAAATCCTAACACACAGGGCACTTGCTGGCACCAGTGTTAATGACCCTGGGAAGAGATGAAGGAAGACACTGAAGATTTCTCCCCAGGAACTAGGAAGCTGAGCAATCAATTTCCATTGGGAGATAAGCACCTACTCTTAAAGGCCTCACCCAGTCTCCCCACACCTGAGGGCAGAGATGAGCACAGGGCGGGTGGGTGGAGGAAAGTCCGCCAGTGCCAGCCTAGACAGGCAGGTACTCCCCATGCCAGGGCTGGTGTAGGAAGCACAGAGATCTTCCAACCAAGTGCCCTGGGGTATTTCACAAAGGGAAGTTAATTTGTGTGCAAGAAACAGCAATTTTTCACTTGCTGACAGTGACCAGGTCCTCACTCTTCCTGACAGGCCTGTGCGAGCACTTCCCAGCCTACGTGCCACTGCCCCGTGCAACAGATGAGAAACCCAAGCTTGGAGAAGCGACATGAGCTGCTCAGGCCATGGAGCCATTACATGGTGGGGCCAGACTTACACCCAAGCTTGTCTGGTGATTGTGTGAAGGCAGGGGTTTCTTCCATAGTTTTCCTGTTTGTGAAAAGCTTGCTCTGAATCCAGCACCTTCTTCTTCTGGCCACCCTGAATTAATTCCTTCTCATTCTTGCCAACATACGTTTTCCCACATGAAATCAAGAACAGAGTATAGGCTGGGTGCAGTGGCTCATGCCTGTAATCCCAGCACTTTAGGAGGCCAAAGCAGGTAGATCATTTGAGGCCAGGAGTTCGAGACCAGCCTGGCCAACACAGGGAAACCCTGTCACTACTAAAAGTACAAAAAAAAAAAAAAAAAAAAAAAAATTAGGCAGGCGTGGTGGCACACATTTGTAATCCCAGCTACTGGAGAGGCTAAAGCACAAGAATTGCTTGAACCTGGGAGGCAGAGGTTGCAGTGAGCCAAGATCGTGCCACTGCACTCTAGCCTGGGCAACTGAGACTGGCTGTCTCAAAAAAAAAAAAGAACAGAGTATAAAGGAGGTCTGAATGTTGCCACCTAAAAGCAAAATGCTTTCTACTGTTTGATTTTGCTCCAGATAAGGGGGAAAAAACTTATGACAACCCCTACTTAATATTATCTTATGATTATTTCTGACTAGTTATCCACAATTACTATGATTTTTGTATTTTATTACCCTTTGTCCTATATTTACCATATCTTAGGTCTTAAACGCACACACACACACAAATATATATATATATATATATATATATATTCTTTTTGAGATGGAGCCCCATTCTGTCAGCAGGCTGGAGTGCAGTGGTGCGATCTTGGCTCACTGCAACCTCTGCCTCCCAGGTTCAAGCAATTCTCCTGCCTCAGCCTCCCGAATAGCTGGGATTACAGGCATGCGGCTAATTTTTTTTGTATTTTTAATAGAGACGGGGTTTCTCCATGTTGGCCAGGCTGATCTCGAACTCCTGACCTCAACTGATCCACCCACCTCGGCCTCCCAAAGTGCTAGGATTACAGGCGTGAGCCACCGGGCCCGGCCTAATGTATATCTTTTTAATTTCAAATATTCTGTGATTTCATGGGAAGCAGGGAACAGGGAGTTCTTGCTTAATAGGTGGAGTTCTTATTTGTAGGAACAAACATTTTGGAGATTATATAGTGCTGATGATTGTACAACATTGTGACTATAATTAATGTCATTGAATGGTATGCTGAAGAGTAATTAGAATGGAAAATCATATTTACATACATTTTACTACAATAAAAATATCTCATACATTTTGAAATAGGACATCTCTGTTTATTCTTTCAATAAACAGATTTTAGGATGAAAATGAATAGCCAGTGACTTCCGACAGTTTGGAAACCCTTGCTCTGGTTGAGCAATGCTAAGAGTATGCTGTCTTAGGGGAAACTTTACAACTCAAATAATGAGAGAAGTCATTTGAGTACACTGAAATACGTACTCATGAGCTGGGCGTGGTGGTTCATGCCTGTAATCCCAGCACTTTGCAAGGCTGAGGTGCGCCGATCGCTTTGAGGTCAGGACTTCAAGACCAGCCTGGGCAGCATGGCGAAGCCCCATCTCTACCAAACATACAAAAGTTAGCCAGGCATGGTGGTGTGTGCCTGTAGTTCCAGCTAGTCGGAAGGCTGGCTTTGGAGAATCACTTGAGCCCAGGAGCAGAGGGTGCCGTGAGCCGAGATCAGCCACTGCACTCCAGGCTGGGTGACGGAGTCTCAAAAAAAAGAAAAAGAAAAAAGAAATACGTACTCACAGAGTAAGAGGCAGTTGTGCTTTAAAGCCTATAAAACATGCCTGTGGCACAAGCTGGTTTTGTTGGATATATAACTTCTGTGACTACACTTTCATCAGTGTGTTGTTTTGGAGGTTTTTTCTGAGACAGGGTCTTGCTCTGTTTCCCAGGCTAGAGTGCAGTGGTGCAATCATAGCTTCTGTTACCTTGAACTTCTGTTACCTTGAACTCCCATGTCAGCCCTCTGAGTAGCTGGAACTACAGGCATGCACCACCACACCCAGCTAATTTTTAAATTTTTTGTACAGATTGGGGTCTTGCTATGTGGCCCAGGCTGGTCTCAAACTTCTGCTCTCAAGTGAACCTCCTGCCTCAGCCTCCCAAAGTGCTGGGATTACAGGTGTGAGCCATCGTGCCTCGCCTAACAAGGCCAATATTTTAATACTTCACAAAAACAATGAAGAGGGAGCTCTAGAACCATGAAACTACAAATGCTGTCTGGAGCCCCCACCCCCGCCCTCCAAGCCCCCAAAGCCCAGGAATCCAATGTCAAGTAACAGTAGGTAACCAAAAAGAACTATGGTTGAATCCCACACACAATTATCCTAAGAAAAAAAGAGTGAGGAGCAGAGTAACATGTATATGCCAATAAAAGAATTTTGCCAAAAAAAAGAAATCTAACCACAAAATAGGAGTAATAAAGAATATCAGGAAAAAAGAGCATAATCCAAATCACAGGTCACAGAACTTAGGAAAAATTACATAAAGGAAATATTTCAGAAAAGAAGACAAACTAAAAGGAACATAATGAATAAACACAAGAGATTATGCTTTGCAGGAAATTGAGGGTGAAAAAGAGGAAACTTTTTTAAATAAGATAATTGGTGGAAAAGATAAAAAGAGTACAAGAGGAAATGATAGTGAAAGCCCAACATACATTCAAGTCCCAGAAGACAAAAAACAAAGCAACACAATTGGGAAATAAAAAAAATATTAAAAACTGTAATTCAAGAAAACTCTTCTACAATTTAAAAAAAGAGGCCAGTCACAGTGGCTCATGCCTATAATCCCAGCACTTTGGGAGGCCGAGGCGGGCAGATCACCTGAGATCGGGAGTTCGAGACCAGCCTGACCAACATAGAGAAACACCATCTCTACTAAAAATACCAAATTAGCCAGACATGGTGGTGCATGCCTGTAATTCCAGCTACTTGGGAGGCTGAAGCAGGAGAATCACTTAAACCCAGGAGGTGGAGGTTGCAGTGAGCTGAAATCTCACCACTGCACTCCAGCCTGGGCAACAAGAGCGAAACTCCATTTCAATCAATCAATCAATCAATCAATCAATCAATAAATAAAGGCCGAGTGTGGTGGCTCATACCTGTAATCCCAGCACTTGAGGCCGAAGCGTGTGGATCACCTGAGGTCAGGAGTTTGAGACAAGCCTGGCCAACATGGTGAAATCCTGTCTTTACTAAAAGTACAAAAACTAGCTGGGCATGGTGGTGCATGCCTGTAATCCTAGCTACTCAGGAGACTGAGGCAGGAGAATTGCTTAAACCTGGAAGGTGGAGTTTGCAGTAAACCGAGATTGTGCCACTACACTCCGGACTGGGCAACAGAGCAAGACTGTCTCAAAAATATATATATTTTTTTATTTTTTTGAAAAATCGTATCTAACACTGTAAGCCTGACAACTTTCCAACACTTCAAGAGCTCTCCTGAGGAGTGGTGATATTAATATGACATTTTTAGTATTTTATTAAAAACTACATCAGCACTTAGAAGCGCTGAAAATCTCAGTGAAACCATTTCCCAAACGACCAATACATGATGTTATAAAATCAACAATGAACAAAAGATCCATTCAAAGTACAAGATAGCCCAATGGATTTCAATGTAACTGAGTACCAACAAATCCACTAGATTTCACACTGCAACTAACCTTTAAGAAATCTCTACTTGGCCAGGCGCGGTGGCTCACACCTGTAATTACAGAACTTTGGGAGGCTGAGGTGGGTGGATCACTTCAGGTCAGGAGTTTGAGACCAGCCTGGCCAACACGGTGAAACCTGATCTCTACTAAAAATACAAAAAAAAAAAAAAAAAAATTAGCCGGACATGGGGTGCGTGCCTATAATTCCAGCTACTCCGGAAGCTGAGGTGGGAGAATCACTGGAACCTGGGAGGCAGGGGTTGCAGTGAGCCAGGATCACACCATTGCACCCCAGCCTGGGCAACAGAGTGAGACTCCATCTCAAAAACAAAAAAAATTGCTACTTTTTGAGTTTTGGTTTGATATCAAACAAAAATGCCCTCAGTTATCTGAAAAGAGATTTAAAACACTTCTCCTTTTTTAAACTACGTATCTATGTGAGGTTAGACATTTTTTAAGACATCAAAAACAGGCTGGGTTGGTGGCTCACACCTGTAATTCCAGCACTTTGAGACGCTGAGGTGGGAGGATGGCTTGAGGCCAGGAATTCGAGACCAGCCTGGGAAACCTATCGAGACCCTGTCTCTACAAAAATATTTTTTAAATTATCCGGGCATGGTGGTGAGCACCTGTAGTCCTAGCTACTTGGGAGGCTGAGGTGGGAGGATCATTCGGGCCCTGGAGTTGGGGCTGCATTGAGCTACGATCACACCATTGCACTCCAGTGTGGTCAACAGAACAAGACTGTCTCTAAAAAATAATAATAATAATAAAAGACACCAAAACAACTTATTATAACAGATTGAATGCAGAAGCAGATATGAGAATCTAGTTGTCTTACATTAAGCCAGACATAAAGAAATTTGGAAAAAATGTAAAACTATCCCACTCTCCTCACTAAAGCTTTCTTATTTTGGAAAATATGATTAGTTCCCATAAAAATATATTATTCACGTTAAAATGTAATGAATTTTTAATCTTAAAATGAATTAATAAATGTTTTAAAGGCCTTCAGTAATTTTTTTAGGAGTATGAATGGGTTTGTCCTAAGATCAAAAAGCTTTAAAAATGCTATACTAGAGAATGTACTTCACACAACCAGAATGACTGGAGAAGCATCAGCACACAGGACAGTGGTGGCGTTAAATCTGTACCCACCTGTGGAACCATGACTGAATGATGGCTTTGAGGTGAGAGCGTGGCACACAGTGGCTGGGTGCTATCCCAATGAGGATGCAGCACAACCATCCAGAGGTGGACAGGTGACAGAGAGAGGACATGACCCATAGAACAAGCTTGTCAACTGTTACTGAGAGCAAAGGTTATCTTTTTATTTTTTTAAGAGATGGGGTTGAGGCCGGGTGTGGTGGCTCATGCCTGTAATCCCAATACTTTGGGAGGCCCGGGCGGGTGGATCACCTGAGGTCAGGAGTTCAAGACCAGCCTGGCCAACATGACAAAACCCTGTCTCCACTAAAAATACAAAAATTAGCTGGGCATGGTGGCATGCGCCTGTAATCCCAGCTACTTGGGAGGCTTAGGAGGAAAATCACTTGAACCAGGGAGGCGGAGGTTGCAGTGAGCCGAGATCGCCCCATTGCACTCCAGCCTGGGCAACAAGAGTGAAACTCCATCTCAGAAAAAAAAAAACAGAAAAAAAAAAACCCAGTATAACTCATTATCGACTCTATATTTTAAAAATATGGTCAGGTGCAGTGGCTCACAACTGTAACCCCAGCACTTTCGGAGGCCGAGGCAAAAGGCTCACTTGAGGTCAGCAGTTTGAGACCAGCCTGGCCAACATGGTGAAACCCCGTCTCTACTAAAAAATACAAAAAAATTAGCCAGATGTGGTGGCGCATGCCTGTAGTCCCAGCTACTCAGGAGGATGAGGCAGGAGAATTGCTTGAACCTAGGATGTGGAGGCTGCAGTGAGCCAAGACTGCACCACCGCACTCCAGCCTGGGTGACAGAGTGAGATCCTGTTTCAAAAAACAAAACAAAACAAATAAAAAATACGTACTTCCTAGCACAGTCCAGTGAAAAGGCAACAAAGACTGACCCAGGAACAGGAAGTCCCCCCAGAACGCAGACTATGACCTTAGGAGGCCACTTTCCATAAAAACGAGACAATTGGAAATTTGAACACTGATGGGATTATTTGCTGATTTTAGGGATGCATTTTGGGTAGAGAGTGATATTGATGATGTGATTGTATTTGTAAGAGAGCAGTCTGTTTTTGGAGACACGCTGAAGTACTGACTAGGAAGTGACCTGATGCCTGGGATTGGCTCCAGGCAGCTGGGGGTGGCGGGAGCTGGTGGACACACACGAAGCAGGCGTGCTGCCATGTGAGGGGTCATGGGGCATCATTTTGCTTTTTCTGTGTACTTTGTGTATGTCTGAAATTTGCATGGTAGAATTTGAAGAAGCAGCTAATAAAATTCTTGCCTTCTTCTAATCCTTTACCTCTATCCAGTGCTGTTTTTTAACTTGTGAGTTGAAGATATTCCAGCAAGGCATAATAGAAATAAGAAAGGGGAAGCCAAGGGAAGCAGAAAGAGAGAGGGAGAAAGAGAGAGAGATTAGTGGTGCTTGTTTTAATGACTGTGTCCTCCAGAAACAAGTCCTAATTTTAACAACGGGGCATGACTTGATTGGTTTTGTGCAAAGATTCAAGTTTCTTCTTTGATAATGGTTCTCATTTTAGGATACTGTGCCCCAGGCACTATGCTGGGTGCTTTATATGCGTAACTTATTTAATCCTCTCGGTTATTTTTATTATCATCAGCATCCCCGTTTTCAATATGAGGACTGAGATTCAGAGAGGTTAAGGAACTTGCTCGAGTTCTAGTCACCTTAGAAAGTGGCAGAATCGGCCAGGTGTGGTGGCTCACACCTGTAAGCCCAACACTCTGGGAGGCCGAGGCGGGTGGATCACTTGAGGTCAGGAGTTTGAGACCAGCCTGGCCAACATGGTGAAACCCCGTCTCTACTAAAAATACAAAATTAGTCAGGTGTGGTGGTGCGCACCTGTAATCCCAGCTGCTTGGGAGGCAGAAGAATCACTTGAACCCAGGAGGTGGAGGTTGCAGTGAGCCAAGATTGTGCCACTGCACTCCAGCCTGGGTGACAGAGCAAGACTCCATCTCAGAAAAAAAAAAAAAAAAGCGGCAGAATCAGGATCTGAAATTGGGTCTGCATGGTGCCAAGAGACCGTGCTGCTGAAGAGCATGCACTGTCACCTCCTGAAGTCCATCTACCCATAGGAAAGAAAACAACCATGGTAGAAAACACGTGGAACCGCCTGTCCTGAATGGGCCAGTTTAGGTTTTCACTGATTCTTTTTGGCCTTTCTCCCATATGGAGGAATTTGGTGATATTTTATAGCATTGTGAGACAGGTACTGTAGGGAACAGAAGAATACCAGACAAATGAGAGAAGCCTCAGACTAGCAGCAGCTATCTGCTATGCATTTTATCCATCAGAATTTTTCTAAAGTCACAAATGAGTTTCAGAACATGAGCACTTCATGTTTCCTTCATTCTACGAAATTACCAGGCCTACTGGGGGCCACATAAAGGGGCCCTGGACAAAGCCCTTGCCCTAGTGGAGTTGGTGCTTGAGCTAGCAGCCTGCAGGCTGGGAGGACGCAGAGTTGCAGCCTGACTGAGCTACACGGGCGGGCAGCCAGGATGCCAAGAGCATGTTAATAGAGTTCAGTGTTATAATCCAGTGAAATATAGAGCAAAGTTCACCCGAGCATGCTTAGTAGCATGCTTCCTCACCACCAGTTACACAATGAGGCTGGAGTGGGCACCTCCTGGCACGCACAGCTGTAATTAAAGCTACTTTTTTCACTGCCAAACAAAACACTTCTGGAGAGGGAAGGTGAGGCAGGGCCAGAGGCCATTCCAAGGCCTCTCTGGGATCAGAAGCTCTAACTGGTGAGTCCAACTGCTGGTTGCCCCTCAGAGGCCCCCATGACTTCTCCCTTCCCCTGCTCTGGGCTCTCCTGCAGCCACCTCCTCTCCTTTGCACAATCTTGCCCTTCGTGTCCCTCACACAGTGGCGGGCCCTCTCCTGACACCTCATCCATCCTGGCCCGCCACTTTCCTGGCCGCACGGGCTCACAGCAGCAGAGATGGGCCATGGCCATAGCTCCTCTCGCTGCCTCGAAGGCCATCTGGGCACACAGGCATCAGCCAGGGAGGAAAGAAGTAGGAATAAATAGAGACAATGAAGAAAGGTTGCCAGGAAAGGAATTTTTAAGAGAGGCTGGAAGTGGGTCAAGAGGGGAGGCGGCAGGGAGGCTGATGGGAGAGCAGAAGAAAGAGTGTAACTGGCAGGGAATGAGATGGGGGGCCCTGCATGATGTCCACGCCAGAGACACACAAGGCAGAAACAAGCAGCAGTGCACTTCCGCCTTTTCAAACCCAGACATGCAGGTATTATGGAGCTTGTAAAATCTCCCATGCAGCTGCTGCTAGTCTGAGGCTTCTCTCATTTGTCTGGCATTCTTCTGTTCCCTACAGTACCTGTCTCACAATGCAGTTAAAATATCACCAGATTCATCCATGTGGGAGAAAGGCCGAAAAGAATCAGTGAAAACCTAAACTGGCCCATTCAGGACAGGCGGTTCCAGGCAGTATGCAGGGAATGGGAACCCCTCTCTCAGAGCCACTGGATGACCCTGAGATTCTGGGCTAAGGAAATCACGGCAGGCCATAACTGCAGAGGGGCTAAGGTGCCTCTTCACATGACTCATTCCCCAGGATGGCTCTTCTCACAGAAGCTGAAGCCAGTTACTGTTGTGCACACTCAGGGGCCACAGACTGCACCTGGGCAGCAGTGCCTGGGCAAAATCGGGACCACCGAGGTGTGCCGGGTGCTCTGAGGGGAACAAGCACCTGGCCTCGGGCTGCTCACCCAATCCCACTACAACCAAATCGTGACTGCGACTGGAGTACTTTTAGCCTGAAAGATGAGGGATGTGAGCGCAAAGCAGAATGAGGTTATTTAAAGCTCCTGGCCACGTGAACAAAAACACTAACATACAGAACTGGCTCCATTTCCAGTTCATCAGGGACACGATGTCCCTAAAAAGAGATGACACCATCAGCAAGGGACCTCCACCACCGTCCCACATCATGGTGGCTTTGGCATTCTCCTTTCACACTTTTATTTCAGAAGTAAACTGAGACGAGCGTTGTGAAGCCCACCTGTCTCCCCGGAGACCCGGAGCCGCTGGCCATTGCAGAAGGCGCCCCGACCCCGCCGGCCCGTGTACAGCCGCTCCTCTGTGCAGTGGTAAATCACTCCGAATTCAAGCTGTGGGCGGCAGAGGCAGGACAGAAAACAAAGATGGTTCACTCGTTTGATGTGGGAAAAAACATTGTTATTCAAAGATGAAGGCTGCGCTAGGCGTTAGGATAACACATTACACTGTGACAGAAATTACCTTTCCAAAAGGAACTGAGAAAAAGCAGTGCCTGCATTTAAAATGAGACCTGGACATAAAAGCAAGCTTGCTTTTGCTAAATAAGTACAATTTTAAAATATATTCAGACAAACAAAACTTTAAAAATTAACATCATAATCAAGTATTAGTAACCAGAAGTTATTGAAAAAGCTTAATTTTTTAGAAAGGCCCCTTTTGTTGCTGAAAAAAAGAATGTTACTTGTGACTCTAACCAAACCCCACAAGAAATCCTCAAAATTGCTGATGTGTGAAGAATGGAGAATGCATCTGTAAAGCCAGCGGAATCTCAGAAGCCCAAGGACAGCCCCAGCGAGGAAGAGGCACCGCCGCAGACTGGGGACTGATCCGTGAGCAGGCAGTGCGCTGAACAGTGGCCCGACTGCCCCACATCAGGGAACAAAGCATCAGACCACAGCCTCCCAGGATGAAGCAGCAAAAGGAAGAGGTCAGCGTGGAAAAGGACGGCAGCCCACGGCCGCGTGCCTCTGTGATCTTTCCTCTACCGACTTTTCACCACTCAGGGTTAACAAGGGCCAGCATGCTTGCTTAGCAAGTTAGCCAAGTGTTCACCTCTCTGGAAAATTAAAAAAACACCCTGGCCAAATGCCTTAGGAAAGCCTTGGCTGGCCCTGGGGTGAGCACAAACACCCTAGAGTGGACACCCCAAGCTACAGAGAAAGGGTTTATTTCTGGCGGTTGGAGGCGTCATTCAGTCAACGCTTTTTCAGAGCCTGCAGGTGTCTGGCAGCATTTCATCATCCTTCCCCTTCCGGTACCCTGGCTTTAAAGGAATCCTCATGACCAGGTCAGTCCTAGAATTCGGCTGGTTCCTGAGGCCTGTGAAGAGCTCCCAGAGTGCAGAGGAATGTCCCCCACTCCCATGGGGAGGAGCCCACCACGAAAAGCCAGGAGCTCCCGTATTCAGTGTAGTAACATAGGACAGACCCTAGCCAACCCACAGAAGGGCCAAGGACCTAGCCAGCTGTTCCAGCAGCCCCTTCACACAGTCACAGAACATCAATCAACCCCTGAAGTACTGCTCAGCCTCCCACCCACTCTGGGCACCACAATATTATTTAACAGAGAAAGACGTCAATCATTGCATCCTTAGACAAATTACAGTATTACAATTCTTACTTATCTTCAGCTTAAGTACTTTGAGATACTTTAGTACTTAACTTTAAATACTTCAACTTAAGTACTTCTCTCAGCTCCCCTGCCAGGGAGTCTGTGCTGAGACTAAGGTGAAGCTGCACAAATGCTGCTCTGAAGCAGGGCTGCTTTTGAGAAACATGCAGCCCTCGGCCCTATTTAAATAAAACTGTTTCAATTAGAAAGAAATTAAGGCTCTTCTCAGTGCTGCTGCTTGAATTATTTAATAAGCTTTAAACCTCAGCCCCACGCCTTCCATGCAGGTCGCACAACACTGTGTAGTTCAGAAGGTCTATGGGAACCATGAAAGAGCTATGTTCTCATGCTAATAACCAGAGGAAGATAAGAAAGAATTATTAGAATATTGGGATTGAGGATGCTCTCCAAAACTAAGTGCTCCTTTTAGTTTGTGAGATCACACGCTCTAGGGGTCAGCTGGAGATGCACTTGGACCGTTCACTTAAGACTTCCGCTTCCACAGCAGTGTCACAAATAGACCACGGTTGACACGAGGCCAGCCCTCCACGGGGGACAAGGGCCAGCCACGGAGCCCCACCCCGCACACCCCAAAGCCAGTCTGGACTTGTTTATTTTCTCGGATTTGAAACCCACAGGCTTGGATTTGCCAGTCATGATTAAGGCACAGGGCAAACAGCAAACCAGGCGCACAGAGGCTGAAGCCAGAAAGGAAGGATGGCCAGAGGGAGCCCAGGGAGGGGCCCTGGGGACCTGGGCCACACCCGCACCTCTTGTCGAACAGCAAATCCAATGCTAACCGCCACAGTCGGGAATCTGCAAAGGAAAATAGAAAGGTTTACTCTCTGGAACAAGAGCGGCAGCTCTCGGGAGCCTGTGTGCTGTGCGGCTCCCCGCAGGCTCAGAAGGACCTTCCTACACTCTGGGTGGGTTGGTTGTTTAAAAACTACTTCCCACAGTTTCACTAACTGCTTCCAAGACAAACAGAATAAACTGACCATGTCGTAAGACAGTTAACCTTGAAAGAAAACAGCACTGTGAAAGTCACATAAGACTGATGTAACTCAACAACCCTCTGAAGCCCAATTAGGAAGGATCTCAATCATCTGTTTTCTGGTTCTCCAGACCTAAAGGGACAGCAGAGCCCTCCCCAAAGGCCAGACCCAGTCCCAGGTGGGGCGCCAGGCAGGTGGTCCCAGAAGGCACCACAGCCTCCCCATGGGGGCCAGTTCTGAGCCACAGCTCACCCTGTGGCACTGCTAGCATCCCTGCCTGAGTGCCCAGTAGCCAGCTGCAGGGACAGCCACGGCTGCAGACAGTTTTCATGATCAGTTTGCCTGCAGTTTTGTGATTCTGCTATTGCCGCTCAATATCTTCAAAATAATCCTTCCTTTATAGGGAGATCACTGGAGCTTAAAAACAGGCAGGAAAGGCTGGGTACTGCAAACTGACAGGAAAAATGCAAAACCAATTGTACACAAATGCAACTCTGACTGCCAGGGTGTGTGGGACCTTGGGATGAGCCGCTGGCTTCCAGAGCAAATGCACCATGTGCCAGGCCTCACGCTTGTTCCAGTGCCCAGGAGAGCTTTCTCCCACTGCTGTGGCCCAGCACTGGTGGGCACAGGGGTGAACAGGCGCCATCTGAGTGGCAGATGCTGGTGGCTTTCGGATGTCTTCAGACCACAACAATCACCACAGCTATAGCGTGGGGTTCAGGAACTGTCAGGATCAGCTCTGGAGACTGTTCTGAAATTGCTGCTCTTTTCCCAGTCACCTCCCCAGTACCAGGATCCCCCCAGGGGTGCAGACAGGAAAGCACTGGAAACTATGTCTCTGGAGCCACTGAAGACCCTCGAATGGACGTGTGGCCTTCACCATGTGACGGGGCTTCACCTGCCATGTCACCATTATGAGCACCCTGGAACCACGAGCAGGCAGAAGTAATGAGGCTCCACTCAGTGACATACTCTGGGGAGGAGAGCCCTGGGAAGGATCATGCTTTAGTTGAAATGAGAGGAGAGATTGGTGACACATTTGCTGGCACCAGATGGCACGACTCCACTGCCTCGAAAGGGTCACCTTATGTAGGCACAACTGAATTCTCGAGGCAACTCACCTAGAAAAAGGCTGTGCTTAGCATGGAATAACTTCATGTTTTACATATAAACATGCCATCAGAGGCAGATCATAAAGGAGCCCACACCCGGGCTCTGCTCACCCTTCCTGCTTAGCGCGTGCAGCCTAGTGTGCTGGCGTGCACTGTGAGCGCAGGAGCTGCAAGCCACCCGCCCATGGAATGGGAATCTCTCCAGGGTTCTCCAGAGCTGGAGAACCACGCTCCGTTTAAGCCACATCATGCTCTGTGCCCCAGGCCCCCAGCCACCTGTGCGTGTAGACAGGCAGCGCAGCACCATCACCTGCCACTGCCAGAGAACACCTGTGGTCGTGTCCCTGTCACCTTTGCATCCTGTCACTTCACCATCCCCGAAGCTCCATTCCCTTCACCTCCCCACACGGGCCCTTCTGACCTCCCCAAACCTCCTGCTTTTTGTAACCACAAGGTTTGCTCTCATACAGGAAGCTGGCTCTCAAGTCTCACCTGTCACAGGCCACTCTCTACACCTTGGGCTCCGGGCCACTGTGGGGCAGCACAGGCTTTGTATCCCAACCTCACCTTTTTCTCCAGTGGGGGTGGGGTGTGAGGGGAGTCAGACTCCTTCAAGGGGTCCTTGTTAAATGCAACCCAACATTTTTAACATAACAAACTGGTTTTTAAACAAGTGCAGATTTCCTAACATACTCCAAGAGCCTCTCACAAACGGAAAACCTTATTTTAAAAATATCAAGATCTGATCATCTTTCTGATGAGACTATGAGTGTACTATAGGTTTGTTTATATATTCCTGCCTTAAAAAATGCTGCTTTTGAAAAGACAAAACCTCACAGAAGAGGACATGTTAAGCCCTGCAATGGAGGCGATCCCTGCTCAGCTCACCTGTGCACAAAATTGCAGGTGCCGTCGATGGGGTCGATGATCCACGTCGGGCTGTGGGTGAGCACACACTTGGCCCCAGAAGCCGCGGCCTCTTCTGCAATGAACCTGCAGTGGAAGAACCCAGCCTGAGAAAATGCACCAAGGACACAGAATAACGTGCCTGAAATTGCTTCCAGTCCCATTAAAGAAAAAGGTGGCACAGCAAACAGATGTCATCATGGTTTCTCTGGGTCAAACAGAGGCAGAGTCTTTAAACAACCATGTGCTTTTTGACCTGCCTGCCAGCGGACCTACTCAGCAGGATTTAGAAAACAGAGTGACACCTCAGTGCCAGCGTTCAGAAAGAGCACCAGGGAATTCCAGCAGGCCAGGCAGAGAAATGCAAGCGTGAAGAACACTGGAAAACAGATCTTCTGAAGCAAAACTAAACTCGATTTTAACTTCAGTCTGTAGGGGAGGAGGCTGATGAGATATGACCAAGCAAGGTGGCCCAGGACTCTGACTTTGATTCTCCCAGTCAATGCTGATACCTGGGCACCGAGGGGTTAAATGTCACTTGCAGCTGAGATCTCCCACGTCTGTACCCAGCCTGGCTCACCTGAACTGCAGACACAGGTGACAAACAGAGCCCCCCCGCAGCTGGTTCATTTCCCAAAGGTGCCCTTCCTGCCCTGGTATCTGACTTCCCTGGTTTTTTTGTTGTTGTTTTTTAAGAGATAGGGTCTTGATCTGTTGCCCAGCTGGAGTGCAGTGGTATCATCATAGCTCATGCAGCCTCAAACTCCTGGATCCAAGCAATCCTCCTGCTTTGTTCTCCCAAGTAGCTGGGACTACAGATGCATACCACCACATTCAGCTAGTATTTTTATTTTTGTAGAGGTGGGGTCTTGCTACATTGGCCAGTCACAAATCCAGCTTCCCTCTGGGAGCAAGCAAGGGTGGGGCTGCAGGAAGGAGAGAGGCTGGGACGCTCCCTGCCCCATGTGCCCTGTGCAGGCTCCACTCCTCCATGTGGCCTGCTTGACACATTCCTGCTAGAGGGACATGGGCGGCCTGCTCCTGCACTCTGCAGCAGGCCCTGGGCTGGCCCCTCCTTTGTAATGAGTCCCTCTGCAAACAAGGCCCCCTACAATCCTCACTTGAGTGTGCGTCTGTCCTGCTAGGAACCTGACCGAGACAATGTTCTCTCAAGATTCACCTGCACAGAAGGGAACTCCTGGTTTTCTCTACTTGCCTCTACCTCCACGAATGGCAACTCCCAGCACCCCCTGCTCAGGCCAAAAACAAGGGAAAGCACTCTCGCCCCATGCACTGTCACCCTTCCTCCTGCACCCCACCCACACGCAGGCCCACACACACAGGGAAGATGCTGTGGTCAGGTGTATTCGCAGCCCACCTTCTGCAGGCTGGTCCCTGTGGAGCTGGCCGCTGTTTACACCTTCCAAAGGCATTCTCAGGATCAAAGAAAAGACTAGATCTAAAGCATTCAGGGCAGTGCTTTTGACACTCTTGGACTGTCCCAAGTTCACTAAGGGTGAGGCCTTGGGCAGGCGCTAAGCAAACATCTGTTCTGTGCATGACTATGTGGCCTTGCCGAGAGGTTTTCTATCCAGTTCCTGTGCCGGGTTCACATGTGTACTAGAGAAAAAGGAGACCTGCAGAGAGTAAGAAAAAGAAAATAAGTGAAAAACAAGCAAGGCGCGGTGGCTCACGCCTGTAATCCCAGCACTGTGGGAGGCCAAGGCGGGCAGATCACCTGAGGTCAGGAGTTCGAGATCAGCCTGGCCAGCATGGTGAAACCCTGTCTCTACTAAAAATACAAAAATTAGCTGGGCGTGGTGGTGGGCGCCTGTACTCCCAGCTACTTGAGAGACTGAGAGAGGAGAATTGCTTGAACCCAGGAGGTGGAGGTTGCAGTGAGCCGGAGGTTGCAGTGATCCTAACGTTGCAGTGAGCTGAGATCACACCGCTGCACTCCAGCCTGGGAGAGTGAGACTCCATCTCAAAAAGAAAAAAAAAGAAAAAGAAATAAAAATACAAAAATTAGCTGGGGGTGGTGGCGCACGCCTATAATCCCAGCTGCTTGGGAGTCTGAGGCAGGAGAATCGCTTGAACCCAGGACGGGAGGGATGCAGTGAGCCGAGATCATGCCATTGCACTCCAGCCGGGGTGACAAGAGTGAGATTCCATCTCAAAAAAAAGAAAAGAAAGAAAAGAAAAAGAAAAGAAAGAAGGAAGGGAAGGAAGGAAGGAGAGAGAGAGAAATAAAGAAGGGAAGGAGGGAAGAAAGGAAAGAAAGGAAAGAAAGGAAAGAAAGAAAGAAAGAAAGAAAGAAAGAAAGAAAGAAAGAAAGAAAGAAGAAAGAAAAAGAAAGAAAGAAAGAGAAAGAAAGAAAGAAAAGAAAAGAAAGAAAAGAAGGAAAGAAAGAAAGAAGCGTCCCATGTTCTGGTGTTTGGTGTATTATCCACTGTGGTCATCAGCCTCCTGGAAGCCACTTTCCCCGCACGAACCATGTGGTCTAAGATTTGGCATCAATGAACTTTTGGATAAGGCTGGAGACTTGAGTGTGAATGGAAAGACTGAAATGAAAACCTCTGTGACCGCTCAGCGCCTTACAGTAGCCAGTCACCGCATATGGCTGCTTACATTTGAATTAAATAAAGACTTCAGTTCTTCAGTCTCATGAGCCACCTTTCAAGTGCTTGGCAGTCACGTGGGTGAGCGGCTACCACTGTGGACACAGCAGATGTGGGCCACCCCTGCAGCAACAGACAGAGCCGCTGGCAGTGCTGTCCTCCCACCGAGATGCTGAGAGGCAACAGCAGGCATCTCATGGTATTCGATGTCACTTTTTTTTGGAGACAGAGTCTCGCCCTGTCGCCCAGGCTGGAGTGCAATGGCGCGATCTCAGCTCACTGCAACCTCTGCCTCCCGGGTTCAAGCAATTCTCCTGCCTCAGCCTCATGAGTAGCTGGGATTACAGGCGTGCGCCACACGCCTGGCTAATTTTTTTTATCTTTAGTAGAGATGGGGTTTCACCATGCTGGCCGGGCTGGTCTTGAACTCCTGATCTCGTGATACGCCCACCTCAGGCTCCCAAAGTGCTGGGATTGCAGGCGTGAGCCACCACGCCTGGCCCGATGTCACTTTTCTATGCACGGGAGCTGCCATACACACTGTAACCACCCTGGTCCCCATCCACTCTGGGACCATCCTTCCACTGCTGGGTTATGAAGTTCATGCCTGGGATGCAGAGTCATCCAGCCCCTCCATTTTGCTGATAAATTATCTAGAAATACAACCCTGGGATACGACAAGTGCACGCATACATCATCTCAGGCTGTGCGACCTCCTCCCCGGCCCCCTGGAGAAACCCACGAATAAGCAGGGGCTTCTGAGCCAAGAAGACCAGGTCAAGTCAAGCCAGGAGCACTAAGCAAGACACCCAAGGAATCATCAGCTGTTCCTGGAGAGCCTGGGCAGGCTCAGTCTGCCCCTGGAGCTTTCAGCCTAGCCAGGCAAGGCAGATGAGATGCAGTGAACCCAGGCTTCTGGTTCTTCATCTACACTGCACGCCTTGCTCCTTGCAGGAACTGCCTCTCCACTCTCAGTTGTCCACATGCTTCTAGGTCAGGTGATGCACAGGCCCACCAGCCAGAGCCCCTGCTCAGGAACTGGTGCTCCCCAAACAGATCTAGGAGGAAAAATGGTGGGTAGAAGCCACAATGGCAGCCGGGGCAGGGGGTGGAGAGGCTGCCTCCTGACAACAGCAGCCTGCAGGAGACACACAGGTGATGATTCCACTTAGGGCGTGATCATAAGTGCTGTCAGCACTGCCAGTTTTCCTAGAAACTTCAGGCACTAAATCTGTTTTTCCATGTCTTCTGTAGCTATGTGACTTTCCTCTTCTGTAATGGCTTGCAATGACGTTTTTAAAGAAAACGCTCCACACCCTGAAAACACACATACAAGGAGCAACTACGAAAGCTTAAACTGGGCACAAGGTTGACAAAGCAGCGAACAGATATGACTCAGGTCCAGAGGGACTAGAAATGACTCAGGCACAAAGGTAAGTTTCTAAGAAACTGAGGAGGAATGTGCAATTCTTCTCCTTTTTAAACCTGACTTCAAGTAGGAAACTGAAGCGGTGGAAAGAAAACTGCCAGTGAGCCCTGAAGGAGGAGGCAGTGTGGGTCTGCAGGCACTGACACTCCACACCCAGGACAACTCACGCTGCAGCACCCAGACCACCCACGCGGCATGCCCACGTGCCTCCCAGGACACTCGGGAGCAGGAGCTCTGTCTGTTCATTCGCCAGATGCGTGGGACACCCTTTAGGGAAGTCACCAAGCAGCTTGTTTTCCCAGCAGCAACTATTAATATAAGTTAATTTGTTAACAAAGCTTCTGCTGTGTGTAACCTTTATTATTTATCTATTTGTTTTTTAGGTTTCATTTAGTGTAACCCAGCAAGTACTTTTAGAAATTTTTTTTTTTTTTCTTGGAGACATGGTCTCGCTTTGTCAGCCAGGCTGGAGTGCAGTGGCACAATCATGGCTCACTGAAGCCACAAACCACTGGGCTCAAGCAATCCTCCTGCCTCAGCCTCCTGAGTAGCTGGGACCACAGGCATGCATCACCACACCTGACTAACTCTGCCTCACATTTTTTATGAGAATAACTCTAAGTACCCACACTGAGCACTGGATGTTTTTCAGCAGCTGATCATTCATACCCTAGAGCTGTCTTCCTCATCACCCACCTTGTGTACACCTCTGCCCATGAGACTGCCTGCCCGCCTACAAGGTGGCACGAGCATCCCCCTTCCCACCTGCCTCATGCTTGTGGGCAGCAGGGAGCAGGCTTCTGCACTGTGTGGCTGCAGCGGTGTGAAGGCCAGCAGAGGCGTGAACCGTGCTCGGTCTTTGGAGGCACCAAAAATACTTCCCTGGTACATGGGAAGAGATGCACAATTTTTATTCACTTAAACCTGATTTTACTCATGTAGGAAGCTAATACCTGTGAGATGAAAGACAATGTTTTACAGCTGTCTGCAGAGGGAGTGGGGAGAGTCTGCTCTGCAGACATGACTGTAGACAGATGTGTGAAATCATAAAGACCTTCCTAAAAGCCACTGGAACATCTACATAGAATCCACAATATAGGCAGGGCACGGTGGCTCACGCCTGTAATCCCAGCACTTTGGGAGGCTGAGGTGGGTGGATCACTTGAGGTCAGGAGTTCAAGACCAGACTGGCCAACATGGTGAAACCCCGTCTCTACTAAAAATATGAAAATTACCCAGACATAGTGGTGCATGCCTGTAATCCCAGATACTTGGAAGGCAGGAGAATCGCTTGAACCCGGGAGGCGGAGGTTGCAGTGAGCAGAGATTGCACCACTGCACTCCAGTCTGGGCTACAGAGCAAGACTCCATCTCAAAAAAAAAAAAAACCCACAATATAAATAGGAAAAAAAATGCACATGACTAAATTTAGGGAAAAAAAGAACATTCCATACGTCTATCCAATAGACAAGAGGAAAATAGCAACTGGATTAAGGCTAAAAGTTTGGTAATAAGTTATTATAGAATATTATATCCTACTGCATAACTTAACCACTTTTCTTTTTTAAAAAATAGTTTTAACAAACCCTCCTTATAATTTTGACAGCTGAGTGCCTTTAAGCCCCTTTTTTCTTTCTTTCTTTTTTTTTCTTCTGGCTACTTAGTCTGTTTAGTCTGTGACAAGAAGGTCAGGATCATCCCTGCTGTCCACAAAGGAGATGATTTATGATACTCTGTCCCCATCTTCACAAGCCACTGCCCAGTGGGAAAGCAGCTGGATGTCAATGTTCAGCTGGTGGTGGCTGGGAGCATGTTTTTCCCATGTCAAGGATTCTGTTTGATGTTTTGCTTGACTCACGCATTCAACAGACACTGCTCTGTGCTGGGCACTGCAGGGCAGCAGGTTACATGGGGGCTCTGGAGCAGGGCTGGGAAGACAGCTAAAAACACTAGACCCTTGAGCTGCTGACCTCATCTCTGGGCCTAGGCCAACCCAGAGAAGCTCCAACAGGCTGCTCCACAGAAGGGACAAGGACGGGGTTTCTATCACTATAGCTCAGGGATGCTACTGAATCTTTTCCAAGTAGCTACACTTGTATCTCACTCAAAATCATCATCTGAAAACAGGTTTAGGCGCCCCACAAAGCCAGGGCATGGCAGGAGACAGCTATGTGGCCAAGGCCAACAGCACACTCCAAAGACCCAATCTATAAAAACCCGGCCTTACCATGCTGCCTTTTTTTTTTTTTTTCCTTTTCTTTTTTTTTTTTTTAAGATGGAGTCTCACTGAGATGCCCAGGCTGGAGTGCAATGGTGCAATCTCAGCTCACTGCAACCTCCACTTCCCAGGTTCAAGCGATTCTCCTGTCTCAACCTTCCAAGTAGCTGGGACTACAGGCATGCGCCACCATGGCCCAGCTAATTTGTTTTCCTATTTTTAGTAGAGACGGGGTTTCATCATATTGGCCAAGCTGGTCTCGAACTCCTGATCTCAAGCTATCCACCCACCTCGGCCTCTGAAAGTGCTGGGATTACAGGTGTGAGCCTCTGTGCCCAGCCCTGGTTTGCTTTTTGTCATGTTACGAGTTAAATGCTGGGACTTCAGGGATGACCATGGTCAGGTCCCTCATTCACAGGTGAGGAGTTCGAGGCCCTAAGTGGTGAGATTTGCCAAAGCTGCTAGGGCCAGTGACAGAAGCAATTTTATTTATTTATTTTTTATTTTTTGAGACAGAGTTTTGCTCTTGTTCCCCAGGCTGGAGTGCAGTGGCGTGATCTCAGCTCACTGTAACCTCCACCTCCCAGGTTCAAGCGATTCTCCTGCCTCAGCCTCCTGAGTAGCTGGGATTACAGGCACGCACTACCATGCCCAGCTAATTTTTTGTATTTTTAGTAGAGATGGGGGTTTCACCATGTTGGCCAGGCTGGTCTCGAACTCCTGACCTCAGGTGATCCACCCGCCTCGGCCTCCCAAAGTGCAGGGATTACAGGTGTAAACCACCGCGCCCAGCCTATTTATTTTTTTGTTTTGAGGCAGGGTCTCACTCTGTTGCCCAGGCTGCAGTGCAGTGGGGTTTTTCATAGCGGCTGCATCAATTTACATTCTCACCAACAGTCTGCAAGGGTTCCTTTTAATCTACATTTTTTTTTTTTTTTTTTGAGACAAGGTCTTGCTCTGTCACCCAGGCTAGACTGCAGTGGCAGCATCACAACTCGACCTCCAGGACTCAAGCGAGCCTCTCACCTCAGCCTTCCAAGTAGCTGGGAGCATAAGCGTGCACCAGCATGCCCAGCTGATTTTTTAATTTTTTTGTAGAGATGGGGATTCACCATGTTGCCCAGGCTGGTCTCAAACTCCTGGGCTCAAGCAATCCTCTGACCTTGGGCTCCTGAAGTGCTAGTATTACAGACATGAGCCACTGCACCCCACCAGAAGGAAGTTTAAACCTTATCATTCTTTGATTCAGTCTACACCTGTCTTCCAGGTCAAGGAGCAAACCTTTGGATTTCATGGATGAGTGAAATAAAATAATAAAACTGGGGAGCCTGTATCAGGTTTTTAAAAAAATGTTATTAAGTCTATTTTTAATATCATTTCATGAAAGACTAAAATCAAGGAAAGAGAAAAGCTCAGAATAAAAGTCTTTCCTAAAGGAGGATGAGAGGCAACTTCAAATTAAATATATTGTTTAAGGGATATATTTAAATACTTAGAAAGCAGAAAAAAATCACAATGTCCTATTTTACAATATGTATACAATTTTCTCTCATCACAAATTTATCAACTTTTCTATGATCTAAAATACAATTAAATCCCCAAAATTTACTTTCTTTTTAATCTTAGTCATTGGCAAAAAAAACTCACTTCACATAAATATGTTGAAAAACAACTGCATTTGATGTCAATTTTTGAGGCACACTGAGCAGAGAAGAGAACAGCTGCTTTCACCGTGTCCACACATTCACCCTCAGAGCTAGGGAAGATGGGGGTGACACACAGACTGGGGCTGTCCGTGGTGCAGCCACAGTCCACTGACTTGTGGGCTAGAGCTTGGGAACCCCAGATTTCAATCACTGATTCCTGGACAGGTGTGTGGGTCTGACCCTACCAGGGGGCCTTTTCAGAGATGGAGGCTGGTGTTCAGCCCGGGCACGCTCCCAGGTAAGCCTGTCTCACCCTACCTATAATCCCCTGCTCTGCATCATGGTTTTCCCAAGGAACTCTGGAGTCTGGCGGTCCCTGGCAACCCTAAGGCCTCAAGGGTGGAGGGAGGTACCTGTGCTCACCCCATAATACATTAACTTTTACCTTGTGTACACAACAGCGAGTATCTAAATTTACCTTTTACAAATGGAACCAACTGCACACATTAACCCAACAGTGGGTTGCGTGCAATCTCAGAGTGCAGTTTGTCCAAGTGACCTGACTGAAACACATCACAGCCCCAATAACTTCACTGTGCCTGATCCTGCATCTCCTCCAAGCCTTTACCAGACCCCACGCAGATGAGCCAGCCCTCCCATGCCACGGCCACACGGATCATCACCGCAGAAACCTCTAGGCCAATATGGTTAATAAAGGACCTGGAAACAGCCGGCTCGTTACTGCAGCATGCTTCCTCTCAAAGAATCCATATGATAAATTCTTTTGCTATTGCCCTTTGATTAAAATTAGGTTTATTTATTTATTTTTCGAGACAGAGTCTTGCTCTGTCACACAGGCTGGAGTGCAGTGGTGTGACCTCGGCTCACTGCAACCTCCGCCTCCCAGGTTCAAGCAATTCTCCTGCCTCAGCCTCCCGAGTAGCTGGAATTACAGGCCCACGCCACCACACCCGGCTAATGTTTGCATTCTTAGTAGGGACGAGGTTTCACCATGTTGTTCAGGCTGGTCTTGAACTCCTCACTCGTGATCCGCCCGCCTCAGCCTCCCAAAGTGCTGGGATTACAGGTGTGAGCCACCCTAAAATTAGGTTTTAAAAGGCTTTTTAAAAATCACAAACACTGGGGCCGGGCGTAGTGGATCACACCTGTAATCCCAGCACTTTGGGAGGCCGAGGCGGGCGGATCATGAGGTCAGGAGATCGAGACCATCCTGACTAACAAGGTGAAACTCCGTCTCTACTAAAAATACAAAAAATTAGCTGGGCGTGGTGGCGGGCACCTGTAGTCCCAGCTACTCAGGAGGCTGAGGCAGGAGAATGGCGTGAACCCGGGAGGTGGAGCTTGCAGTGAGCCAAGATCACGCCACTGCACTCCAGCCTGGACGCCAGAGCAAGACTCCATCTCAAAAAAAAAAAAAAAAAATCACAAACACTTTACACCCTATAACTACTGTAACCAATTCTTGGGATCCTGACCTCAAGCAGAGTAGGGAAATAGGAAGTTAGAGAAGCTTAAACTCAAAGGTTGTCAACAAAACAAACATGAGCGACTGGCAAACAGAAATTCAGAGGGAGAGCTGGTAACCTTGAGATAACCTAACAAGTTAGAAGGAAACGACGGGAAAAAAAAAGAAGGTAAGTGTTTAACACTCGCTTGTTCTTTCATTTATATAATCATTCACAGAAAAAAAAAAAAAAAAAAAAGAGCCAGGTGGAGTGGCTCCTGTAATCCCAGCTACTCAGGAGGCTGAAGCAGGAGGATCACTGGAACCCAGGAGTTCAAGGCTGCAGTGAGCTATGATCATGCCACTGCACTCCAACCTGGGCAACTGAGCAAGACCCTATCTCTTAAAAAATATATAAAAATAAATGTAAAGAAAAGTATTTTAAGCCTACCATGTGCTGAATGGACACTGAGGGAGAGTACCATCTATATTTCTGCCACCTAAGTCCATCTAAACCTGGAACCTGACAGTTATAATACCCTACAGCCAGAAATCCAATAACTGGTATTCCAGTTTTAAGAATCCAACATCTTTAAAAGATTCTATGTAACGAAGAAAAAAGATCCCTTGCATGGTCTTCAGCATTTATACTGCAGAACTCTAGAGGTGAGAGAGGGGCCTTAGAGCCCCCCAGAGTTAAAGAAGATGTCTCAATCTGGGGTTCATGGCTCCCTTAAAATGCTATGCAAAATGCTGTGTAAATATTTTAATTTTTCTGAACAAAAGATTAATAGCTAGCATCAAATACTCAAAGGGTGACCCCAAAAAGGTTAAGAGGTGCTCATACAGGCCTCTTGCAGGGACAGCTCTGGGGCCCGGCTGTGGCAGCCATTCCCACTGCGCCCTCTGGCCTGGGCGAGGGGGCGTGCATCACTAAGCACTAGTGGTGGGCCGGGGGCCCCACGCGGCTGCCAGTGCCACTTGGCATCCCATCCTCCTGGGAAAGTTGCCCAGGCAGCTGAACAGGCATAGGCCACCAGGGGACATCACCACTCCAGGCTTCTTAGGGTGGGTCACACTTCTAGTGGGTCCTTCCAGAAATAACAAATGGTTGAGTACAGGGGTGCAAGGAGCTTTTCCTGAGCATGTGTTGTAAAAAGAGCTGCTTCAATATTCACAAGAGGATGCATTGACGTGATGGTTGTTAAGATGACAGTAAAAAGAATGAAAACAGGGCTGAGTTTGCTTACTAAGTAACTGACAAATCGCAGGTTAGGCTGCGTGGCTTAGGGCTTCACGTCTGGCCACATCAACAAACAGCAGAGCCCCCTGACCCCGGCAGACCCTGCATTCTCTATGAGTGTGGCCAGGGTTACTGGGGGTGTTTCCCAGAGGAGTACACCTACCTGTGTGAAGGAAACCTCTCTCGCAACTCAGAAATAATTAAATCTTCCACAAGGTGATCTGTTTCTGTCACAAGATCTGCAGCTGATGTTTTTGTTGAGACACGTTTTTCCTCAGTAAGGGCTTTTCTGATGATCTGAAATAAAAGTACGGGATTTGGGTTAAACATGCAAACATCCTCCTCCCAGGCAAAGGAATTATCCACTCCTTCGAGTCCCCTCTGTATTCAGCCTGCCATTGGGTGGGGGGGGGGGGGGGGGGCGGCGGGGGCAGCAGGTGTGGCTCTGTGGGTCACTGACTTCTTGCATCATTGACCTCAGAGCTAATATCACAGCCTAGGCTCTCTGGGTTTCTAGTGAGCCTTAATGACTCCACCATTATTCTTTTACAAGAAAAATTATTTCTCCATTACTTGAAATTATTTCAAAATTATTTTGTTGCACCTGTGAAACAACTTCTCTTCGAGTAAAAGAAAAACACAGGGGTTTTGAAAAGAGCATGAAACTTCCTCTGTAAGAACGGCCCAAAACAAGATCATGTTACACACCTGTGCCCTGTATAATCCCATGAATTCAAATTTAGGAGATTTCAGTGTAAAGTAAAAGCTTATTTTCCCTAATTCACTTTATCCCATGAAATGGGATATGCCCTCGAATCTGATTGTAAATGTTCCCACTGAGAAACCCGGGAGAGCTAAACTGTGTTTCAGGAACCATGGCCAGCTCTCACTGCGCTCTGGGCTGGAGCAGCATCAGCTGTCTCAGAGTTCATGCAAGGATCCACAGGGCTGAGCTCCGACACAGGCTCCGCAGCTGTGCAAGCTGCCAACACACTGGTCTAAACCCATCACAGCTATACATAGGAGCAAGGACTGGGATGGTCCCAAGAACCCCAGGAAAACCCAAACAGGAAGGGATAAAGAGTGGCTAATCAGTCCCTGGACAACTCCAGAGGGACCAGTTCTGGTCCAGCCCAGGCCTTTCTTCTCCTTTTTGTTTTGTTTTGTTTTGCTTTGTTTTGTTTTACAGACTGGGTCTCTCTGTCACCCAGGCCGAAGTGTGGTGTCACAATCACAGCTCACAGTAACCTCTAACCCCAGGGCTCAAGTGATCCTCCCACCTCAGCCTCCCCAATAGCTAGGACTACAGGCACATGGTACTGCACCCAGCTCATTTTTTATTTTTTGAAGAGACAGGGTCTTGCTATGCTAGCCAGGCAGATCTCAAACTCCTGGGCTCAAGCGATCCTCCCACTGCTGCCTCCAAAAGTGCTGGGATAACAGGCGTAAGCCACCGCGCCCAGCTCTTGCCCATTTCTGTCTGTCTTAACAACTTGGTGTCTCCCTCATCATGATGACAAAGTCAGGGCACCTAAAAACGAACTCAGAGCCTTCTTCCTAAACTAGCTACATCCCAGAATCCTGTATTTCTCTCAAAAGGACCATCAATTGGCCAGGTGCCCGGACGTGACATCCATCACGTCTTCTGATAAGCACACACCAAGGACCCGCTCATGCCAGGCCCTGTGCTGCCAGAAGAAGCACACGGGGAATTCTACAGAACAGGCAGGAGCCCCCGAAACTCAGCCTCCCATGTGCTCCTCCCCATACGGGGCTGCCTGCTCTTCTCACTGCCTACATCCCAGAGCTGGCCCACGCTGTACTGAGCCAAGGCAGTTTTTGTTTTAATCTTGGTTGCAAAAAAAACAGATATATGTTATAGAAAATTCAGAATGTGATAGGTCATACCAAAAAAAGCATACAGCGTCCACATAGCCATGTCCACTGGGTAGCCATAACTCCAGGACTTCATATTCCTATGACAGCCTCCAGCTCCCACTGCCCAGGCCCTGCCTCTGGCCAGGGTTTCCTAGTTCCTGCTCATTGCCACCAGGTCAATTTTCTCAAATCACCAATTTGCACACAGGACTCTCAACAAATCAAGCTCCACAGGCCTTGTCTGTGAATCTCACACTCCTCACATGTGGCTCCCGTAGCATCTGCCCATGGTCCAGGACCCTCAACCCTGAGCTGGCCAGACAGGCCTTCGGCACAAAGCTTGTCTCATGTATGGCCACGGTGATTCCTGATGTGTGTGTGTCTCTGTTGTGTACCTGTAAGTGTGTGTTCATGTGGTATGGGGGGAGTCAGGGTGTGTGTCTCTGTGTGTATCTCTGTGTGTGTGTGTGTGTTGCTGTGGTGTGAGAGGATGCAGGGTGTGTCTGTATGTCTATCTCTGGGTGTGTGTGTATCGGTGTGGTGTGGGAAGATGCAGGGTATGTGTGTCTCTGTGTGTATCTCTGGGTGTGTATGGATTTCTGGGTGTGTGTGTGTGTTGGTGTGGTGTGGGGTTGTGGGGAGTGTGTGCATAGAGCTGGGGTGAGAAAGGCAGCCTAACCAGGGGACACAGCCCCAGAGAGGATATGGCAGCAGAGCCTCTGGGATCATCAAGGAAGGGCAGACTGTGCTGCACAGGTCTGACTGGGGTCTGAGAGCTGCATTTCTGGTAAGCTCTATGGTGACCCTGATGCAGGGGTGCTCACTTCAGTAGCATGGAGCTAGAGCAGAGTCTCAAACTCCCACGTGAAGAGAGCCACTAGGAGACCAGGATGTTCCACCTCAGCGGGCGGGGTGGGCAGGTGGTGGTGGGTTCTGAACCCAGGACCACCATCTGAGAAGACAGTGGCTTTACTTCATGCTTGTGGCATCCCCACATGGGGAGCAGCCATAAAGCTACCTGCAAGGGTGGCTGGTATTCCACTCGTCCACACTTGCAGCCTCTACGCAGCAGCTGGATGGGGAATTTTCAGACACCAATTACATCACATCACTGTACTGCAGAAAATGATCCAACGGCTTCCCGCTGCTCACAGAACACATCCCAAACCCCAGGGCCCTTGGGAAACTCCAAATCCCAAATCCCAGGGCGAGCCCTTCACAGCTCACCTCCGACAGGTCAGCCCCAAGTTGCTCTCCTGCTGTGCTCTGGGGTTTTCTCACTGATCCTAACCAAATCTGTTTCTGCCCCCAAGGACTTCCTGTTTTCTGATCCTTCTACAACTTACCATATCCCATCTGAAACCATCCTTCCTGTCGGTTTTGTTTTTGACTGTCTCTCCCAGGCAGGAGCTCAGAGGGCAGAGCTCTTTCTACTTCCCTTCGTCCTTCCTGTCTGTTTTGTTGTTGACTGTTTGTCTCTCCTAGGCAGAGGCTTCTGAGGGCAGAGCTCTTTCTGCTTCCCTTCTGTACCCCTAGCATCAGGAATGCTCCCTGGCATTCAGCAGATACACATACAGCAGGTACACAGAGTTCTTTGAAAGAATGAATAAAACACACATTGGGCTGCTTGAATAGACTGTAACATTTTTCCAAACGGGAACACTAGTGTCTGTGTGAGTGCTGACCACCCAGGTCCTTCTGTCTGGCTGTTTTTCTGGTTGCCCTGTTGAAAAGATCCAGTGCTTCCATCCACAAGTCCCACCTCCTGGAGCTAGACCAGATCTGCTTCCTGCACTCAGACCCACTCTCCCGGCACAGCCAGACGCACTTCCTAAAACATGGTCACGGTGACCATGCGTCTCCCCAGCAGAGCACTTGGTGGCGCCCTGTCACTATGTGGATAAAGTCAAAACCCCTGAAGGGAGCATAAAATAGCTTCCAGATTTGCCCTTGTAGCAGAGACCATTTGACCCCAAACGTCCAGTCTCCCCTTCTTCCTTTTAGGAACAGAACCTCCAAGTTGGAGCAAGCACAGAGCTGCCTTGCAATCTGCACACCACGCGGATACGTGTGGCCTCAGCACCAAGTTCTGCCCCAGAGGATGGGACTGAAAGCAAGACCTGCAACTTCCGAGTCACATCCTCAAAAGGATACTGCCTTGCACTTCCTCGTGTCCCATTCCCCCTCACCACAGGCTACAAAGTAGGTGTGGTGCTGCCCATGCAGGAAGAAACACCTCGGAGCAATGAGGGAGGACAAAGCTGGATCCCTGGATGACTTTGTGGAGCAGACCACCCCACCCCATACCTCTTACTAACTAGACTTCCCCTGCTCCTCTTACTGGCCTCTGTGAAGAAACCAAACAAACCATCCACTCAGCAGCTGCGGGCCTTTCCCGACCCCTTTCTCAGCTCCCCTCCCCTCCCCTCCGAGCTCTGAGAATGCCATGGCCCTGTCACATGGAATCATTAACCCTGGAGTCTCCTGATGGAACCGCCTCAGCCAGCCCACTGTCCTCCTCCTTCATGACTCAGTTCAAACATCACCTTCCACATGAGGAGCCTCCAGCTTCTGCGGGCAGAGGGGCACTCACCCAACTGTGACTACAGCACTTACACAAGCCACCAACTGGCACCCACAGCACTTATCACTCCATGTGTCTGCTCAACCAGCCTGGGTAAGGAACCCTACCCTCTCTGTCTCTGTCCACCTCCAACAGGCCATGGTGCACCCTGCATGGGGGCTGCCTCATGGGGGTCTCCAGGAACACCTGCTGAGTGAATGCATAAAGAGTCCTTGGCTGCTGCACACTGAGCTCACAGTTAACTAAATGCTAGAAGATTTTGTAATATGTCCTTTTGTGTCACCTTATCGAAGCTCACTGGTATTTATACACTCAGTTTTCCACATTCAAAACATACACAGCTGTGTGTGTGGAGGAGGCGGGTGCTGGGGGCCCTTGGGGCAGCTTGGAGAATGCTGCAATCTGGGTGTGTCCGCCAGGAAAACAGGGCCGAGTCATGGGTTACAGAGTGGGAAGAGTGGATTCAGAGGCAGGATGCTGTGTTGTGTTATGCTCTGTTGTTATTTTTCTCTTGAGACAGGGTCTCTCTCTGTTGCCCCAGATGGAGTGCAGTAGCGCAATCTTGGCTCACTGTAGTCTTGACCTCCTGAACTCAAGCAATCCTCCCGCCTCAGCCTCCCCAGTAGCTGCAACTACAAGCACGCACCACCACACCCGGATCATTTTTATTTTTATTTTGTAGAGCTGAGGTCTCACAATATTGCCAAGGCTGGTCTCAAACTCCAGGCCTCAAGTGATCCTCCCGCCTCGGCCTCCCAAAGTGCTGGGATTAAGACGTGAGCCACTACACCTAGCCTTCATAATCTTTTAAAATATTAACTGTTTTCTGCTTTTATTAATATTTATTATTGCAGTTTCTCTGATGACTTTCTTTGTGAGTGTGTCATAAGGAAGGCCATGGGGCTCGAACATGCCTGTACCTCCTACCAGCAGGGCAGGTGACCCTGTGGCCAGCCTCTTCCACTAGACCTGGCCTCACAATCGGGCTGCTGTCTTGCATCAGGTGTGCAAGGCCCTTCACACCCAGCCAGGGCAGCATGCCCCATGCCAGGCTCAAGCCCCCTCGAGTGTCCTCCCTCCTGTACCTCCATGTCTTTGGACACGATCCCTTGTGCCTGCAATGACATCCCTGGCCACCTTCTGCCTGTCTGTGCTCTCAGCCTCCATCTACTCCAGCACAGCTGCTCCAGGAGGTCGCCCGTGTGGCCGTCCGCCCACTGCCCTGGCTGAGGCCCCTCTTCCTGGGTCAGCTACTGCACAGTCCACTGTACTTGGTCACTGCCCTGTCTCCTCCACTGGGCCATGCACTCCTCCAGGTTGGGAGCTCTGCATTTCATCCCAGTAGCTCCAGGAACTACCCTCACCCCGGCAGGGTGCTGATGCCAGCGACATGCACCCATATACACCAGATAGGGCTCTATCAGGTGTACTCGGGGGCCTTGCACACATGGGGGCTGCGCCAGCTAGCTTCCTTCAGTCACCAACAGACAATGACACTAAGCTAACCTAAAAAAAGTCAGAAGCCTTGTCCTGTAGCTCTTCATGAAGATGGGTATGAAAAATTCCCTTCCAGGATGTAATTCTTGTTTTCAGCAGTTTCATAACATCAGTGGGAGTAGAGAGGGATAAAGTACACTCCAGAATCAGACAGCTCTAAATTCAAATTCTATATGGGTTCTCATGGCCTTCATTTCCTCTTCTGTAATAACAGTGTATCTAACACATTGGGTTGTTTTAGGAATCACATGAGGTATTGTATGAAAAGGTCTTGGTCCACAAACTTATTTACACACAGAACCTCACCAGTATCAGTTGTGAGAACATGTATCTGAGAAAATCTAATGACTTTTTCAGCTAATTTTTGTATTGTTACAAAAAATAAGAACCTACCGTACATACAATGTACACGTTGCAAATAGGATGCTAAAATACTAGGTTAAGAAAAGTTTAATTCACGAATTGTCCTATGCTAAGAGAAAAAGTGAGGAAAAGTGCTGTATTTCTAAAATCAGTAAGCGAGACTCAAACAGCCCTGCCCTTTAGCCAGGATCACGTCCACAGGGCGAGGGAGCACATGGGGTTGCCAGGTAAGGTCCCGCTGAACCCCTTTACCACGGCTATTTTCCCTCAGTCTTAGAGATTTTAAACACTCTCACTCCACCAGCAATGAGTTAGGTATCCTGGTTTTTAATTAATGTTTTTCAGCTACTCGCTAACTAAGCATGCACTTCACAGACCCCCCTGGCTCGGGTCTCTCCTTCCAGTAGCATTCTGTTAATGTATAACATATAAAATATGGGCCTGAAGTCACTGAAGCCTGAATTTCAAATCTAAAAGGAAAGGTCACCATCAACCAGCTTCAGAGACATCCTAGGCTAACATATTCATGGAGACGTCCAACTATCTTTCCTGTCTCACCCCATCTTGTTCTTGTGCTCCTGTCCCCATCCGACCTTTATGCCAGTCACTGCAGGGCAGCTGGCATGTGCTCTGGAACCCAGGCCCTGTGCATCATCCACAGAGCAGCACGCCGGAGCCTTGCCAGAGTGCAGTTTCAATAGGAGATGTGTCTTTCCCTCTGTCAGGTCAGGAAGATGTGGCCACTGGAGGTGTGCACCTGACGACACGCCCCATGTTTATGCTTCCAGATTTACTGCAACACAAGTGAATGTGTTGTGATGGTTAATTTTATGTGTCAACTTGACTGAGCTACGTGGAGCGCAGATACTTGGTCAGACATTGTTCTGGGCTAGGCGTGGTGGCTCATGCCTGTAATCCCAGCACTGGGAGGCCGAGGCAGGCAGATCACCTGAAGTCAGGAGTTCGAGACCAGCCTGGCCAACATGGGGAAACCCTGTCTCTACTAAAAATACAAAAATTAGGTGGGTGTGCTGGCACACGCCTATAATCCCAGCTACTCAGGGGGCTGAGGTAGGAGAAACGCGTGAGCCCAGGAGGTGGAGGTTGCGGTGAGCCAAGATTACGCCACTGCACTCCATCCTGGGAGACAGAGCAAGGCTCCATCTCAAAAAAAAAAAAAAATTGTTCTGGGTGTTTCTGCGAGGGCATCAGCATCTTAATCAGGAAAGTAGATCCCTCTCCTTCCTGTGGGCAGGCCTTGTCCAACAGCTGAGGGCCCAAACAGAATGAAAAGGCTGACCCTCCCCCAAGTAAGAGGGGGTTCTCCGCAAATGGCCTTGGGACTCTGTCCACATGAACAACTCTTCCTGCCCTATGGCCTTCAAACTGGAACATCAGCTGTCTCTCCGCGTCTCCAGCTGCCAGCCCACCCTGCAGACTGGACCCACCCACCTCCTGCCGGTCCTGTTTCTCTGAAGAACCTGATACGTGTGACAATCAATAAAACCTAACAGTTCATCGGGTACCCAGGTAATAACACGCCTATCACATGGTGTCATGTGGCACATGTGGTCAGCAGTTCACAGCTGTTGATGCGTCACAAATCTCTGTACAACCTCAACCCTGGGAGGAAGAGGAGGAGCTGGTCCAAGCAGACGTGGCTCCCAGGCCAGCCCACCTCAGGCTCTCGAATCCTCAACGCCTCCTTTAGTCTCGTGGCTATTTTTCCCCTCACCTTGATCTCTAGTCGCCCTCCGCCCTGACAAGGCACTGGCACCTTCCATACCAATGCCAGCAGCCACCCGTCACCCACATCCCAGCTGCATTCCCTGTGTTCCAGGGCCCGTGGCCTGTGGCCCCTGCCTCCCCTCGTGGCTTTCCTCCTATCTCCCCACCATTCTGCGGCTCATCTCCCTCCCACTATTCCTTGAAAGTGGGTGTTTGCAAGCCCTCGGACCTGCCTTCAGCAGCTGAGCTTCCTGGAGATGGCCTCCACCTCACACCCTGCCCAGCTCCACGGCCTGAGCTCAAGCTTACAGAGCGCTTCTTCTGCCCCGTGCTGTTCTGAGCAGTTCACATGTACATTTATTCCACACAGTAACTCTGAGGACAGCAAAAATTATTCTCCACGTTAAAGATGAGGAAACGGAGGCAAAAAGAAATGGAGAAAGTTGCCCAAGGCCCTGCAGCTGTAAGGTATAGGGAAGGGGTTCCCAGCACCACAGTCCAAGTCCACCATCGCTAAACAGAGCCGACCCCACGGCTGGAGCCGTCACAATTGATTACTTCCTAATCCCTCTCCAGCTCACATTTCTCTCAAAAGCAATGAGAGCCAGCCAGCTGCATGAGCCAGAAACCCAGAAGTCCTTTATTCCTATGTCTCCTTCAATGTACGACTCATCAAGTCCACCCCAACTCACAGCCCCCAAGGGCCACACCCCATCAGTTCGAGCAGGACACCCACCTGCAATTCTGCCCTCCACACGGGGCCCCCAAGTCCTGACCTCTCCCACCTCAAACTTTAGCCAAAGTGCATTTCTTGGAGGTCCTTGGTGCTATGTTCTCTTTTGCCCCTTCTGCTTTCATCTTCTCTATTGGCCCCGACCCCTCCTCTTCTCTCTCCCCTCCCCAAGCCCATCACCTAACCTTCCTAGCTGACTCCTGCTTTTTTTCTAAAGACACACTCAGCTGTGACTTCTTCCAGGAAGCTGTCCACATCCCAGGTGCTGGGATGGCCTCCCAGTCCGCCTGCACACTGCAGTGACTGGCCAGGTCTGCACCTCCTCCATCTCTCACATGAAAGGTGAGCCCAGGGGCAGGGCGCCAGCCTGCAGAAGGCCTCCTGCAGCGCTCATGGCAGGCTAGGGCAGAGCTGGGACAACGGACACAGGATCCTGAGACTGGCTCAGCCTAGAGACCAAAGCCTTCCCTCACTCCCACAGAAGAGAGAAGACGCAAACCAGGCTCCAGGCTCCTGTCTCCACTGGGCCCAGGAGGAGGCCAGGAGAGAGGGAGGGGCCTAGACTCCGGAACTCCCCTCTCCTTCTCAATGTCTCAGCTCCCCATGCCTTTGAGCTCCTGCCTTCCTCCACCCCTAAAGCTCGAGGAGGGGGCCTGTATCTCACTAGCAGCCTCTCCATCCTCTGGCTGAGTGATTTCACCCACCCTCCTGCCCCAAACTCCAAAGACAGTAATCTCCCCTGGGCAGCGCTTCATTGGGGTGAGCAAGTGACAAGCTCAGGGCCACAGAGTCCAGGACTCACTCTCCCCGTGGGGATGAGCCATCTACCAGCCTCTCCTTAAGGGGGCACAGGTGGGACCTCACTGGCACCCTGGAGTGCCAAGGGCTGGGATGAGGCTGCCCAGAGGCAAGGGCAGTGCCTTCTGCCCTCCCCCTTCTTCTGAGACAGCTTTTGTTAGCAAAATGGGTAGGAAATGATAGGGACCTCTCAGATAGGGTCAGGAGCAGTGGGCCTCGGACCCTTGGAGACCATGTACCGACCCCCACCCCACCAAAGGGACAGCTGCTACTCTGTGCCTGCCAGCTGCTGTCTCACAGGAATTCTGTCTCTGCTGATGTTTGAAATGTTGTTGAGTTTTCGAATTTCTCACGTAGGCTGACCCCACCCTGCAGAGCTAAGCAAACACTGCAGGTGTGGACCAGGCGAGGCAGGAGCTGGAGGCCATCACCACCGCCTCCTCTCCCCCTCCTGCCTCCTCTTCCTCCAGCGACAGGTGCGCTCAGCCCAGGCAGGAAGAGCAGGGAAGCCTTTTCTGGAGAAATGAACCACTTCAGAAATGACCTCCACAAACTGGCATTTGTGAGGCTCCCAAGGAGGAAAATGGGAGCCTGACCTGAGCTCATCCGACGGCAAAGCCCATCAGTGGCCAAGCCTGCTCTCCTCCTGTCCGGGACATGGCCCTAAATACCATCTCCAGGAATATGACTTCCACACTGCATCTCTGCCGTCAGCTTGGGTGCAAATCCAACATCTCCACTTAGTGAAACCCCGTCTGTACAAAAAATTAAAAAATACATATTATCCAGGCATGGTGACACATGCCTGTAGTCCCAGCTACTCAGGAGGCTGAGGTGGGAGAATCACTTGAGCCCAGGAGGTAGAAGCTGTGATTGCACCACTGCACTCCAGCCAGGGAAACAAAGCGATACCCTGTCTCAAAAAAATAAAATAAGAAATCTACTGGCAATTCGAGCTTAACCTGCACAGAAGAGAACACTCGACTCTCAGCTCCAAACCTGTTCCTCCTGCAGTTTTGCCATCTCGGAAAGTGGCAAATCCATTCAACCAGCTTTTCAGGCCTAAACCCCTGAAGTCACCCTTGGCTCCTCTCTTTCTCTCACACCCCACATCCAACTCAGAGGCTGTCATCTCAGCCTCCAAAGTAAATCTTCTTCACCACCTTCTTCATGCACCCCAGTCAAATCCACCCTCATTTCTCACGTGGCTTCCTATCAGATACCTGATTCTGGTCTCCCTAGTGTCCCACAAAGGACCTCATGCAGCAGCCAGGGTGGTCCCCTATATAGAGTCCTATAAAGCCCCACACAAGACTCTGCCCCAAACCTCCCCTCACATTCAGAGTAAAAAGGCTAAAGTCCTTTCCTGAGTTGTTAATGATTCTTTGTTGGATGAATAAATTTATAATCAATGTGTTATTACCATCATTTTAAAAGCAAATAATATCAAAGAAGCCAATAAACAGCTGGGCACAGTGGCTCACGCCTGTAATCCCAGCACTTTGGGAGGCCAAGGTGGGTGGATCACATGAGGTCAGGAGTTTGAGACTGGCCTGGCCAACATGGTGAAACCCCATCTCTACTAAAAATACAAAAATTAGCCAGGCGTGGTGGCACATGCCTGTAATCCCAGCTACTCGGGAGGCTGAGGCAGGAGAATTGCTTGAGCCCGGGAAGCGGAGGTTGCAGTGAGCTGAGATCGCACCACTGCACTCCAGCCTGGGCGACAGAGCAAGACTGTGTCTCAAAAAAAAAAAAAAAAAAAAAAGCCAATAAACATGTGCATTTAACTTCATTAATTATCTAAGAAACGCAAATTAAAACTACAATAAAATACCAACTCAAGCCCATCAGAATGGCTACAATATAAAAGACAGACCATACCACATGTTGTGGAAGACGTGGGGAAAAGGGAACCCTCACACACTGCAGGGTGGAGTGTAACTTGGTACATCCTCTTTAGAGAACTACTTGGCAGAATTTACATTCCCAATGACACAGCGATTCTACTCCTACTATTAATAAATCCCCAACAGAAATGCACACATAATCAAAAGACATGTGCAAGAAAGTTCACAGCAACGTTACCCGTATTAACTTCAAACTGGACATTATCCAGTTTGCTCAAGAGTTGAATGAGGCCAGGCGCAGTGGCTCGTGCCTGTAATCCCAGCACTTTGGGAGGCCAAGGCGGGTGGACCACTTGAGGTCAGGAGTTCTAGATCAGCCTGGCCAATATGGTGAAACGCCGTCTCTACTAAAAATACAAAAATTAGCCAGGCATGGTGGCGCATGCCTGTAGACCCAGCTGTTCAGGAGGCTGAGGCAGGAGAATCACTTGAACTCGGGAGGCAGAGGTTTTGATGAGCCAAGATCACGCCACTGCACTCCAGCCTGAGCGAGAGAGCTAGACGTCGTCTCAAAAAATAAAAATAAATAATAAATAAAACAGTTGAATGAATAGTGATGTACTCACATAATAAAATACCATGCAGCGGAAGTTCCCATTGTGCCACTCCAGACTAGCAGCATCTATGTCAGCTGGGAATGTTAGAAATGCGTATTCTGGTGCCCACTCCAGACCTAGTGAATGAGAAACCCTGCGGTGGGACCCCATTTGCCTTAATAAGCCCTCTTGGGCTTCCAACACAGCCAAAGCTGGAGAAGCACTGCTCCACAGCAGCGACCCAAGGAGTGTGACCACACCAAGGAGATCATGAAAAATCCTGCTGGGAAGATGGATGGCTCACAATAGGTATACAGAAAACTAGACAAATGCAAAGCAAAACAAAACAAAACATTCTTTAACGAAAATACAAGTTGCATTAGAAAGAAAGGAATACACTGCCGGGCTGAACCATGAGTTACATCTGCATGGCCATCCGAACATGGACATGGACACCCACAGAACCACACGGGCAGGGCCACTACACGGCGTAACACAGAATAATTCTGTCAACAATGAACAACTCAAGAAAGCACGACAGAAGCATATTACTTAGAAATGGGTGTAACTCTCAGAAAATTGAGAACAGGGACTCCGGACACAGGACAAGGGGTGAGGAGTGTGGGCCAGGTGCTGCTGTTCTTCATCATGTGCTTTCAGTGTTACGTCACTCATTAAATTCCCGGTGTGAATAACCAGCAAAAAGGAAAATCACAAATCAAAACAATACTGTGTTGGTAAAGCCAGATGGACAAGTGGGGACACGGGTCCAGAGCCCACCAATGTGCCTTCTGCCCTGAAGAGCCAGAGGTAGACAAAAGAGTATTCATATTCCAAGGACCCACTGTGTGGAGGGCACACCACCAGGCAAGGATAAATAAAGTCATGAGGAGTGCCAGCTCAGCAGGACCAGGTGGGGCACTGGAAAGACAGGGAAGGCCACCTGAGAAGCGGTCCATGAAGGAAGGGGCTCAGGAGCCGGGCTCTGGAGACAGGCAATGGTTTGCATACTCCATAGGCCAGAAGAAAGGCAAGAAAATACAACATGTGTTTTGCAAACACCAAGCAGAGCGACCAGATCTGGCCGGACAAGGGGACGACAGGCTCACTTCGCAAGGCCGGGCCTCGGGAAGCATAACCTGCAAGGGTGTGCAAGGCCAACTAGAGAAGGGGGAAGTCTGCGGTCCTGAGGTCAGTGCTGGGTTTTTCTTTTTCTGCTTTGTCCTGAGATTTTGTTACAAGTAAACAGAGATGAATTTCCTGTGAAGCTAATGACGCTTAAGCATCAAGGCCCCCACTTGCCTGCAAGGGACCCTAACAAAGTGTTCACAAAGCCGTACACAAACCCCTTTTGTAATGGGCAAAAGTCAGCTGTTTTGACTGTAGATCTAACCTTGTGCCTTTCCACTTAAACTGTCCTTCCATCAGACTTTGCATCAGGTGGCACTGGCGTGGATACAGCCAGTGTGGGCTAAAGATAAGCTGAGTAGATGAACTAACTTTGCTTCAATAGGGTTTGCAGTCACATTTCTCTGTAAGTTACTGAGAGCCATCCAGTGTAGAAAGGGCTTCCAGGCATACTCCCCTGTCCATCACGCCGACCCACCTGGCATGGTGACAAAAACATACAGGACCAGAGGAGCACATGAGGTGGACACAGACACTGGCACTGAAAATGTGTGGATCACAAAAATAAACCAGATTTCAACTGCACAGAGCCAGGAGCAAGTCTGTGAAAAACAGACTCACTTACAACTAATGTATAAAAAAATTCATAGAAGGTTCTCAATTTGATGACATCCTAAAAATTTATAAGCCAATTGTTACCAGTAACAAGTTTGAAGCCTAAATTTTCTAAATTATCAGTAATAAATTTCAATAAGCCAAGCAACAGGAAATGCTGAATTTATCTTTCTATTCTCCCCATATAAAGTATTACAAAATCATTATCATTCAAAAGATGCAAACAGTATGAAACCAGAAAAAGGGCAAAAAGTATTACGGAAGTATGAGAAGCAGTGAAAGAATTGTTATTTTTGTGTATTTCGTGATATTTGCAGTATTTCTTAGCACCTTAGAAATTTATAGATGTGATTGTTCTTATTCTAAATAACTTTTATATCTAAGTTTGAATTTGTAATTTTGTATTTTCTCTTTTTTTTTTTTTTTTTTTTTTGAGACAGAGTTTCGCTCTTATCACCCAGGCTGGAGTGCAGTGGTGCAACCTAGGCTCACCACTGCATCCTCCACATCCCAGGTTCTAGGGATTCTCCTGCCTCAGCCTCCTTAGTAGCAGGGATTACAGGCGTGTGCCACCACGCTCGACTGATTTTTGTTGTTTTTTTTTTTTTTTTTTGAGACGGAGTCTTGCTCTGTCGCTCAGGCTGGAGTGCAGTGGCACGATCTCTACTCACTGCAAACTCCGCCTCCCGGGTTCACGCCATTCTCCTGCCTCAGCCTCCTGAGTAGCTGGGACTACAGGCGCCCGCCACCACGCCCGGCTAATTTTTTGTATTTTTTAGTAGAGACGAGGTTTCACCGTGTTAGCCAGGATGGTCTTGATCTCCTGACCTTGTGATCTGCCCACCTCGGCCTCCCAAAGTGCTGGGATTACAGGCGTGAGCCACCGCGCCCGGCCACAGTTTTTGTATTTTTAGTAGAGATGGGGTTTCACTATATTGGTCTCAAATTCCCGACCTCAGGTGATCCACAAGCCTCAGCCTCCCAAAGTGCTGGGATTACAGGCTTCAGCCACCACATCTGGCAAAGTTTGTATTTTCTTAAAGAGGGCCCCCTAAATTGTCTAAGTTTCTGGCCCAACAGAAGCTGGTTCAGCTCCGCGGGGGGATTTGAAAGGCAGAGCTGTCTACAATACTTCTGTTCACACATCACACAAAAGATGACAACCATCCACATCAGTGAATACTGTCATCTGTACTTGGGGTGGGGCTGTGGTCACTCCCTCCCCAAAAGCCCAACAGCCAGGGAGGAGGCTCCCGTCACAGTGTGGGTGGCTGGAACTAGGAGGGCAGGGATGATCCCCACGGTCACGGAAGGAAGAGTGGCACAGAAGCATGGAGGGGGCAGGTGAGGGAATTGGGAGCCTGGGACAGGGAAGCCTGCCAGAACTGGGGCAGAGGGGAAATGGAAGCAGTTTCTCCAGGGCCACCTTGAGCGGAACCAGTCTAAGAGAGAAAGGACAGTGCACCTTTATCTCTTGGAAGGTCTCTCCTTCGGCTCCCTCACCTTTCCGCATCTAGAACACAGACTCCATCTCAGGGGCAGCTGAGAGCAGCGAACAACAGAGTGGTAGAATGCTGGGTGCTAGTGAAGGGTGAGCATCTGGGGGCCCTGCGACTTTGCCAACATGCTCTTCACTAAGGAGAACTCCAAAAGGATCACCACTCACGACCTTTACACCCCGAACCAGGTCATCTGGCTAAAGGATATGTTTTCTCCAGTCAGCCCCCGATTGCATTAGAAGACAATCTGTCCCTCTTTACACAGGTTCCGATGACCTCGTGTGGCTTCTGTTTGTCCCAGCAGCAGACCTTCAGGCCATTCCCTCAGCACTGCCCGGCAGGCAGGAAGCATCAGCATAATGCCTGAGGGGGAGCCCCGGGCGGCCCGGGCTTCCTGACCGGACTCCTAATGGCAGCATCTTTATTGCAACCCTCTCCAGCGTTTAAAAAAAGCTTTTTTTGTTGCTGGCAAGTTGCAAAAACATAAAATATCTCTTAAGTTAAAAGTCATAGGAGCCTTAGAACTGTTCCTGCTCTATTGCAAGCTCTTTATGCACATTTGTTAAATAATAACATAAAATTTTAAAATCTTCTGTTTCTTCAAGGATCTAAATTTGAAAACCACAGAAACTCCTAACTTAGCTCGCCAGGGTTTACACAGCAATGTCTGAATCCTAAGCTGGCTTTTCACTGCCTCAAGGAAGAAAAGTTTTACAGTAGAACCTAAAAGTTCCTAAATATCTGGCTGATGCTTGCTCTGGAAGGAAAGCTGGGAGGCAGGGAAGGATGGAAGGAGAACCCGTGTTCCATGCACACAGCAGCTCTGCTTTCCAGGAAGAACGCTTGCACTGAAGCTACAAGCTTCATCTGCCTTGCAGGAAGGTTTAGGGTCCTCCTTTTCCTACAGGAGGGAAAGGTCAAAGGGTGGAGTTTCGCAACACTCTTAAATTCATTCATTCTTTACGGTCTGAGGCTTGGGTTCTTCAAACTACAAAGGGAAGGAAGGCCCTTCAACAAAAAATGAGTCTACTTAGTATTGCAGATTAATTTTTAAACAGGATTAGAGGATTTGCACCAAGGTAAAGCACTATCCACTTTATGACGACTCACTTCAAATTTAAGATTGATAACAGTCCGATTTCAACATCTAGGGAAACTGGTAGAGCATTTTCGGACTGTCAGACCTCAAAAAAGAAAACAAATGTTTGAATATAAAAGGCCAATCTGCTCTCAGCACACCTCCTGTCTCTAAAATCCCCGAAAACAATCACTTTTTTTTTTTTTTTTTGAGACGGAGTTTTGTTCTTGTTGCCCAGGCTGGTGTGCAATGGCGCGATCTCAGCTCACTGCAACCTTCGCCTCCCAGGTTCAAGTGATTCTCCTGCCTCAGCCTCCCAAATAGCTGGAACTAAGGCACGCGCCACCATGCCCAGCTAATTTTGTATTTTCAGTAGAGACGGGGTTTCACCATGTTGGTCAGGCTGGTCTCGAACTCCTGACCTCAAGTGGTCCACCCGCCTCGGCCTCCCAAAGTGCTGGGATTACAGGCGTGAGCCACTGCGCCCGGCCCACAATCACATCCTAAGAGACAAACATGGAGTAAGCCATCTTACAGTCCTGGGAGAACCAACACTCGCTTGCCTACCACTACCGTCGGTGTGTCAGGCACTGCTAAAGGTACTGAGGAAAGTGGAAGGAACAATCACAAAAATGAAAAAGAGAAGAGAGGAACTGCACTCCATTTTAAACTCTGCTCGCTGGTTTTCGGTAGCTCTGCGGCTCGGTTTTCATCCTTCCGGGCAGTGTAACAAGTTCCTCCTGAACTCTGAGTCCGTGGCCGTCGCGGAGCTGAGCCACTTTCAGGGTGTGGGTCAGAGTAAGTTTGGGTTGAGGATGCTGCAGCCAGGACAATCAAACGGCAGCCCAGCCAGATCCCCACGCGGCTGGGGCTTAGCCCCGGGCTTCCTACCGCGAGCTGAATCCGTTCATAGGTCCTTAAAAATCAACAGCCCCGTACGCTACCCCTGGAGAGATTTCTACATTCTGACCACTCACTCAAACGCAAAGGTCACGTTAGCCGCTGAACTCCAAAGCAGAGGGGCTCGCCGCCAGGGCTCCGGGAGTTGGAGAAGGGCGCGGGAGGTGTGTCCAGGACACCAGCACAAAGGCTCCTTTCACCGCTCCGCGCCCCGCGCCCTCGGGTGCGGACCCTGGGCGCCCGCCGGCTGCGCGCCAGGACCCCGCCACTCCAGGCGGCTCCCAAGGCCCACGCGCTTCTGCTCCGCCCGGACTTCCGAGCCCAGCCGTGGCGCTCACCTGTCCTGCCCGCAGCGCCAGCTGCACGGCCGCCTGGAAGCACTCCTCCCAGGGGCCGGCCGCCAGCGCCGCCTGGTCCTCGCCGCTCGGCTTCATCGCGGCCTCGCCGGGCCCCTCCACCTCCAGCCCCCCTCGGCGGGACTCCGGCTCCCACCGGATCCCGCCGTCCCGCCGCCAGGCTCCACACTCCCTGTGCCTGCTCCCGCAGCTCTGTGCCTAGTCCGCCGCCCGTCCCACACCTGCGCTGGCGGGAAGGGCAGCCAGCGGGCCGCGGGAGCCGTGCGTCCTGCTTTCCGCTCCCCACCCTCCGCCCCGCCCCGTGCCGAGCCCAGCCCAGCTCCCCGCCCCGCTCCCCGCCCAGCTCCCTGCTCCCGCGTCCGGCCCCGCTCTGCATTCCCCACCTCGCCCCTCGCAGAGCTCGGCCCCGCCCATTCCCCCCTCTTCCCCGCCCCTTGACGCTCCCGGCCCCGCCCCGCACCCGTTGCTGCTCCTGGCCTCTTCCCGCGCCGTGCCCGGCCCCGTCCTGCACCGCCCCTCCCGCTCCCGGCTGCGCCCCGTACCTGGCCCCGCCCCTCTGGGCTAGCCCTGAACACAAATCAGTGCCGAGCCTGGTCCCTCTCCGCTCCGCGCTTTACCTCCAGCCCCGCCCCTGTGGTGCAGCATCACCCTCCCCGCTCGAGGCGGACCCAACCCTGCTCCGCCGTGCCCCGTCCCGCAGCGCGCAGAGCGGGCTCCAACTCCTCTGAGCCTCGAGCCCCGCCTCCCTCAAGTTGAGCCGGGCCCGTGTCCAAGCCCCGCCCCACCGCCGCGCGCTGAGACAGGCCCCACCCCCGGCTCGTGCAGAACTCCGTACTGTTCTGGGTCAAGCGCGCGGAGGGCGGCTTGGGCCACCGCAGAGCTGGGAGGGAGGAGCTAGGAGCGGCTGTTTTGGGGGCCCGGGGCAGCTACTGTCTGGGTGGGACCGTGCGGTGCCGGCCCAGCCCCGGAGGTGCCGGGGAGCGTCCCGTCCGCGGATCCCCGCGCACGTGGTGCCGGGCGTCCCTTCATGGTCTGTGGCCGGATTCGGGCTCGAGCGCCAGGGGCGGCTGGGCCAGCACCTTCCGACCGGTCGCTTTTTGTTCGCGGAGGCCGCTGGGCGCTAGGCGTCGTTCTCGGCCTCGCAGGAGCTCAGACCGCCGAGCGCACAAGGCCGCAGTGTTCCTGCAAGCGGCCGCCCCGCGCGGCAAGTTTGGTCGCAAACAAGCTCTCCCTCCGCTAACCCCAAACACTGCGAGGACAGCGGCTGGACTTTATAAACTCTTCACACCCAAAACTCGAATTTGGAGACGGAACTGTGATTGCGATGAGCCTCTGTAGTGAGGAATGACCTTTCCAACCTTGGATTCTCTTGCTGGCCCATGTAAACATAAATAGGAGGCATTTCCCGAAAGAGTGGCCGCGTGGTTTCCAAGGTTAATTTCATAAGCCGCTCTGCCTGCCCGTTTTATAAAAGATGCTAACCCACGTAAAATTATTCTGGAGTGCCACTTCGGAGTCTGGGAGAATAATGGGAGTTTGTACAAGAACCTTGATGGGGCATTTTTTACACACTTAACCTAATAATGAAATTAAACGTTTTTAGTTTTTGAGTACTTTATGCTGAAACACCTTGTGGAGAAACTTTAAGTGTACCGTATAAGAGACAAAAAGTACAAACAGGAGGAATTACAAACAGGAAATACAAACACGCAGATATGGGTACAACTTTAGGGACTCTGGCCTCACCCAGAGCCCTAATCCTACGGCTCAGAAAACTAGACCAATTGCCCTGCCTCCCACCACGCCAGTTTGGGGCAGCTAAGGGCGCACTCCCCTCCATCTTTTTTGGGTTCTTATGTTTTTATGATGTTTAAGACAGAGGCCGGGTGCGGTGGCTCACGCCTGTAATCCCAGCACTTTGGGATGCCGAGGCGGGCGGATCACGAGGTCAAGAGATCGAGACCAGCCTGACCAACAAGGTGAAACCCCGTCTCTACTAAAAATACAAAAATTAGTTGGGCGTGATGGCAGGTGTCTGTAATCCCAGCTACTCGGGAGGCTGAGACAGGAGAATCCCTTGAACCTGGGAGGCTGAGGTTGCAGTGAGCCGAGATGGCGCCACTGCGCTCCAGCCTGGCGACAGAGTGAGACTCCGTCGCAAAAAAAAAAAAAAAAAAAAAAAGACAGCAGGACTTCAGAATGCACTTAAGATTGTGCTGTGAATGCGTTACTTTAAAAGAAATGCATTCTCTTGTTGATTTTCATGACAGGTTTTCATTAGCGGTCACTTCCAACACCAAGCAAACAAAGAAGTGGCAAAATGTCTCTTCCGCCTCTTCCCAGTTCTCCTTTCTGAACACCTCTGCCTGTGCTCCTGGTACTGTCACCCCATCTGGAAGCTCAGTTATATCTTTAGATAAACTTTCATGATAGATCCCAGCTTATCTAAACAACTGGAAAAAGAGTTAACTTTCTTTCCCAAATGACATATCTTAAGGCAGCGTAGTGTGGTTTTTAACAGCATGAGGCTTTGAAGCAGCCAGGTTTCCTAAATTAAAATATTGGCCTCTCTTCTTCCTTACTGTGTGGATTTGAGCAAGTTAAAAATAACCGGTTTTGCCTGTTTCTTCAACTGTAAAGTGGTCTTTGTAACCATTGTATGGGTTAATGTACTTGTGCTTGGAACGTATGTGTTTGCTATTATTATTAAAGACTGGTCATTTATGCACCAGTGTGGGTAGCCTCAAGCAATCAGCATACCGCTTGGCACCCAATAGGTGTTTAATAAATATCTGTTCGGCCAGGTGTGGTGGCTCACGCCTGTAATCCCAGAACTTTGGGAGGCCGAGGTAGGAGGATCATCTGAGGTCAGGAGTTCAAGACCAGCCTGGGCAACATGGTGAAACCTATCCTCTACCAAAAATAAACAAAATTAGGCAGGCATCGTGGCATGTGCCTGTAGTCCCAGCTGCTCAGGAGTCTGAGGCAGGAGAATTGCTTGAACCCTGGAGGCCAAGGTAGCAGTGAGCCAAGATTGCACCACTGCACTCCAGCCTGGGTGACACGAGCAAGACTCTATCTCAAAAAATAAAAATAGGCCAAGCGCGGTGGCTCACGCCTGTAATCCCAACACTTTAGGAGACAAAGGTAGGCGGATCACGACGTCAGGAGATGGAGACCATCCTGGCTAACATGGTGAAACCCTGTCTGTACTAAAAATACAAAAAAATGGCCGGGCGCGGTGGTTCACGCCTGTAATCCCAGCACTTTGGGAGGCCGAGGTGGGCGGATCACAAGGTCAGGAGATCGAGACCATCCTGGCTAACACTGTGAAACCCCGTCTCTACTAAAAATACAAAAATTAGCCGGGCGTGGCAGCGTGTGCCTGTAGTCCCCAGCTGTGGGGAGGCTGACTCAGGAGAATGGCGTGAACCCGGGAGGCAGAGCTTGCAGTGAGCCGAGATTGCGCCACTGCACTCCAGCCTGGGCTACAGAGCGAGACTACGTATCAAAAAAAAAAAAAAAAAAAAAAAAAAGAAAGAAAGAAAGAAAAGAAAATGTAGAGGAAAGTGGCCGGGCGCGGTGGCTCAAGCCTGTAATCCCCGCACTTTGGGAGGCCGAGGCGGGCGGATCCCGAGGTCAGGAGATCAGGACCATCCTGGCTAACACAGTGAAACCCCGTCTCTACTAAAAATACAAAAAATTAGCTGGGCGTGGTGGAGGGCGCCTGTAGTCCCAGCTACTCGGGAGGCTGAGGCAGGAGAATGGCGTGAACCCCGGAGGCTGAGCTTGCAGTGAGCCGAGATTGCGCCACTGCACTGCAGCCTGGGTGACTGAGCGAGACTCCTTCTCGGAAAAAAAAAAAGAAGAAAGAAAAGAAAATTTAGAGGAAAGAGTGCATTATTTTTGCAATTAAAAGTTGATTTCAAACATTAAGCAAAAATTGTTACGATTTTACTGTAACGGGCCCAAATCCTGGTCAAAGAATCGTGTATCTACAAATGTGATCAATATCACCTGCATCTCAGTAGAAATGCCCCCAGTCAAATGGCAAAGAGCATCAACGCTTTTCCCATTCTAAAATATTCCTTGAAGGGCCCTCAATCTGTATCATTGACCACCCAGATTGTCTACTCAGAGACCCAAAATATTAGACAATTATTTGTACAATTCAATCCACATAAATAATGTTTTGTTACATAGATAATGGAGAAGCTATTTTGGCTTGGATAATTTGATAATTTTCCAGAGCCGCCCATTTTCCTTTGTGTGTATAAAAATCCAGATTTAGTTTATTAAGTTCTGTCTTATATTTATTATAAGCCCCCTTACTACAATTTTTTTTCTTCATGTTTGGTCATCAGTAATAAGAGAACAGCTGGCCACCATCTGCTGCCTAAGAAAAAAGACATATATTTATTATATCCTTAGGAAGACTCCTAAATTACCCAGCTAATTTTCATTTTTTTTTTGGAAGAGATGGGGTGTCATCCTTGTTACTCAGGCTGGTCTCGAACTCCTGGGCTCAAAAGATCCCCACCCCCTCCCCACCCCGCCTTGGCCTCCGAGAGTGCTAGGATTACAGAAGTCAGCCACCACACCCGGCAGAAATCAGCTTTTTCTAATGAATAATGCGTATCACTCATGCGTCAATGATGACTCTCTGTGGAGATGTAAAATATTCTTCCCCAGCTGGCCTCCACCACAGTCTGCACACTGTCTCCTTCAGAGGCCCTGGAAGCCACATGAACTTTCCTTAAGCCCCTAGCGTACTGCACTCTGCCTTGAAAAACTGTATCTTAACTACCCCTCCCCACCCCCCACCCTAGGGCACAGTCCTTCTGGTGAGGCTCTGGTCACCAGAAGGCCACATGCACAGTGCCTGGGTCAGGGCCCAAGAAGCCAGGGCAGTGGCAGTGAGAAGGTGAAAGGACAGTCAGGACAGACTTTATGTCCTTATTAATCTGGGAGTTCCCTCCCCTCATGTTCTTTATGGAAGAAAGCAGAGTCTAAATAAACAAAATGTCAGGTAGTGTTCTTTTCTTCCATCCACTTCTCCAGCTTCCCCAGGTTACCTTGAAATCTGATCTTATCTCGGCCGGTGAGGTGGCTCATGCCTGTTATCCCAGCACTTTGGGAGACTGAGCCTTGTGGATCACGAGGTCAGCAGTTCGAGACCAGCCTGGCCAACATGGTGAAATCCTGTGTCTATAAAAATGCAAAACTTAGCCAGGCATGGTGGCAGGCGCCTGTAACCCCAGGTACTCCAGAGGCTGAGTCAGGAGCATCGCTTGAACCCGGGAGGCGGAGGTTGCAGTGAACTGAGACTGTGCCATTGTACTCCAGCCTGGGCAACAGAGCAAGACTCCGTCTCAAAAAAAAAAAAAAGTCTAATCTTATTCTCCAGGGCCAAGACATGCTGACTTGGACATTTGAGGAGCTTTTTTGTTTTAGCTCATCTAAATCCCTAGAAGTTGGTTGAGAATAATGTCTGACCATCCTTAAACCGAAGTGTGGAATATTGACATTAGAAGCTGAATTGTACCACCCCACTCCCTGCTCCCAAATTTATATACTGAATTTTGAATCTCAGAATGTGCCTATATTTGGAGATAGAGCCTTTAAAGAGGTAGTTAAGTTAAATTGGGTTCATCAGGGTTGGCCCTAATCTGACTGGTGTTCTTATGAAAAGAGGGAATTTGGACACAGAAAAACACACCAGGAGTGCATGCACACAGTGGGAAGGCCACGTGAGGACCAGTGAGAAGGTGGCCATTGCAAGCCAAGGAGAAAGGCCTCAGAAGACACCAACCCTGCTGACTAATCATTTTTTTTTAATTTTAGATGCAAAGGGTACATGTGCAGGTTTGTTAAAAGGGTATACTGTGTGATGCTGATGTTTGGGCTTCTAATGATCCTGTAACGCAAGCAGCAAACATAATACCTAATAGGTAGTTTTTCAACACTTGACCCCCTCCACCCTCCTTCCTTTTGGAATCCCCAGTGTCTGTTGTTCCTATCTTTGTGTCCGTGAGTACCCAATATTTAGCTCCCACTTATAAGTGAGAACATGCAGCATTTGTTTTTCTGTTCCTGCGTTAATTTACTTAGGATAATGGCCTCCAGCTGCATCCATGTTGCTGCAAAGGACATGATTTCCTTCTTTTTATGGCTGTTTAGTATTCCATGGTATATATGTACCACATTTTCTTTTCCTTTTTTTTTTTTTTTTTTTTGAGACAAGGTCTCCTGCGTCACCCAGGCTAGAGTGCTGCAGCAAGACGATGGCTCAATGAAGCCTCAACCTACCACCTCCCAGATTCAAGTGGTCCTCCTGCCTCAGCTTCCCAAGTGGCTGAGACTACATGTCATCACACCTGGCTAATTTTTTTCATTTTTTTCTAGAGACAAGGTCTTGCTATGTTGCCCAGGCTGGTTTTGAACTCCTGGGCTCAAGTAATCCTCCTGCCTTGGCCTTCCAAAGTGCTGGGAGACATGAGCTACCACGCCTGTGAACCACCCTGCCTGGCCTCCCACATTATCTTTATCCAGCCTGCTGACACCTTGATGTTGGACTTTCAGCCTCCAGAATTGCAAGAAAGTGCATTTCTGTTTTTAAGCTGCTTAGTCTGTGGTGTTTTGTTACACAGCCACAGCAAACTGATACAGCTGGACCCAAGGAGATTTGTCTTGGGCATCAGCACATTAGGGGTTACGAGGCACTCTTCTCAGCCTAGAGGCCTTGAAGAAGGCAGCAAGGAGTGCAGAGCACTCTAGGAACCGAAAATCAGTGCCAACCCTCCTACTCCCCAACCCAGCCAAACTGCTCAGAGTCACTTATGCAATAACTGGAGTCAGCCAGCGCCACAACTTTTCACTAAACTAAGTCAGATAGATGATTACAAGAAATGCTCTGCATTTAAATATCCCCCAACACTGTGCACAGCCCCATAACCACGAACAATTCTGGGAGTCTTTGCTAAGCAATAGATATAAAAAAAAATCTGCAGGGTTATTTCTACTTATTTATTTCCACTATATAACCAGAGATGCCCTTTATTCTACTCTGGAAAATCCTCCCAAGTCATTATTTTCCACTGAGGAAGGGGTTAATGTGCTGGTCATTCCTCCTCCTTCTGAGTGTAACACAGTACCAGATACTCCCTGAGAATTCACATGGTATACTCTGGCTTTCAAAACTTTGCAAACTTTTTTGGGATTCACATTTCTTCTTTGCTCTGCACTTCAGCCACTCCTTATGGGGATTCTATGCCTGTGGATCCCACATTCATAGATCCTGGAGACTACGAAATTGTACTTCAACAATTGGTGATACCTTCCATCTGTTAAAAACCCTATCCTGCAAGGCCTTGGTCCTAAAAGAGAATTTCCAGTATTTTTCTTTCTTTTTTTTTTTTTTTGAGATGGAGTCTTGCTCTGTCGCTCAGGCTGGAGTGCAGTGGCTTGATCTCGGCTCACTGCAAGCTCTGCCTTCTGGGTTCACGCCACTCTCCTGCCTCAGCCTCCCGAGTAGCTGGGACTACAGGCGCCCGCCACCGTGCCCCGCTAATTTTTTATTTTTTGTATTTTCAGTAGAGACAGGGTTTCACCGTGGTCTCGATCTCCTGACCTCGTGATCCGCCTGCCTCGGCCTCCCAAAGTGCTGGGATTACAAGCATGAGCCACCGCGCCCAGCCTTTTTTTTTTTTTTTTTTTTTGAGACGGAGTCTTGCTGTGTCACCAGGCTGGAGTGCAGTGGCATGATCTCGGCTCACTACAACCTCCACCTCCCAGGTTCAAGCGATTCTCCTGCCTCAGCCTCCTGAGTAGCTGAGACTACAGGTGTGCGTCACCACACCCAGCTAATCTTTTGTATGTTTAGTAGAGGTGGGGTTTCACCATGTTGGCCAGGTTGGTCTTGATCTCTTGACCTCCTGATTGGCCACCTCAGCCTCCCAAAGTGCTGGGATTACAGGTGTGAGCCACCATGCCTAGCCGAATTTCCAGTATCTCTAATCCCATGCACCTGAAATTCTCCACAACACTTGAGTTGAAATTAACGATGCTAGCCTAGCAGATGGTATTTTGTAATCCACACTCAGTTGTACAACCTGTAACTGTCTTCATTTACCCACAACCAAACTTCCTTTTCTCAGCTCCCTTCCTGCCTGATAGCAGAAAACTCAACCTACTTACTTCCAGACAACTCAAGATGTGTTAGTGATTTTTTAGACATTTCAGGTTTAAAATTCACTCAATGCAGGCCTGCAAGATGGTTTACGCCTGTGATCCCAGCACTTTGGGAGGCTGAGGTGGGTGGATCGCTTGAGGCCAGGAGTTCGAAACCAGTCTGGCAAACACAGTGAAACCTCATCTCTACTAAAAATACAAAAATTAGGTCAGGCACAGTGGTTCACGCCTGTAATCCCAGCACTTTGGGAGGCCGAGGTGGGAGGATCACCTGAGGTCAAGAGTTCAAGACCAGCTTGACCAACATGGTGAAACCCCATCTCTACTAAAAATACAAAATTAGCCGGGTGTGGTGGCACATGCCTGTAATCCCGGGTATTTTTGTGGCTAAGGCAGGAGAATTGCTTGAACCTGGGAGGCGGAGGTGCAGTGAGCTGAGATCACGCCATTGCACTCCAGCCTGAGCAACAAAAGGGAAACTCCGTCTACAAAAAAAAAAAAAAAAAAAAGATTAGCCGGGCACGCCTGTAATCGCAGCTACTCTGGAGGCTGAGGTATGAGAATCACTTGAAACCGGGAGGTGGAGGTTGCATGAGCAGAGATAGAGCCAATGCACTCTGCACTCCAGCCTGGGCGACAGGGCGAGACTCTGCCTCAACAAATAAAATAAAATGCAGTCAATTCCTCTTTTTCCTCGCAGGTCCCTGCACCTCAGTCCCTGCTGTGTCCTGCCCCTGCGGATGCTGAGACTGGACGTTCCTGTTTTGGCCCAGTTCTGCTGGCCTCTCCTGAGTGGCCCCTGACACACTGGTCCGCGATCGTGCTAGTCTCTTCTGTCCAGGGGGCCCCTGGGCTTGCCACACTCCCTGGGGCGCCGCAGCCGTAGGTCCGGGGAGGCTGCGCACCGCTGGGCCTGGACATTCTCTCTTCGGCTGCCGCGCCACTCCCCCGATGCAGGTGTCCTGAGGAAGGAAACCAGGAGCTTGCCTGTACCCAAGACCCGCAGGAATGCGGCCCGGGCCCTAAACGTTTCCAGGAAAAGTCACCTTCTGGCACAACCCTCACCCTCACCTTTGCCTCTGCAGGAGGGGAGTGCGCGTGGGCCTGGATGTTCACCTGGACTGGGATCTAGTTCTCCCGCCTGCTTTGCCGCGCTCTAGCCTCGTCCCTCCAGCCCCTCTGCACTTCCGTCTACGGGGCGGAGGAGAGACACAGGCTGTGCTGCAGCGTGTCTATTTTTTTTCTATACTTTTAAGTTCGCGGCAAAATTAAGGGGAAAGTACATATACCCCCTGCCGTATCCGTATTATTTCTTTTTCTTTTTTTTTTTTTTTTTTTTTTTTTTTGAGACGGAGTCTCGCTCTGTCGCCCAGGCTGGAGTGCAGTGGCGCGATCTCGGCTCACTGCAAGCTCCGCCTCCCGGATTCACGCCATTCTCCTGCCTCAGCCTCCCAAGTAGCTGGGACTACAGGCGCCCGCCACTACGCCCGGCTAATTTTTTGTATTTTTAGTAGAGACGGGGTTTCACCGTTTTAGCCGGGATGGTCTCGATCTCCTGACCTTGTGATCCGCCCGCCTCGGCCTCCCAAAGTGCTGGGATTACAGGCGTGAGCCACCGCGCCTGGCCTTATTTCTTTTTCAATTGCATTATTTCGTTTGTCAGCATTAACCCAAGGAGAAATGCTTTGTTCCCAGTTCTTAAGAAAAATGCCAACCCCACTCCCACTTTCAGGGTAATTTACGCCTCAAATCTCACTGCCTGCATGAGGAAGGTTCCTGGGATTGAATATAAATGGAGGTGGAAATATACTGACAAATTCTCCTGCCTGCCTGTTTTGTTTTGTTTGTTTTGTTTTGGTTGATTTTGGGTTTTTGGAGACAGAGTCGCCATATGTTTCCCAGGCTGGTCTTGAACTGCTAGGCTCAAAGGATCCTCTTACCTCAGCCTCCACAGTATTTGGGATCACAGGAATGCACCACAGTCCCCGGCTCTGCCCGCTCGTATTTTAAAACTGGATTCTTTGTCCTGGCACGGTGGCTCATACCTGTAATCCCAGCACTTTGGGAGGCCGAGGCTGGCAGATCACTTGAGGTCAGGAGTTCGAGATCAGCCTGGCCAACACGGTGAAACCCCGTCTCTATTAAACATCAAAAAGTAGGCCGGGCACGGTGGGTCACACCTGTAATCCCAGTACTTTGGGAGGCCGAGGCAGGTGGATCAGTTTAGATCAGGAGTTCGAGACTAGCCTGGCCAACATGGCAAAACCCCCATCTCTACTAAAAATACAAAAATTAGCCGGGCATGGTGGCGGGCGCCTGTAGTCCCAGCTACTCAGGAGGCTGAGGCAGGAGAATCGCTTGAACCCGGGAGGCGAAGGCTACAGTGAGCCGAGATTGCGCCACTGCACCCCAGCCTGGGAGACAGAGCAAGACTCCACTTCAAAAAAAGAAAAAAATAATATTAATACAAAAAGTAGCCAAACATGACGGCATGTGCCTGTAATCCCAGCTATTCAGGAGGCTGAGGCAGGAGAATCGCTTGAACCCAGGAGACAGAGTTTGCAGTGAGCAGAGAGATTGCACCATTGCACGCCATCCTGGGTGGCTCTGTCTCAAAATAAAAAAATCTTTTAAAATGACTGTTTTCAGGCAAATATTTACCTGCTTTTTTTTTGTTTAATCAAAAGCTTATGTTCCATTTGCAAAGGTTTTTGTTGTTGTTGTTGTTTTCAGACCTAAAAAGGTTTGTTATGTTATTGCGTCCAGTTTTGGTATGTTTTACTACAGATAAAAAAGGAGAAAATTGCCCCTGGGACAAATGTGTATGATGATGCATACAAAAATGCTACGAAGTTACTAGATAACATTTGAGAAGAAAACACAGTGAGACTGTGCTGCATTTGATCCACTTATCAACACGCTTGACATTATGAAGTGAGTGGAACAAAGACCAACATGACTCAAGGAGATTTATCTCAAAACTTTGTGTCTTCATTACACAAACACCCTTTTTTGGAAGTGTTAATGCCTGCACTTTCTTTTCCAGGTCATTTTGGCAACTGCAGAAAGGGGGCAGTTAATGCGCTCAGCCCTCCCAGGCTTCCTTCACCATTTTTAATTTATCCTTCTTTGTTTAGAATACTTCTTCTTGGCTGGGCATCGTGGCTCATGCCTGTAATCTCAGCACTTTGGGAGGCCGAGGCAGGAGCGTTGCTTGAACCCAGGAGTTTGAGAACAGCTAGGGCAACAAACTGAGACCCTGTCTCTACAAAAATTCAAAAATATTAGCCGGGCATGGTACACGCCTGTAGTCCCAGTTACACTGGAGGCTGAGGCAGGAGGATTGCTTGAGCCCAGGAGGTTGAGGCTGCAGTGAGTTGTGATCACACCACTGCACTCCAGCCTGGGCAACAGAGTGAGACCCTGTCTCAAAAAATTAAATAAATAAATTAAATAAATAAATAAATAAATAAATAAAATGGAATTCATGGCAGCTATCAAAAACACTCATATTTTCATCAAGGCAACATAACTTTTAAAAATCTGATCTGAACTTAAAAATAGAAAATGCTGTGTGTGTGTGTCTGTGTGGAGGACAGGAGAGAGAGAGCAGAAATTTGCCACATATCTTTCAGAAATATATAGCTGATTGAAGAAAGCTGGTGAATACAGAATCTCATTACGAATTTCCGTTGCTGTGAGGCCGGGCGTGGTGGCTCACACCTGTAATCCCAGCACTTTGGGAGGCCGAGGTGGGCGGATCACCTGAGGTTGGGAGTTCAAGACCAGCCTGACCAATATGGAGAAACCCCGTCTCTACTAAAAATACAAAATTAGCCAGGCATGATGGCGCATGCCTGTAATCCGAGCTACTCAGGAGGCTGATGCAGGAGAATTGCTTGAACCCGGGAGGCAAGGTTGCAGTGAGCCGAGATCGCGCCATTGCACTCCAGCCTGGGCAACAAGAGTGAAAGAAACTCCATCTCAAAAAAAAAAAAAAAAAAAAAAGGATTTCCATTTCTGTGCCGGGTGAGGTGGCTCATGTCTCATGTCTGTAATCCCAGCACTTTGGAAGGCCATGGCAGGAGGATCACATGAGCCCAGGAGTTCAAGACCAGCCTGGGCAATACAATGAGAACAATGAGACCCTATCTCTACCAAATTTTTTTTTTGTTTTTTTTGAGATGGAGTCTCGCTCTTGTTGCCCAGGCTGGAGTGCAGTGGTGCAGTCTTGGCTTACTGCAACCTCTGCCTCCTGAGTTCAAGTGATTCTCCTGCCTCAGCCTCCTGAGTAGCTAGGATTACAGCTGCCTGCCACCATGCCTGGCTAATTTTTGTATTTTTTAGTAGAGGTGGGGTTTCACCATGTTGGCCAGGCTAGTCTCAAACTCCTGACCTCAGGTGATCCTCCCACCTTGGCCTCCCAAAGTGTTGGGATTACAGGCGTGAGCCACTGCGCCCGGCCAAATTTTTTTTTAATTAGCCTGGCGTTGTACTGTGTGCCTGTAATCCCAGCTACTGGGGAGGCTGAGGTGGGATGATCACTTGCGTGTGGGAGGTTGAGGCTGCAGTGAGCCAAGATCCCATCACTGGACTCCAGCCTGGGTGACAGAGGGAGAACTTGTCTAATTTAAAAAAAAGAAAAAAGAAAAAGAGAATTTCCATTTCTAAGGCAGCCGCCACTACTAAGCACATTTTTTTTTTTTACCTTGAAGACGAATATGAGACTCAAATGAGATACGCACATTCTACTTGTCTGTGTCTTAAAAAGAAAATATTATAGTCAGCACCAAAATTCGAGTCTTTTCTGCCAGGAAAGGGACCCAATTTAAGGGGGAAAATAAATATAAATTTCAGATTTCTGCATGGATACATCCTCATGTATATCATTTGTTCATGTAGTCACTCATTCATGTACTAATTCAACTAATTCACTCATTCATGAACTAATTCAATCCAAAGTGCTAGGATTACAGGCATAAGCCACCACCTCTGGCCCAGAAATGGAAATTCTTAATGAGATTCTGTGTTTACCAGCTTTCTTCTATCAGCTATATATTCATGAAAGATGTATGGCAAATTTCTTCTCTCTCCCTCTCTCCTGTCCTCTACACACACACACACACACACACACACATACGCACACACACACACACAGAGTATTTTCTATTCTTCTATTTATTCAATGCACATTGGTCTTTGGTGGTTAGGGAAACAAGAAGGGAAAGTGAGATGTAGGATTCTATATTATCATCACTCATTTCATTGGTAGCCCTGCACACTAAGGCAGGCACCATCTAGGGTCCCAAATTGAGTTAGAAGTGTAACTGGACAGAAAAAAATACTATGTAGGATACAAGAGATGACAAGGCTGCTGGGTGGGCCTAGCAACAGATTGTCATTAGAATGGGCTTGGAAATTAGTTTGCAGAATCTGGGGAAAAAAACAGATGAGAGATGCAGAATTTAATCAGGTAACATTGTCAGATCAGTCATTGTCGTATCAGTGAGAGTAGGAAGAAAGTGAAAATAATGCCGAAGTCTATTAGGTTCCGAGGTCTTGGGCAGAAACCTCACCTTCTGTGAATTGAGATCCACTGTTCCCTGAGGGGATGAGCCTCTTATCCCTGGGAGGATGTAGCATTAAGCAAAGAAATACTAAAGGGACTCAAACTCACATGCTTAATATCTCCATGTTAAAGAACTATCGGTATACAGTTGGTAGGTTCTAAGGGGTTCTTACAGGTAAGTTTTGCAATTCAAGTTAAAATATGTAATTGAGGGCTGGGCGCGGTGGCTCACACCTGTAATCCCAACACTTTGGGAGGCCGAGGCGGGTGGATCACAAGGTCAGGAGATCGAGACCATCCTGGCTAACACGGTGAAACCCCGTCTCTACTAAAAATACAAAAAATTAGCCGGACGTGGTGGCAGGCACCTGTAGTCTCACCTACTCGGGAGGCTGAGGCAGGAGAATGGCGTGAACCTGGGAGGTGGAGCTTGCAGTGAGCCGAGATAGCACCAATGCACTCCAGCCTGGGCAATAGAGCGAGACTCCATCTCAAAAAGAAAAAAAAATATATATATATACACACACACATATATATATACATACATACATATATATACACATATATATACATATATACATATATATATACATATATATGTAATTGAATGTGTGTGGTTTGTTCCTTTTGTTGTTTTTTTTGTTTTTGTTTTTGTTTTTTTTGAGTCGGAGTCTCGCTCTGTCACCTAGGCTGGAGTGCAGTGGCACGATCTTGGCTCACTGCAACCTCTGCCTCTTGGGTTCAAGCAATTCTCTGCCTCAGCCTCCCGAGTAGCTGGGATTATAGGTGCCCACCACCATGCCCAGCTAATTTTTGTATTTTTACTAGAGACGGGGTTTCACTGTCTTGGCCAGGCTGGTCTTGAACTCCTGACCTCGTGATCCACCCGCCTCAGCCTCCCAAAGTGCTGGGATTACAGGCGTGAGCCAACGCACCCGGCCATTCCTTTTGTTATTTTAGAGACAAGGTCTCATTCCATCCCTAAGGCTGGAGTGTAGAGGCTGCAGCTCACTGCAGCATCCAACTCCTTGGCCCAAGCGATCCACTCACTTCAGCCCTCCGAGTAGCTGGCACTACAGGTGTGCACCACCACCTCCAACTAATTTTTAAATTATTTGTAGAGACAGGGTCACCAATTGCTGGACTCAAGTGACCCTCCCACCTCACCTCCCAAAGTGCTGGGATTACAGGCCTGAGCCACCACACCCGACCAAATTTGTGATTTTAAGATGAGATTTTACTAAAACATTTAAATTAAATTAAATGTTAAAACATTTAAGTGAGGCCAGACGTGGTGGTTCATGTTTGTAATCCCAGCACTTTGGGAGCTCGAAGCGGGCAGATCACCTGAGGTCAGGAGTTCAAGATCAAACTGACCAACATGGCAAAACCTCGTCTCTACTAAAAATAAAAAAATAAAATAAAAATAAATTAGCCAGGCATGGTGGTGCACGCCTGTAATCCCAGCTACTTGGGAGGCTGAGGCAGGAGAATCACTTGAGCCCTAGAAGTGGAGGTTGCAGTAAGCCGAGATTGTGCCACTGCACTCCAGCCTGGGCAACAGAGTGAGACTCTGTCTCAAAAAAAGAAACTAGCATTTAAATGACCTTAAGTTCACCATATTAATGCATTTAATTTGTAATTATCAATGTTATTTAAAAATTTTTGGCCAGGTGCAGTGGCTCACACCTGTAATCTCAGCACTTTGGGAAGCCAAGGCCAGAGAATTGCTTGAGCTCAGGAGTTAGAAACCAGCGTGGGCGACATGTCTCTATTTATTAAAAAAAATTAATAATTTAAAACTTGGAAACATTTTGTCTAAGTGAGACGATTGAAGTGCTTAAAAGTAAATTATTAAATATATAAAAGCATTTAATATGTTAAAGCACATGTAACAATATTTGCAAATAATCAAATTATAAAAATCACTATTAAAAGTGATTGTTGGCCGGGTGCGGTGGCACACGCCTGTAATCCCAGCACTTTGGGAGGGCGAGGCAGGTGGATCACCTGAGGTCAGGAGTTCTAGACCAGCCTGGCCAACATAGTGAAACCCTGTCTCTACTAAAAATACAAAAATTAGCTGGGGGTGGTGGCAGGCGCCTGTAATCCCAGCTACTCGGGGGGCCAAGGTATTAGAATCACTTGAACCCGGGAGGCAGAAGTTGCAGTGAGCTGGGATGGTGCCATTGCACTCCAGCCTGGGGGACAAGAGCAAGACTTCATCTCAAAAAAATAAAAAAAAAAGTGATTGTTGGCCGGGCGTTGTGGCTCACACCTGTAATCTCAGCACTTTGGGAGGCCGGGACGGGTGGAACATCTGAGGTCAGGAGTTTTAGACCAGCCTGACCAACATGGTGAAACCCCGTCTCTACTAAAGATGCAAAACTTAGCCGGGCGTGGTGGTGCACGCCTGTAATCCCAGCTACTCAGGAGGCTAAGGCAGAAGAATCACCTGAACCCAGGAGGCGGAGGGTGCAGTGAGCCGAGATCGCGCCATTGTACTCCAGCTTGGGCAACAAGAGCGAAACTCCGTCTCAGAAAAAAAAAAAAAAGTGATTAAAAAAAAAAATTTTTTTTTGGCCGTGCGTGGTAACTGACGCCTGTAATCACAGCACTTTGGGAGGCTGAGGCAGGCGGATCACTAGGTCAGGAGATCGAGACCATCCTGGCTAACAAGGTGAAACCCCGTCTCTACTAAAAATACAAAAAATTAGCCAGGCGTGGTGGCATGTGCCTGTAGTCCCAGCTACTCAGGAGGCTGAGGCAGGAGAATGGCGTGAACCCCGGAGGCGGAGCTTGCGGTGAGCCGAGATTGCACACTGCACTCCAGCCTCGGAGACAGAGCAAGACTCTGTCTCAAAAAAAAAAAAAAAAAAAAAATTTGAGACAAGGTCTCACTCTGCCACACAGACTGGAGGGCAGTGGGTTCACTGCAGCCTTGAACTTCCTGGGCTTAGGTGATCCTCCCACCCCAGCCTCCCAAGTAGCTGGGACTACAGGTGGATGCCACCACACCCAGCTAATTTTTGTATTTTTTTTGTAAGGACACGGTTTCACTATGTTGCCCAGGCTGGTCTTGAACTCCTGGGCTCAAGCAAAATGCCTGTCTTGGCCTCCCAAAGTGCTGGGATTATAGGCATGAGCCACCATGCCTAGCCAATTGTTAAAATTTGCTAGAAGGAATGTGAATGAAGTGGAACTAAAAACTCTTTTAAAATCAAATATTAATTTTTAAGACCAAGGCATCTCCGAATAATTTTTCCTCTGCACAGAAAAACATCCTCAAGGGTACTGAAAAATGTACTGACTCCTAAAACTCTCCCAAATGTATTTCTCTGGGAGTGGTGGTAGTAGGGGAACCATCCCTGAGGCAGAGAACTGAGTATATTTTATTTCTATTTATAGGAGAGTTCTACTGAAGTTGTTAATAAAGTTAACTTCTAAAGTCAATTCTACTGCTTCCATATTTGGAAAAAAAACCCTCCGTGTGTTCATGAGCATCATTCTCAAGTCATCTGTATTCCAGAGCTGAATTCACCTTTTGTTTGGCTATTTGCAAAGATTTCTAACATTTCTAACAAATGACATACATAAACCCTAAGATTGCTCACATTTTAGGCTTCTTATTTCACACGTGTGCAGTTTTATACTAATATTAACTTTGTGTTCCTATAAAAATGTTTTGCTTACAACAAGGGCCTGTTTCCTAGCATTCTGAATAGTTTTGTGATGAAGGGTGAAGACTTTTGGAAAAAGCTCAAAAAGAGAAAGAGAGAGCAGTCCCTATATCTCAGGAGAATGAGCAAGGAGATGCATTCTGAGGCAACAGTGTTAAGGTTAAGCCAGAGTATGAACACTGAGGTGTCAGCATCCTCCCAGCAGGAGGTGCATTACCAGAGCTAGCCAGGGGCCTCTTGTCTTGGCTACTGGAGAGCGTGAGGAGTGAGAGCACCAAACCATGCTAATTCCACAGGCTACCGACCTGAAGGGCCTCCCAGACTACCCTGGGGAAAGCTGTAAATGTGCTGCTAGGCTTCAGATTTAGGTAGGGCCAAAGAGAACACGTTCCTTATTTTGCAAAGGCAAGCACATAGAAAGTAACCATCTAGGCCAGGTGCGGTGGCTCACACCTGTAATCCCAGCATTTTGGGAGGCCGAGGCAGGCGGATTGTGAGGTCAGGATATCGAGACCATCCTGGTTAACACGGTGAAACCCTGTCTCTACTAAAAATACAAAAAAAAAAAAAAAGAAAGAAAAAGAAAAAATTAGTTGGGCGTGGTGGCATACGCCTGTAGTCCCAGCTACTCAGGAGGCTGAGGCAGGAGAATTGCTTGAACCCAGGAGGTGGAGGTTGCAGTGAGCAGAGATCGTGCTACTGCACTCCAGCCTGGGCGACAGAGCAAGACTTTGTCTTAAAAAAAAAAAAAAGAATAAAGAAAAAAAAGAAAGTAACCAAAGTAACCATGCACTCACTAGGCATGGTGGCTCACACCCAGTACTTTGGGAGGCCAAGGTGGGAGGTCCCCTTGAATCCAGGAGTTTGAAACCAGCCTGGTCAACATAGCGAGATCCATCTCTACAACAAAAAAAAATAAAGAAAGAAAGTAAGTAACCTGGAAGGATTCTGAAACTCCCCTAGCAGGATGGTCAAGGAGTTTATATCTCTTTATGCTTCACTTTGCTGGAGAAGCAACTCAGTACCACTGGTATTTGTGCCACAATTACTTTAAAGGTATCTAAAATTAGTATCCACCCCCCACACCATACATATAAATTATGCAAACATAAGTAGGTGATTGGAAACATTTATTTTTAGCCAATTTTGCAAAATTAAAAGACCAAAGACATTGTCAAACTAGTAGAGTGAGCCTAATATGCCTTAAATGAATAAAGAGGATTCAAATGAGAAATACAAGAAAATACAAATAGTAGATGATGCATTTAGTTAGCAATGATTTGTTGTTTAAACAAAAATATTGTTTTGGATCAACTTGTTCTCAACCAAATTATTTTGGATCCAGTGATCTGACACACAAAATGCAAATGAGGAAGGGATGCAAGCCAATGATCCAGAATAGGATCAGATTTTCCAACGGCATAATGTAAACTTTGTCCAAAGGCTCATGGGACTTTCAGTGGGTGGATTTAATGTTGTGGGGGGAGGGGGGGCAGTGCAAGAGGAGGGATAAAGGGTCAGTGCTGCCAGGACTTGTCTAGTCCTTCCACACCCTCTAATCATGATCTGCAGGCTCTTTGCAGCCTGAAAGATCCTCTGACTGATAATATTGTGGCTCTGATAATCCTATGACATTACTAACTCCTGGTTGCTCCAAGAAACTTTCCTTCTTTATCAAATTCCAAGCTTCTCCATAAGGAAGGCTGTAGCAGGAACAGAGAGATGTATGCAGTACTGAAAACAGCAGTGGCAGAAATGATTCAAAGCTTTCTTGCCTTCTAAGAACACCAAAAATTAAATTTATTTAAGAATAAATATCCTGAGACTGCTGGGAGGGAGAAAAGGGCATAGAGACTTGTTTTAGAAACATGATTTATCAGGCAAACTGCGCACTGTCCCCTTTTTAATGGCTCAGGATGTTGCAGAAGAATGGAACATTAGTATATTATGCTGAAATTTTGGTTGGGCGCGGTGGCCCACGCCTGTAATCCTAGCACTTTGGGAGGTCGAGGCAGTCAGATCCCCTGAGGTCAGGAGTTTGAGATCAGCCTGGCCAACATGGTGAAACCCCGTCTCTACTAAAAATACAAAAATTAGCTGGGTGTGGTGGTACGTGCCTGTAATCCCAGCTACTTAGGAGGCTGAGGCAGGAAAATCACTTAAACCTGGGAAGCGGAGGTTGCGGTGAGCCGAGATCATGCATTTACACTCCAGCCTGGGCAACAGAGCGGGACTCAGTCTCAAAAAAAAAATATATATATATATATATATTATAATATATTATAATATATTAATATGTAATATACATTAATATATTATAATATATTAATATGTAATATATTAATATATAATACATAATATACATTATACATAATATAATACATATATACTATATATTTTTATACATATTATATTTTTATATAAGTTTATATATTATATATTACATATAAATGTTTTGTATATTTTTATAATTTTTAATATATAATATATAAATATACATAATGTATATATAATCCTAAAATTTTAATTTATTGAAATGTCTTTTTTTTTTTTGAGATGGAGACTCACTTTGTCGCCCAGGTTGGAGTTCAGTGGCACAACCTCGGCTCACTGCAACCTCCGCCTCCCGGGTTCAAGCAATCTTCCTGCCTCACCCTCCCGAGTAGCTGGGACTACAGGCGCCTGCCACCACGCCCAGCTAATTTTTGTATGTGTATATATATATATATATATTTTAGTAGAGATTGGGTTTCAGCATGTTGGCCAGGCTGCTCTCGAACTTTTGACCTCAAGTTATCTGCCCACCTCGGCCTCCCAAAGTGCTGGGACTACAGGTGTGAGCCACTGTGCCCAGCCAATTTATTGAAATGTCTTTACTTCTCTTAGTACATTTATTCTTCTTAGGTGGTGCAAAGAGTGATATAAATGAAATATAGATCCAGCTTAAATCAATTCGGAAAGCAAAATGCTAGAAGGCTCTTCTTTTTCCAGGCTCTGAGCCCCATCCCCAATTCTCATCCAGCGGCACCCCCATTGCTGAGAAGCTTCCCAGGCTCTGTCGCTGGGCCCTCTGATAATAACCCCCTGGACACACACCCACTTCAGGGCGTGTAGGTGCGTCTGCACGCGTGCGCGCGCACACACGCACACACACACACACACACAAACACACACTCATCCTCTTCATGGAAAGCTCTTTCTCTTCTGGCTTGGAATGAAACCTAGCTCTCTCCATAAGAGTCTCTGGAAACTCATAAGCATCCCCAGGGCCAGGGATGCGTGAGGATGGAGCAGGGTGGCGAGCAGAGGGAAGTGATGGCCCCTCCTCTCTCCACCCTCACAGGCTCCATCTTCATGCCAGAGCCCTAACTCCTCTAAGGCCCCTGCCATTCAGCAATTTCGCTGCCAGTGGTGTTAACGTCAAGGCCACCAGTCCTGCTTCTCAGCGAGATAGTATGGGAATGGGACGTGGCTTCTACTTCATGTTGTTTTTGTTTTCTTTTTGTTTTGTTTTGTTTGTTTGTTTTTTTTGAAAGACTTCACCTGCTTTTTATTGTGTTCTCTCTCTCCAAAACTAAGATATTTTACGTATTTTCTAATTGGTTCTAGATTTCTTTTTCTTTTTTTTTTTTTCTCTTTTTTTTCTTTTTCTTTTTTTTTTTTTTTATTGATCATTCTTGGGTGTTTCTCGCAGAGGGGATTTGGCAGGGTCATAGGACAATAGTGGAGGGAAGGTCAGCAGACAAACAAGTGACCAAAGGTCTCCGGTTTTCCTAGGCAGAGTGTTTGTGTCCCTGGGTACTTGAGATTAGGGAGTGGTGATGACTCTTAACGAGCATGCTGCCTTCAAGCATCTGTTTAACAAAGCACATCTTGCACCGCCCTTAATCCATTTAACCCTGAGTGGACACAGCACATGTTTCAGAGAGCACAGGGTTGGGGGTAAGGTCATAGATCAATAGGATCCCAAGGCAGAAGAATTTTTCTTAGTACAGAACAAAATGAAAAGTCTCCCATGTCTACTACTTTCTACACAGACACAGCAACCGTCCGATTTCTCAATCTTTTCCCCACCTTGCCCCCTTTTCTATTCCACAAAACCGCCATTGTCATCATGGCCCGTTCTCAATGAGCTGTTGGGTACACCTCCCAGACGGGGTGGTGGCCAGGCAGAGGGGCTCCTCACTTCCCAGTAGGGGCGGCCGGGCAGAGGCGCCCCTCACCTCCCGGATGGGGCGGCTGGCCGGGCGGGGGGCTGACCCCCTCACCTCCCTCCCGGACGGGGCGGCTGGCCTGGCGGGGGCTGACCCCGACCTCCCTCCCGGGCGGGGTGGCTGCCGGGCGGAGACGCTCCTCACTTCCCAGATGGGGTGGCAGCCGGGCGGAGGGGCTCCTCACTTCTCAGACGGGGCGGTTGCGAGGCGGAGGGTCTCCTCACTTCTCAGACGGGGCTGCCAGGCAGAGACGCTCCTCACCTCCCAGATGGGGTCGCGGCCGGGCCGAGGCGCTCCTCACATCCCAGACGGGGTGGCAGGGCAGAGGCGCTCCCCACATCTCAGACGATGGGCGGCCGGGCAGAGACGCTCTTCACTTCCTAGATGGGATGGCGGCCGGGAAGAGACGCTCCTCACTTCCCAGGTGGGATGGCGGCCAGGCAGAGACGCTCCTCACTTCCCAGACTGGGCAGCCAGGCAGAGGGGCTCCTCACATCCCAGACGATGGGCGGCCAGGCAGAGACGCTCCTCACTTCCCAGACTGGGCAGCCAGGCAGAGGGGCTCCTCACATCCCAGACGATGGGCGGCCAGGCAGAGACGCTCCTCACTTCCCAGACGGGGTGGCAGCCGGGCAGAGGCTGCAATCTCGGCACTTTGGGAGGCCAAGGCAGGCGGCTGGGAGGTGGAGGTTGTAGTGAGCCGAGATCACGCCACTGCACTCCAGCCTGGGCACCATTGAGCACTGAGTTAACGAGACTCCATCTGCAATCCCGGCACATCGGGAGGCCGAGGCTGGCAGATCACTCGCGGTTAGGAGCTGGAGACCAGCCCGGCCAACACAGCGAAACCCCGTTTCCACCAAAAAAATACGAAAACCAGTCAGGCGTGGCGGCGCGCGCCTGCAATCGCAGGCACTCTGCAGGCTGAGGCAGGACAATCAGGCAGGGAGGTTGCAGTGAGCCGAGATGGCAGCAGGACAGTCCAGCTTTGGCTCGGCATGAGAGGGAGACCGTGGAAAGGGGAGAGGAGAGAGGAGAGGTGAGAGGTGAGAGAGAGGAGAGGGGAGAGGGGAGAGAGGAGAGGGGAGAGGGGAGAGAGGAGAGGGGAGAGGAGAGAGCTTTGTTTTGTTTTTGAGATGGAGTTTCACTCTTGTTGCCCAGGCTGGAGTACAATGGTGCAATCTGGGCTTACTGCAACATTCACCTCCCGGGTTCAAGCGATTCCCTTCCTCAGCCTCCCAAGTGGCATGCGCCACCACACTTGGCTAATTTTGTGTTTTTAGTAGAGATGGGGTTTTACCATGTTGGTCAGGCTGGTCTTGAATTCCTGACCTCGGGTGATCCACCTACCTCAGCCTCCCAAAGTGCTGGGATTACAGGTGTGAGCCATCGTGCCTGGCCCCTACTTCATGTTTAAGATGCCTTTTACTTGAAAAATTCTAGGAAATTACCTTACGAAACCTAAATATCAAACCAGGGTGTCCAGTGTGCCACCTCAGGAAGGAATGCTGAACAATTGATTTACATCTTGTTGCTGCTGGCCAGGCCACAAGGGGACCCTTGACACAAGAGAATCATGGCAGCCAGATATGCTGACCTGCATCCTGTCCCCTCAGTGCTCCGCCCTACTCCTGATATCAGTTCCCACACTTTGCCTAATAAAAAAGCTTTATTTGGCTAGGATTACAGGTGTGAGCTACCGCACCCAATCCTTACTGCATTTTCTTTTCTTTTTTTGAGACTGAGTCTAGCTCTGTCGCCCAGCCTGGAGTGCAGTGGCACAATCTCAGCTCACCACAACCTTCGCCTCCCAGGTTCAAGCAGTTCTTCTGCCTCAGCCTCCCAAGTAGTTGGGATTACAGGCACACACCAGCACTACTGGCTAATTTTTATATTTTTAGTAGAGATGGGGTTTCACTGTGTTGGCCAGGCTGGTCTTGAACTCCTGACCTCGTGATCTGCCCGCCTCGGTCTCCCAAAGTGCTGGGATTACAAGCGTGAGCCACTGTACCTGGCCCCTACTTGCATTTTCAATAGCACTTCACCTGGAGGATTATTTCTCCCTGAAATTCTCTTGTTTGTTTTGGGACATCAGTCTCTGCTGGTACTCTTTGCACTTCTCTGACTACTGCTTTTCCAGTCTTCTGGGAAGTGCTTGGTTCTTTGTCCTCGCCCCTTTTTGGTCTAGACCCACTCTATTTACCATGTACTATGTACTGACCAAGTGCTGTGTGTTCACAGATGTGCTCCAGACAGACTTAAAGCACAGTCCCTGTCCTCAGGGAAATTTCAGGGAACTTGCAGTGTGGAGAGAAGTAGAATGTAAGGGAATCATTGACATACAGTATGACATATGAAACAACAGAAGCCTTTGTTTAGTCCAGAAGTTGTGCAAAAGACAGGGTGGACTCTCCCTGGAGCAAGGTCTGGGAAGGCTTCACGAGGGAAATGAGGGTAAGAATGGCCTTCACAAATAGACAAGGATAGAAAAATTATTTCAGGCAGAGAAAACATTCCCAGGGCAATGCAAAAAGGTAGGCGGAAGTAGATTCACACAAATAGAATTCTGAGCAATTTGCAAATAGCATATTCCTCTATTTCCATGATTTTCAACCAGGGCAATTTTGTCCTGCCCAGCAATATTTGGCTATGTCTGGAGACATTTTTCATTGTCACAACTTGGGGGGAGTGAACATCTAGTAGTTTAGTCGTTGGAGGCCAGAGAGGCATCTAAACACCCCACAATTCACAGGACAGGCTCTCACACAAAGAATTATCTGACCTAAATGTTAATAATGCTGCCATTGAGAAGTCATGTTCTATTTTCACTCCAGTGTGAGGAGTCCAGCTCCAGGCCAAATTCTATGTGTGATTTTTCAGACCTGACCGTAGGTGGTTATGTTAGAAACAAAATGCTTGTTCCTCAGTGCCGCAAAGAAATAGCACTCAAACATAAATTTAATTTTCTCAGCAAGGCAATTTTTACTCCTACAGAAGAGTGTGACTTGTGAATCAAGCAATGGTGAGGGCACACCTGGACAAGGGAGGGGAAGGGGTTCTTATTCCTGATGTAGGTAGCCCCTACTGCTGTGTCATTCCCCTGTTGGCGAGGGTGGGATAGCACAGTCTAAGCTAATTCTGATTGGCTATTTTAAAGAGAGCAGGGGTAACAGCCAGAGTGGCCGGGTGGGTAGTTTAGCAAGAAGGGTGGTTACTCCGGATGATTCAGGTGAGAGCAGGTGACCGGGGTGACTCATGTCAAAGCAGGTGACCAGGGGAACAGATGTGAACTACTGATTAGAACTGGCGGGAAAGTTGTTTACTGAAACTAGAGGCAAGGGGGCGAAGAGAACCAGGAAGTTAAACTTTAAAATGAAGAATCAAAGAATAAGAGAGCTGAACATACTGACATACTGATTCTTTGAAGAGAAACTTGGAGTTCACTATATCTAACAGTTACAAAGGTATTTACCTGGCAGGTCTCTGAGGGCTGGGGAGCTGCACCTTCCGTCCTAGCCTTGCTGCATAGCTGGTGCATTGCAGTTGTACAAGGGAGTTGCAGTCAAAGACTCAGAAGCGACCTCCCACCACCACCCCCAAGCTGGGTTCTTAGACACATCTGCAGGCTTAGCCTAGGTACCTCCATTTTGAGGTGAGGGGAGGTGCCTCAGGTGAGACCACCTTTTTCCTTTTATAGATATATAAAGTATATTTTATATATATATATATATATTTTTTTTTTTTTTGAGACAAAGTCTCACTCTGTCACCCAGATTGGAGTGTAATGTCATGATCTTGGCTCATTGCAACCTCTGCCTCCTGGGTTCAAGCGATTCTCCTGCCTCAGACTCCTGAGTAGCTGGGATTACAGGCGCCCACCACCATGCCCGGCTAAGTTTTGTATCTTTAGTAGAGACAGGGTTACACCACGTTGGCCAGGCTGGTCTTGAACTCCTGACCTCAGGCAATCCGCCCCCCTCAGCCTCCCAAAGTGCTGGGATTACAGGCATAAACCACTGTGCCCAGTCATTTATTTTATTTTTTAAAATAAAAAATAGAGACGGGGTTATACCATGTTAGACAGGCTGGTCTCGAACCCCTGACCTAATCAACCCACCTCAGCCTCCCAAAGTGCTGGGATTACAGGCTTGAGCCACGGCCCCCCTTCTCTGGGGCGCTTTGAAGACGTTTTCCCCTCTGGGACACAGTGTTTGGTACTTTTCCACTCCTAGCCCTTCCCCTCTCCCTCCCCAGGCCCCCAGATCCTGGCAGCTGAACCGGCTCTGACTCAGCTCTAGACATAGTCACATTACGCAATTATTTGGTTTTCTTTGTCTTTGAATCTAGCAGGCACTTAATGATTTTAGAATTGAATGAATGAGAACATGTTTTCATTTTCCAGATGACAAACCTAAAAGAAGTCATTAACAGGATGATAGAATAAGGCTTTAAGAAATTTTGTGGACAGCTTGGCAAAGGAAAATGAAATTTGGGCAAACATAAAATCCTCCATTTAGGCCTACTAAAACAGTAACCGTAGAAGTGTGGAATGCAGCTGTTCTAGGAATCAGCATATGGAAGTGCTAGGACTCCCTGATATTTAGGAGCATGTGTGAGGCAGGAAAACAGGGTCTGGAGGCAGGGAACATAAGGCAGGGGACACTTCGGCTATCACAGGAAATATCCTCTCCACAGTAAATTATTTTACAACTTTACTTCATGCTCTTCATTTACATAGGGCACACCCCTTTCCAAAAATTCTGTAATGGGGCCCTTGAGCCCCTTTGCTTGGGCCTGCTGCCACACTGTGGAGTGTACTTTCAATTTCATTTTTTTTTCTTTTTTCTTTTTTGAGATGGAGTTTCGCTCTTGTTGCCCAGGCTGGAGTGCAATGACAAGTTCTCAGATCACTGCAACCTCCACCTCCTGGGTTCAAGCGATTCTCATACCTCAGCCTCCCAAGTAGCTGGAATTACAGGTGTGAGCCACCATACCCGGCTCTATTCACCATTCTTTAGAAGGGCCACTGACCACAGGGAACATGTGTAAGGAATCAAATGAGTGAATTAGGATGCTTATCTTGGAGAAGGCAAGAAACAGCAGCAAAGAGCAAGATGATATGAAGAGTTCTCAGGAGGAAGGGCCTGAACAAAGCTACATTTGCTACAACTCTCATGGAACAGAAGCTTCCAGGCCACACACTGACATGGGCCTCTTGTGAGCCTTCAACCTAATTTTGTGTTCATAATTGTTATTCTTCTTCCTGAAAAAGGGCTTCCCAAATTGAATACGGTTAGCCCACTAACCAGTTCTGGGTCCACCCTAGAGCTAGAATGAGTCTGCCTGACTCCGTAACTCCTTAGGACAAAACAAAGGCTAATAATTGAAAATTACACTGAGGCAGCTGGGCGTGGTGACTTACGCCTGTAATCCCAGCTGCTCAGGAGGCTGAGGCAGGAGAATGGCATGAACCCGGGAGGCAGAGCTTGCAGTGAGCCAAGTAAGCCACTGCACTCCAGCCTGGGCGACAGAGCGAGACTCCGTCTAAAAACAAAATTACACTGAGGCAGAACATTGCTCAAGATCTGGAAATTCTCCCAGTCAGCTCTATTAAAAATTGGGATGGGCTGCGGAAAACCCGTGAGCATGTCACTGGAAGTCTTCAAGTAGGGGCAGAGTGATCGCCTGCAGGATGTTGTAAGAGGAGCTGATGATTTCTTCCAACTCCAGGAATCTGAATCTCTAAAATAAGCTGTAGAGCATTTAGAAATCATATTTTAGCTGGGCATTATAGTGGGCACCCCAAGTTCAGACATGTTGTTAGCATTGTTTAAATTGCTGTAGTACTATAAAGTAATGCAAATACATATTCAAACGTATTCAATATTTCAGAATGACCTTTTCTCAAACATTCACCATTAGGAAGTTACTGAATTTAATTGGCAATACACTCCTAATCTCCCACTCTTCTAGCCATGCTCTTGGATACTGGATTCCTTGCTCAAAAATAGCCTAGGTTGGCCGGGCGCGGTGGCTCACGTCTGTAATCCCAGCACTTTGGGAGGCCAAGGCGGGCAGATTACGAGGTCAGGAGATCGAGAGCATCCTGGCTAACACGGTGAAACCCCATCTCTACTAAAAAATACAAAAAAAAAAAAAAAATTAACCAGGTGTGGTGGCGGGCACCTGTAGTCCCAGCTACTCGGGAGGCTGGGGCAGGAGAATGGCATGAACCCGGGAGGCGGAGCTTGCAATGAGCCGAGATCACGCCACTGCACTCCAGCCTGGGTGACAGAGCGAGACTCTGTCTCAAAAAAAAAAAAAAAAAAAGCCTAGGCTGGGTGTGGCGACTCATCCCAGCACTTTGGGAAGCTAAGGCAGGTGGATCGCTTGAGCCCAGGAGTTCGAGATCAGCCTGGGGAACATGACGAAACCCCATCTCTACTAAAAATACAACAACAACAACAACAAATAGCAGGACATGATGGCACGCACCTGTAGTTCCAGCTACTCAGGAGGCTGAGGTGGGAGGATCACCTGAGCCCAGGAGGTGGAGGCTGCAGTGAGCTGTGATCATGCCACTGCACTCCAGCCTAGGTGACAGAGTGAGACCGAGACTCTGTCTTAAAAAAAAGAAAGAAAAAGCCCAGAAGCCCCATCCCAACAGCTCTGTCATCATCATTGCTGCCATGACAGTCAAGTGCAGCAGGTCCTTGGTCTTTCAATGCACGTCAGATGTATCATCACAGTGAACCGCTGGTGACAGTTTGACTGATAGTGATGACGCCATGTGCTGTAGATTACTAATGTTCAGTTTCCTAGTAGAAAGGAAGTCAGCACTGTGATCAAGCCAAAGACACCTCCATACAAATCCCGTGATCTAATCTATGAGAGTCTGTTTTCTTGGACCTCATACCCATGACATCAGTCATGGTCCAGTCAAGAAAACAGAAACAATCTTAGCATTTCAATAGAGAAAATTTAATATAAGAAATTGAGGCCGGGCGCAGTGGCTCACGCCTGTAATCCCAGCACTTTGGGAGGCTGAGGCGGGCAGATCACCTGAGGTCGGGAGTTTGAGACCAGCCTGACCAACATGAAGAAACCCCATCTCTACTGAAAATACAAAATTAGCATTGCGTGACGGTGCATGCCTGTAATCCCAGCTACTCTGGAGGCTGATGCAGGAGAATTGCTTGAACCCGGGAGGTGGAGGTTGTGGTGAGCTGAGATCATGCCACTGCACTCCAGCCTAGGCAACAAGAGTGAAATTCCATCTAAAAAAAAAAAAAAAAGAAAGAAAAAAGAAAGAAATTGGTGAAGCAGGCAGGGCGCGGTGGCTCATACCTGTAATCCCAGCACTTTGGGAGGCTGAGGCAGGTGGATCACCTGAGGTCAGGAGTTTGAGACCAGCCTGGCCAACATCGCGAAACCCCATCTCTACTAAAAATACAAAAATTAGGCCGGGCGCGGTGGTGGGTGCCTGTAATACCAGCTGCTCAGGAGGCTGAGGCAGGAGAATTGCTTGAACTTGGGAGACAGAGGTTGCAGTGAGCCAAGATCATGCCACTGCACTCTAGCCTGGGCGACAAAAAAAAGAAAAAAAAGAAAAAAAAATTGAGAAAGCAAGTAAAAGGGCAAAAACAGAAAACTGAGACAGCAAGGACCTTAAAGGCAGGAGGCAGTGTGGAGGCCAAAGCAGCTCCACCACAGACGCTGATCCACCATGTTGGCTTGTGATTAACTCCTATTCCCAGAAGCCTCTAAGAGTTCCAGTCTATGTGTTGTTCCTTGTGTAAGAGCAGGTACTTTACCATAAATCCTGCCCTTAGGTCAAACAACCGTGATATCATATTTCAATTGTCCTACACATCTCTTCTGAAGCATCTACACCCTTTCCCGATGGTGTGTAAACCCTGGGTCTGGGGATGATGGCGCAGGGTCTACCATCTCAACTCGCAGTGACCAGAGACACAAACCTGGCTTCTGTTTGTAAGTCCCTATTAAATGTTTCTTTCTAAGAAACTGGATTTGTCAGCCTCCTTTTTGGGCCTCTCAGCTTCCTTGGATTTGGGAGGCAGGTTTGCATAGACCTGCTCACCACAAAACAGGTAGCTACCAACCTTAGGGTTGGGGAAACAGGGGCAGAGGTTGAGGTTATCAGAACCTGGAAGCTGGGAGGAGGAGTGTCACAGAGCTGGGAGCTGGACCTCTGTGCAGGACACTGCTGCAGCTGCCATGGCAGGCTCAGAGGGGGACTTTAAGGAATGGCTGGTGCTATGACCCCTGCAGGGCACAGAGAGTCTGGCTCAGAGTGTGGGGAGAGCTGGAGGGAGGCCGACAAGGACAGCAGGTGAGCAGGTCCCTTCTCCCTCTTCCAGCCCCTTCCCCCACCATCTCCTTCCCGCACTCCTCCTGCTAGATTTTAACAGGAGTCAGCTGCCAAAGGGAGATAAACGTGTCTGCAGAGTCTTAGCCTCAGCATCAAATTGCAGAGCAGGGGTGGGTTGTTTTGAGCTGAGAGACAAACGCTTAATAACCAGCACAACAAGGCTGGGCACGGTGGCTCAAGCCTGTAATCCCAGCACTCTGGGAGGCGGAGGCAAGCTGGATCATGAGGTCAGAAGATCGAGACCATCCTGGCTAACACAGTGAAACCCCGTCTCTACTAAAAATATAAAAAAATTAGCCGGACATGGTGGCACGTGCCTGTAATCCCAGCTACTTGGGAGGTTGAAGCAGGAGAATTGCTTGAACCCGGGAGGCAGAGTTGTAGTGAGCTGAGATTGCGCCACTGCACTCCAGCCTGGGCAACAAAGCGAGACTGTGTCTCAAAAAAATAATAATAAATAAATAAATAAAATAACCAGCACACGACCCCTGCCCACACACATAGGACAATGTCTGGACTCCTTGGGGTGGCTGATGCAGCCCCTCCTGACCTGGCCTGCTCCCCAGCCCTCCCGCCTCCCTCTCTGAAGGAAGCCTCTTTCCTGTCTCTCTAGATCTGGCAGTATTCACCTCCCTTGGGTTCTGCTGCACCTGCTCAGGTAACTATGAAAGCACCGGAAACGCTTCTCATTTATTGACTAACACATCTGTTTCCCCTACTAAAATTCCCAAGCCCTGGCCAGGCACAGTGGCTCATGCCTATAATCCCAGCACTTTGGAAGGCCGAGACAAGAGAATCACTTGGGCCTAGGAGTTCAAGACCAGACCTGGCAACATAGCAAGACCCTGTCTGTACAAAAAATTAAAAAATAAAAAACTTAGCTTGGTGTGATAGCACGCGCCTGTGGTCTCAGCTACTTGCGAGGCCGAGATGGAAGGATCGCTTGAGCCCAGGAATTTGAGGCTACATGCCATTGCACTCCAGTCTGGGCCACAGAGCAAGATCCTGTGCCTTAAAAAAAAGAGTATTCATTTAGCCCAGGGGATAGATTGCACACCTCAGCCCTTCTAGTCTGGGGTACCAGGCATAAGATAGAGACCAGGTCTAAGTCTTGGATCTTATAATTGGAAGAGAAGTGACCTGCTTCTTTGCCTTAGATTTTTTTTTTTTTTAAACAAGGTCTCACTCTGTTGTCCAGGCTGGAGCTGGAGTTTGGTGGAATGACCTTGGCTCACTGCAGCCTCAACCTCCCCAGCTCAGAGATCCTTCCAGGTCAGCCTTCTGAGTAGCTGGGACTACAGGTGCACACCACCACGCCCAGGTAATTATTTAATTTTTGCAGTGACGGGGGTCTAGCTATGTTGCCCAGGCTGGTCTCAAACTCCTGGGCTCAAGTGATCCTCCCACCTTGGCTTCCAAAGTGCTGGGATTACAGGCATGAGCCACCCTGCTGGCGGGGCCTTTTTTTCAGAATGATTATTTTCTATTGTTGAGATGTAGCTGATGTGAGCTGGCTTCTTGGTAGTCTTGAAATAGCCTGTATTTTTTACTACAAGCAAGTTATGTCACACCAATTTTAATTTTTCCTCTCCCAAGAAACACAAGCAGTCCATGAGTGAAAGCAGCCAAGGGGCCCTGAAGAGGTAATACAGATTGTAGACCACTTTAGTAAATACCATGAGTTTGTTTTCATGTATCTAATTTACCTTCATCTTTACCAAGAACTTTTTTGTTTAAAACACTCTTGTCCTGCACTAAGATTTTCAATATATTTCCCTCCCTTTTCTGAGCTATTAGCCTCTCTCTTCTCTGAGACGGAGTCTCGCTGTTACCCAGGCTGGAGTGCGGTGGCGCGATCTCGGCTCACTGCAACCTCTGCCTCCTGGGTTCAAGCTCTCCTGCCTTAGCCTCCTGAGTAGCTGGGATTACAGGTATGCGCCACCAAGCCTGGCTAATTTTTGTATTTTTAGTATAGACGGGGTTTTACCATGTTGGTCAGGCTGGTCTCAAACTCCTGACCTTGTGATCCACCCACCTCGGCCTCCCAAAGTGCTGGAATTACAGGCATTAGCCACCATGCCCAGCCCTATCTTCTTACCAATTTTAATGTGCCGTACTGTATGTGATTATCCCCAACCAATTGTTTAAATCATATAGTCTAGCCTATTATGTGAATGGGCACCTACCTAAATCTTGAAACTCTTCACCTAGGTTGCAATTATATTCCCCTCTCCTTTAAAAATCCTTATATGTCTCATTGATTGTTCTTCCAGATTCATTTACCAACCACCACACTCTATTAGAAGCCAGAGTTTATGGGGTTAGAGCTGGAAAACTGACAAAGTAAATTTCCTTTAGTACCTCTCATAACATCCCAAGTCAATATGATGCTTCATGTTAAGCAGTGCAATCACAGCAAGTAATAAGATTCTACATACCAAACCACATTTAGCTTGTTGTCTTCGAGTTTTTGGTAGAGCCTTGTGCTGGGGGTGGCAGGAAGAGAGAGGGGACACAGCATGGCCAGTGCTATATAGCATGGAATGCTTTTAACAGAGAACAAAGTGTTTGTACTAAAAGGCAGGAATCTGGGGCTCAGTAGGTGTTGAGTAACTGAATTGCTATGAATGATTTTCCGTCAAAATCTAAATAACATTCCAGCCTTTGCCAGCTTCATAGGGGAATTAGATAGTAGGAATGCACTGAGTTTGTGCTCCTGGGAAGACTCCACGATTGGGGGAAGGAAGGCAACAGAAATGAGGGCAGGGATGTTGTTTATCTCCGTCCAAGCACAGGAGGCCCCGGGTGGGATGACAGGTGGGATGACCTCCGTTTACTGGTGGCCCAAAAGCACACCTATGCCTTCAGGATGAAGTGCGCTCTGCTCCTCACCCAAAGGTTTATTTCTGGAAACCTTTAACTGAAGTACATGCACATTCAGAAGAATACATGTATCCTGAACATACAACTCACTGGACTGTCACAAACTGACCATACCTATGCAACCAGCACCAGGTCAAAAAGATATTATTTTATTTTAATTAATTTATTATTATTATTTTGGAGACAGGGTCTGGCTCTGTCTCCCAGGCCGAAATGCTGTGTCATGATCTTGGCTCACCGCAACCTCCACCTCCCGGGTTCAAATGATTCTCCTGCCTCAGCCTCCGGAGTAGCTGGGATTATAGGCGTCCGCCACTATGCCTGGGCTAATTTTTGTATTTTTAGTAGAGACAGGGTTTCGCCACATTGCTCAGGCTGGTCTCGAACTCCTGACCTCAAGTGATCCACCTGCCTCGGCATCCCAAAATGCTGGGATTATAGATGTGAGCCACCGCGCCCAGCTAAAAAGATATTTTAATAATATGAATGCAACTCTGCATGTGCATGAAATGCAAAGGTGACAGGGTGTTATGAAAATGTCTCCCTTCCCTCTATTTTCTAGTCACCCAGATTTCCTATTAAGAAAAAAAAATTGTCATTAGTTTCTTAACCAATGGGTTTTAAACCAGACTTCCTGACATCTGTAAGATCTTGGCTTGGGCTCGCGGCCTCGGTGAGGCTGGAAGGGTCTTTGTGTGAGCTCAGGACGGCGCTGGACAGGTGGGCCCTGGCTCCAGCTCCGGCTGCAGCGTCTTCCCCGCGCTCCCGAGCCTATCCCTCGGGCGCCGGCCTGGGCTGTCCAGCGAGAGGGGCGGAGGGGCAGGGCCCCGGGCTAGGTCCAGGCCCGCAGCTGGCATCAGGGGGGGCCTGGGTGGGAAGACCGGTTGGGGTGGGGGTGCACAGACCCGGGGAATCTGAGACGCAAGGTTTCCGGCTCTTGGCCGCTAGTGAGGAAGGCTCGAGGCCGATCCTGGCCCAAAGCAGGGCGCCGGGCCATTGTCAGTCCTGGGAAGGGGGATTGGGAGGAGCCCCAGAGGGGCGGCCATTCCCTGGGGCGGCGTGGAAGGGAGGCAGCACCTCCAGGCGACAAGTAGAGCTGGGCCCTGGCGGGCTGCCACGGGGGTGTCTGGCAGTCTCTCCTGGGTCTAGGGCTGTTCCTCTGAGGTCACGAGGTGGTCCTTCGGGTGTGTCTGGGGTAAGCCCCTCTAGAATCTGGGGGCGGCCTCCCGGGGGCCATACTGCATCACGTAGTGGAGGTAAGCAGAAGCCCGTTGGGGAGGGCCCGCGGTGCTTCTGGTTTGAAGATCTCCAGGAAGAGTGATTTTAAAAAATAGCCTGACTGACGTGTAAAGAACCCTATCAAGTACCGTTTGCTGAGTCATGAGTGCCTGTTCAAGTTCAAGCCTGAGAACGGAGGGAAGGGGTGGGTGAAAAAGGACTCGCCAACGCCGCGGCGCCTCTAAGCTGGTAAATACGGCCGGCCTGAAGTGGGCCAAAGGTCGCCGCCTGAGGGACACACAGGCCCAGGCCCAGCGGCTGGCCTGAGTCTACGCGGTTTGTGGTTCCTCCTTAGGAAGCCAGATATGGCACTTTCACTTTAAAGATAAAGAAAACGATTTTAAATGAAAATAATTTTTTTTTCCCTTAAGGGGTGTACACTTTTACTTGGGTCACCTTTTGGTCTTCTTTCTTTTAATAAAGAAACCCAAAAGTATGATCTCTCTCAAGTTTTCTTATGTAAAAAAAATGTATAATTTTATTTTGTATAGAGACGAGGTCTTGCTCTGTTGCTCACACTAGAGTGCAGTGGCTCAATCATAGCTCACTATGGGCTCCTGGGCTCAAGCCATCCTCCCTCCTAGACCTCCCGAAGTGCTGAGGTTACAAGCATGAGCCACTGCACTGGCTTCTCATGTTTATCTATTATCTGGTGCCAACAAAAGGAGCTATTTTAACTCATCAGCATTGCAGTTAGTTTTGAAGCTGACCATCCGATAGATGTTTATGGACAGTTCAATCCTGGGCTATGTAATTTTGGAAATAAAATGATAAAATTGTTTTTCTGATTCTATGGTTTATCTTCTAGTTGGGAAGATAAAACCAGCACGTGTAATGTAATACATGACAATGGAAGATTCTACGTAATTAAGGGTTAACTCTGAAATCAGAAGACAAGTTTTCCAAGACTTGGGAAGGTGGAGAGATCAGAGATCAGTGAGAGAACAAAGAATCGGGTAAGTATTTCAAGAAGAGGCGCGTCTTACAGTGTGGATCACATTTCTGTATGGGTGAGGTGGCTCACGCCTGTAATCCTAACATTTTTTTTTTTTTTTTTTTTGTGACTGAGTCTCGCTCTGTAGCCCAGGCTGGAGTGCAGTGGTGCAATCTTGGTTCACTGCAACCTCCGCCTCTAACACTTTGGGAGGCCGAGGTGGGCGGATGGCTTGAGTCCAGGAATTCAAGACCAGCCTAGGCAACATGGCGAAACCCCTTCTCTACAAAAAATACAAAATTTAGCCGGGCGTGGTGGCACATGCCTGTGGTCCCAGCTACTCAGAAGGCTGAAGTGGGAGCATTGCTTGAGCCCAGGAGGTTGAGGTTCCATTGAGCCATGATTGCGCCACTGCATTCCAGTCTTGGTGACAGAGTGAGACTGTGTCTCAAAAAAAAAAAATTCTGTGAGTACTTGCTGGGTTACACTAAATGAAACCTCCTGGTTGATAGCTGAATGCTACGCACGCGTGCGCGTGCACACACACACACACACACACACACACACACGGTACAGATGGGGTCTCTCTATGTTGCCCAGGCTGGTCTCAAACTCCTGGGCTCAAGCAATCCTTCCTCCTCAGCCTCCCAAGGTGTTGGGATTACAGGCATGAGCCACTGTGCCCGTCAATAATAATTTTTTTTTTTTTTTTAGACGGAGTCTCGCTCTATTGCCCAGGCTGGAGTGCAGTGGTGCGATCTCTGCTCACTGCAAGCTCCACCTCCCGGGTTCACACCATTCTCCTGCCTCAGCCTCCCGAGCAGCAGGCGCCTGCCACCACGCCCAGCTAATTTTTGTATTTTTAGTAGAGTCAGGGTTTCACCGTGTTAGCCAGGATGGTGTCAATCTCCTGACCTCGTGATCTGCCCGCCTCTGCCTCTCAAAGTGTTGGGATTACAGGTGTGAGCCACCACGCCCGGCCCAGTAATTCTTTATATTACTCACTCTTTTGGAATAACTGGTGTAGCTTCTCTCTCTTTATTGGACCCTGATAAGAGAATCACTTAGTATTAATTCTTTTGTGTTTGGCTAACATCATCATCATTTTGTTGGTGAGACTCAATCAAATTGTTACAGGTGATGCAGGATTTTTTGCCCCTTAGCTCAGATAGGTCTGGGTTCTTGTCTCATGACCAGAAAGAAGTACGCATGTGGACACTGAAAGAGTAAGGTGGAAAGTTTTATTGAGTGATTAAACAGCTTTTAGCGGGGAAGGGACATGGGGGTGGTCCCCCTACCTCAAGGCAGGAAAGTTCTCAATATGGCTAAGCCCGGGGCTTTTTGTGGGCTCAGAATAAGGAGTGTGTGATAATTGGTTTGTGAGTATGCAAAATGGGTCAAAGCAAAGACACCACTCAAAGGTGGGCATGACAGTGTAGAAAGCCAATTAGGAAAGGGTAGGTATATGTAAAATAGGTGAAGGATGGAGATCAATCAGAGGAAAGTGCGCCAAATGGGAAGGCAGGCTGTCCTTCTGGCCTGAGCATTTAACTTGCAGCTTGGCTTTCGGGCTTTAAACTGCCTTCGGCTTGGAGGTGAGGTTTCACCAGGGACTTGCCCCTATCTACCTAGGCATTTGGCTGCTTCCTGTCTCTGTCACGGGTAGCTATAGTTCATGAATGTTCACAGCTGTGTAGCACTGTACTGTGTGAACACACCACCATTTATTCACCTACTCTTGGTAGACAGGTTAGTTTCAGGTTTGGGCTATTATATACAACGCTGCTGTGAGTATTCTTGCACATGAGCTTTGTATACAATGCATATTGTATGTATTTCTGTAGGTGTATCCTAAAATGGAATTCTTGTAGCATAGGGTATGTGTACCGTCCTTTAGCAGATCATGCCACATGGCTTTCCAGAATGGCTATACCAATTACACATTCACCAGCAGTGTAATGAGAGTGCCCATTCTCCACAGCCTAACCAGTTCCTGACATGTCAGACTATAAATTTTAGCTATTCTGGTGCACGTGTGGGTGTGTCTCATTTTATAAGTTATCTATTTCTGCATAATAAATTATCCCAACATTTTTTGGCTTAAAAACTTGTTACCTCAGTCTCTTTGGGAGTGACTTAGCAGGGTGGTTCTGCTCAGAGTCTTTCATGAGGTTGCCGTCAGCATTGATATGGACAGCAGATGGAAATACTGGGTAGAAGAGAGCAGTTTCCTGGCAAAAGCCCCACCCTTGAGCCTGGAAACCCGCAGCCCTAAATGAGAACGGGCACTCCTGTTTTCATGCCCACAAGTTGTCTTTTGGCCCACCATGCTGCCCATCCTATATCTATATAAACCCCAAACCCAGGGCTTTACAAGGAGATAAACAGAAGTGAAGAAGAATGGCAGAACAGCACAGCAAAGAGAAGAGAAGTAGCATCTGAACGCCAAGAGGAGTTCGGTTGGGGACAGTCAGAGAGGAGGTGGGCCACTAGATGGCCAAACTCCAGGGGAAGATCATCTTCCCACTCCATCTCCCTTCCAGCTCCCCATCCATCCCACTGAGAGATAAAACCCCCACATTTATCCTTCAAGTCTGTGTGCCACCTAATTCTTTCTGGACACCAGACAAGGATCTGGGTACTAAGAGGGCACTGAGCTGGTTAACAGTTAAGTTGACTGCGGACAGCAAAGCTGAAAGAGCACACTGTAACACATGTGTGCTTTGGGAATCTCAGACACCCACCCCTGGACACTGCCGTGGGGCTGGAGCCCAGGGCCACTTGCCCCATCTCCTGTACTTGCTCATCTGCGTGCTCCCCACCCCATAAGGGGTTTGAGTGCACACAGTGGCCGAACAGATGAGCCACGCCCCTGTCACACATCCTGTGAGGGTGTCCGGGAACTCTCCCTTTTCAGCATGTTGTCTGGGGCTGAAGACTTGTCCAGGGCTGAGGGGCTCCCTCATGCAGCACTTGCCAGGGGGCCCCTGTTCCTTGCCACATGGCCTCTCCATAGGTCTGTTCAACCAGATCACTGAAGGCTGACAGTGTCTGTTTGCTTTATTCTAACTGTTAGAAGAGCGTCTAAGGTTAGCCACTCTCAAGGGGAGGGGAATTGGGCTACATCTCTTGGTGGGAGAAGTATCAAAGAATCTGTGGGCATATTTTAAAGCCATCACACTCATTATGGTTTTATTTAATTAATTAATTTATTTTTTTGTAGAGTCAGGGTTTCGCTATGTTGCCCAGGCTGGTCTTGAACTGCTGAGCTCAAGCAGTCCACCCGCCTTGGCCTCCCAAAGTGCTGGGATCACAGGCATGAGCCACCATGCCCGGCTCTCATTATGGTCTTAGTTTATTTTTTTAATTTGAGACGGAGTTTCATTCTTGTCCCCCATGCTGAAGTGCAATGGTGCCATCTCAGCTCATTGCAACCTCCACTTCCCGGGTTTAAGCGATTCTCATGCCTCAGCCTCCCGAGTAGCTGGGATTACAGCCGCATACCATGCCTGGCTAGTTTTTGTATTTTTAGTAGAGACAGGGTTTCACCATGTTCGCCAGGCTGGTCTCGAACTCCTGACCTCAAGTGATCCGCCTGCCTCGCCCTCCCAAAGTGCTAGGAGTACAAGCATGAGCCACCATGCCCAGCCTTGGTTTTAGTTTATAATTGGTTACTAATGGCCAGGTGCAGTGACTCATGCATGAGTCATAAAAAAATTTAGCAGGGTGTGGTGGTGGGTACCTGTAATCCTAGCTATTTAGGAGGCTGAGGCAGAAGCATCGCTTGAACCCAGGAGGTGGAGGTTGCAGCGAGCCCAACCACGCCATTGCACTCGAGCCTGGGCAACAACAGCAAAACTCCGTCTCAAAAAAAAAAAAAAAAATATTGGTTACTAATGAAATAGAGATTGTCCATGCATATATTCTCTTTGGTTAAGTGTCTGTTCAAATCTCTCACCAATTTTTCTGTTTAGTCTTTTAAGAAAATTGATGTGTATGAGTTCTTTCTATATTCTGGGCACAAGCTCTTTGTCAGAAGTATGTGTTGCCCAGGCTAAGCATGGTGGTGTTACAGGAAAGGGAACTCGATCCAGACGCCAAGAGAGGGTTCTTGTTTCTTGTGAAAGAAAGAATTGAGGGCGAGTCCACAGTGGAAAGCAAAAGCAAGTTTATTAGAAAGTAAAGGAATTGGCTGGGCGTGGTGGCTCATGCCTGTAATCCTAGCACTTTGGGAGGCTGAGGCGGGCGGATCACGAGGTCAGGAGATCAAGACCATCCTGGCTAACACGGTGAAACCCCGTCTCTACTAAAAATACAAAAAATTAGCCGGGAGTGGTGGTGGGCGCCTGTAGTCCCAGCTACTCGGGAGCCTGAGGCAGGAGAATGGCCTGAACCCGGGAGGCGGAGCTTGCAGTGAGCCGAGATTGCGCCACTGCACTCCAGCCTGGGCGAAAAAGCGAGACTCCGTCTCAAAAAAAAAAAAAAAAAAAAAGAAAGAAAGTAAAGGAATAAAATAATGGCAACTCCGTAGGCAGAGCAGCCCCGAGGGCTGGTGGTTGCCCATTTTTATGGTTATTCCTTGATGAAATGCTAAACAAGGGGTGGATTATTCATGCCTCCCCTTTTTAGACCCTACAGGGTAATTTCCTGATGTTGCCATGGCATCTGTAAACTGTCATGGCGCTGGTGGGAAGGTAGCAGTGAGGACAATCAGAGGTCACTCTTGTGGCCATCTTGGTTTTGGTGGGTTTGGGCTGGCTTCTTTACTGCAACCTGTTTTATCAGCAAGGTCTTTATGACCTGTATCTTATGCTGACCCCCTATCTCATCCTGTGATTTAGGATGCCTTAACCGTCTGAGAATGCAGCCCAGTAGGTCTCAGCCTCATTTTACCCAGCTCCTATTCAAGATGGAGTTGCTTTGGTCCACACACCTCTGACAGTGGGGTTACATGACTGTAATCCCAGCACTTCGGAAGGCCAAGGCAGGAGGATTGCTTGAGCCCAGGGGTTCAAGACCAGTCTGGGCAAGATGGTGAGACCCTGTCCCAACAAAAAAATTTTTTTAAATGTATATTTAGCTGGGTGTAATGGCATGTGCCTGTAGTCCCAGCTCCTGGGGAGGCTGACTGGGGAGGATTGCTTGAGCCTGGTAGGTCAAGGATGAAGTGAGCCATGGTCACACTACTACACTCCAGCCTGGGCAACAGAGTGAGACCCTGTCTCCAAAAAATATATAATAATAATAATAATAATAATAATGAAGTATGTGTTGCCCATATCTACTCATTCATGGGTAATCTTGAAACTGCCTTTGCAAAAGTTATATCCATGAGAAAATTATAACGGTAAACTAAGCTAGCCTAACCTCCATCTTGCCTTTCCCTTAATTATTCCCAGATTATTGGACTAAGCTAACTTTGGAAGACCTTTCAGCTGCAGTTTAAATAATAACAGGCCTTGCCCAAAACTCAGCTGCTTTTGTAAAGCTAATTGGAGGCCATCACGCTGAGAGAGGAGAGGAGGCTGGGTCCTGCTAAGTTATTCAGAATGTTATAAAATATGATACATCCCCAGTTACTCCTCCAAATAACACCATTCTTGAAGATTGGCCTTTTGAGATATCTTTCCAGGTTTTTTGCATGTCTGACACCCATGGCTCCACCTGGATGACAACCCTTGCTCCTGTGGCTGCACCTAGAGTCGACCAGCCCACAGGAGGACCGCTTCAACCCACTATGATTTCATCTCTGCCCCCAACCAATCAGCAGCAAGCACCTGTTACCTAGCACCCCCCCTCCCCAACACTGCTTCCCCCAAACTGCCTTTGAAAAACCCCTAATCTGATGGGGCGTGGTGGCTCATGCCTGCAATCCCAGCACTTTGGGAGATTGAGGCGGGCAGATCGCGAGGTCAGGAGTTCGAGACCAGCCTGACCAACATGGTGAAACCCCGTATCTACTAAAAACTACAAAAATTAGCTACTAAAAACTACAAAAAAGCTACAAAAATTAGCTGGATGTGGTGGCACGTGCCTCTAATCCCAGCTACTCAGGAGGCTGAGGCAGGAGAATCGCTTGAACCCAGGAGGTGGAGGTTGCAGTGAGCCCAGTGGGTGACAGAGTAAGACTTTGTCTCAAAAAAAAAAAAAAGAAAGAAAAAGAAAAAAACCCCTAATCTACGAGCTTTGAATGAGATGATTTGAGTACCAATTCCATCTCCCAGTGTTATGGCCAGCCTTGTGTCTATTAAACTCTACTACAATGCTGTGGTCCTTTCTTTCTTTCTTTCTTTCTTTCTTTCTTTCTTTCTTTCTTTCTTTCTTTCTTTCTTTCTTTCTTTCTTTTTCTGAGACAGAGTCTTGGTCTGTCACCTAGGCTGGAGTGCAGTGGTGCAAACTGGGCTCACTGCAACCTCCACCTCTTGAGTTCAAGCAATTCCCATGCCTCAGCCTCCCGAGTAGTTGGGATTACAGGCATGCGCCACCACCCAGCTAACTTTTGTATTTTTAGCAGAGATGGGGTTTCACCATGTTGGCCACCTGGTCTCGAACTCCTGACCTCATGATCCACCTGCCTCAGCCTCAGCCTCCCAAAGTGCTGGGATTACAGGCGTGAGCCACTGCACCCAGCCTGTGGTCTTTCTTTATGCAGCGAAGAACACCTCAGGTAGCTACAAATTTTTCTCTTTATACTTTTCAGTGTTTTCAAATTCCTTGCAATTAACATATATTAATTTATATTTTTAAATATATTTAAAAAGTAAAGTTTTGCTAGGTGCAGTGGCTCACACTTGTAATCCCAGCACTCTGGGAGGCCTAGGCAGGTGGAACACTTGAGGCCAGGAGTTGGAGACCAGACTGGCCAACATGGTGAAACCCCATGTCTACTAAAAATACAAAAATTAGCCAGGCATAGTGGCACACGCCTGTAATTCCAGCTACTCAGACTGAGGCACAGGAATCATTTGAACCTGGGAGGCAGAGGTTGCAGTGAGCCAACATCGTGCTACTGCACTCTGGCCTGGGTGACAGAGGGAGACTCAGTCTCAAAAAAAAAAAAAAAAGTAAAGTTTTGCCAGGGTGGTGGCTCATGTCTGTAATCCCAGCACTTTGGGAGGCCGAGGTGGGCAGATCACGAGGTCAAGAGATGAAGACCATCCTGGCCAACATGGTGAAACCCTGTCTCTACTAAAAATACAAAAATTAGCTGGGCATGGTGGCATGCACCTGTAGTCCCAGCTACTTGGGAGGCTGAAGCAGGAGAATCAGTTGAACCCCGGAGGCAGAGGTTGCCGTGAGCCGAGATCATGCCATTGCACTCCAGCCTGGTAACAGAGACAGTCAAAAAAAAAAAAAAATAGGGGCTGGGTGCGGTGGCTCACTCCTGTAATCCCAGCACTTTGGGAGGCCGAGGCGGGCGGATCACGAGGTCAGGAGTTCAAGACCAGCCTGACCAACATGGTGAAACCCCGTCTCTACTAAAAATACAAAAATTAGCTGGGCCTGGTGGCGCACGCCTGTAATCCCAGCTACTCAGGAGGCTGAGGCAGGAGAATCACATGAACCCGGGAGGCGGAGGTTGCAGTGAGCTGAGATCGCGCCATTGCACTCCAGCCTGGGCAACAGAGTGAGACTCTGTCTCAAAAATAAATAAATAAATAAATAAATAAATAAATAAATAAATAAAATAAAGTTTTAGTGGCAGTTGGATATAAGAAGCAGACTACAGAGGGTTAAAACATTGATGGGTGTTTGGGATGGAAGGCAGTAGGTATTGGCAGGACAGCTATTGCACAAAATTATTCATTGACCTGAACATTCTCAATTCTTGTTTCTTTGGAAGTTATAAAGGCAGATATTTAACATGCTTTAATTAATAAAGTTCTTTTGCACTTTCGAAGACTATTCGATGGATAACACATTCCGTCCCCTGCCTTCCCAGCGTGGGCTGCCTCTGGCCTAGAAATGCAAATGTTTGCTTGTTCGTAAAAAATGCGTAGCCGAGAGCTTCAAAATGTGAGCAAGAACATCATATTTGTTTGCAAGTAACTAGCAAAGCAGCAGAAACATTGGCTGACTCCAATAATCTTTAATCATTATCCCCTTCCCTGCAGTTTCCTTCAGAAACCGTTTACCTGTAATTTGTTAGGAGACAGCTCTGAGCTTCTCATTATGAGCCCTTCACTAATTCCACCAGCTCATCAAAACATTTCAGATATTCTAATTGTTGGTACTTTGTCATCCTTTGGGACTTAATCTAAAACTCTGTCATGAGAGAATTTTCTTTTTCAGAGCTAAAAATATTGTGAATGGAACCATATTACTGGTGAGGTCAATACATGCTCCTAGACTGTTTAACATGAGAAGTAAATTAAAAAGCCTCCAGATTTTGTCTTTCCTAGTTAGCCTCTCTTGGAATCCCATGAATGATTTCTTTCCTAACTAAACACCTTACCTGGTTAGGATCTACTGTTCAATTGTCATATGAAGAGGAAACAGATTGGCTTCCCATCACAGCAGAGGGGCCACTTGCGCCATCTGCTGGGGACATTGCTAATCATTTTATAATTTCATGAGGTAATAGGCTCGATTCAAGTGAGTTCACAACCTGATCACTTTCAATATCTCCGACTAACAGCTATTTGCTCTGAGACCCTCCGTCATTAGATTATGTTTCAGAGTATAATTTAGTTTTCCTTTCAGTAGATAAAAATAATTTTAAGCCAAAATATGCAGAGTTATCCCAGTCACTGTCTGCTGTCACTCCAAAGGATGCCCTAAGGAGGGTTTAAATAATAGAGTTGAAAAATAGCTAATTTCTTTCTTTCTTTTTTTTTTTTTTTGAGACGGAGTTTCACTCTTGTTGCTCAGGCTGGAGTGCACTGGTGCCATCTTGGCTCACTGCAACCTCTGCCCCCAGGGTTCAAGCGATTCTCCTGCCTCAGCCTCCCAAGTAGCTGGGATTACAGGTGCCCGCCACCACGCCCAGCTAATTTTTTGTATTTTTAGTAGAGATGAGGTTTCACCATGTTGGCCAGGCTGTTCTCGAACTCCAGACCTCAGGTGATCCACCCGCCTCGGCCTCCCAAAGTGCTGGGATTACAGGTGTGAGCCACCTCGCCTGGCCAAAAAGTAGCTAATTTCTTTAGGGCAATCACAGTGGTGTGCGTGTGTGTGTGTGCGTGTGCGTGTGTGCGCTTTTCCCTCAAACTGATGTCACTGACTTCTTTCCTTCTTCCCCTTTTGTTTCTTCTTCTTCTTTCTTTGTTTTGCTCTTTCCATTCTCCCTCCTCTTCTTCTCCTCTTTCCCCCTCCTTCTTCTTCTCCTCTTCCTCTCCCTTTTCTTTTTTTTTTCTTTTTTTTCTTTTTTTTTTAGGGATGGGAATGTGCTCTGTTGCCCAGGCTTGAGTGTAGTGGCTAGTCACAGGTGCAATCATAGCTCACTGCAGCCTTGAACTCCTGGCCTCCAATGATCCTCCTACTTCAGCCTCCTGAGCAGCTGGGACTACAGACATCTGCCACTGAGCCTGACTTTCTCTGTTTTCTAATTATCAAAAAACATCTACTGGGAATCTTGTCTCCAGGTTACACTATGATCTCCCAGGCATCTAGAACAAGACCCATGAGTGAAATACCTCTGTGTATATTCTGTTAGCAAGCTTTGCAAGCTCCAAAATTGTGGCAGAAGACAGTGACATGCCCTGGGGGAGGGAGGTTGGCCAGATAGCTCAGAGGTCTTAGGGTGCTTGGGTGCCGGGCTCAGAACTGGCCAGACTGTTGGGGCCTCTGCTCTCTGGAGAGCTGGAAAGGGTAGAATCAGGACCTGGGCTTAGAGTGTGCACACTTGGTCTAGGATTTGTCTTCAGGATCAATTATTTTCTTGACAACCATCTGGTTGCTTTCTGCTGAGCCCTGCATTGGCACCGGCATTCCTGCTCCTCCCCAGCCATGGTCCCACACCTGCACTCTAGGCCCCTCCACCCCTCCCCTGGGAAGCGCCCTCACTGTGTGGTAGTCTGGACTGTTCGACTTCTTGGCCTGGTAATCCCTGGCTTTCAATCCCTGGGCCCAAGCCTGCTCTGCCCATGGCTGAACTTCGCCAGCTCTGCCTGCTCAGGGGAGGAATTTTTTTTTTTTTTTTTTTTTTTTGAGATGGAGTCTCGCTCTCTCAGACTGGAGTGCAGTGGCACAATCTCGGCTCACTGCAACCTCCACCTCTTGGGTTCAAGCAGTTCTTCTGCCTCAGCCTCCCGAGTAGGTGGGACTACAGGTGCACACCACCATGCCCTGCTAATAATTCAGGAGAGGATTTGACAGTAAGTTGATTCAGGGCACATTACTTTCTTTGCTTGGTTACAGCTGGAGCCAGTTTGTTCCAACAGTTAGTAACTTTACATCTTTGATTTTCCTTGGGATGTGACTGCAGTGTTTCCACAGTTATGGCTCCAGTTCAGGAATTTAAGAAAATTGCTTTGTGTAACATGAACTGGAAACTAGCGAACTAATTTCTTTTCTTTTTTTTCTGTTTTTTTTTTTTTTTTTTTTTTTTGAGACGGAGTCTTGCTCTGTCGCCCAGGCTGGAGTGCAGTGGCGCGATCTCGGCTCACTGCAACCTCCGCTTCCTGGGGTCAAGCCATTCTCCTGCCTCAGCCTCCCTAGTAGCTGGGATTACAAGCGCCCACCACCACACCTGGCTAATTTTTGTATTTTTGGTAGAGACCAGGTTTCACCATGTTGGCCAGGATGGTCTCAATCTCTTGACCTCGTAATCTGCCCACCTCGGCCTCCCAAAGTGCTGTGATTACCGGCATGAGCCACTGCGCCCAGCCTAGTGAACTACTTTCATAAACTACAGACCTGCTTCTTTGTAGAGTGAGTTCAAATGATGTCTGGGAAGTGATCAGCACTTGGATCACAGAGGAGTCAGGACTCTCTGTGCTTACTTCCTGCTCACGGAGTTGGGAAGTTTTAGCACTTTCAGTTGTTGCTACATAGACGGAATGTGATTACACCTCTACTCTTGACAGTTTTTAGAGATAATATTGGAGCATCTCTGTGCTAAAATCAAAAGCAATCTTTTTGTCTTATATTTATTTTGTAAAGTTATAAAAATAATTTTAAATACTATCAACTGAGACTATTCGCTCTTCAGAGGAAATTGTTCCAGTTTTTCTTGAAGGTCCTTACTTTATTCTTCTATTTTTCTTTTCCTTTTTTATTTTATTTAATTTTTATTTATTTATTTATTTATTTATTTATTTATTTGAGACGTAGTCTTGCTCTGTCACCCAGGTGGAGTGCAGTGGCGCCATCTCAGCTCACTGCAACCTCTGCCTCTCAGGTTCAAGCGATTCTCCTGCCTCAGCCTCCTGAGTAGCTGGGGCTACAGGCACCTGCCACCACACCCGGCTAATTTTTTGTATTTTTAGTAGAGATGGGGTTTCACCGTGTTAGCCAGGATGGTCTCAATCTCCTGACCTTGTGATTCGCCTGCCTCAGCCTCCCAAACTGCTGGGATTACAGGCATGAGCCACTGCTGGTCTCTCTTCCTTCCTTCCTTTCCTTCCTTCCTTCCTTCCTTCCTTCCTTCCTTCCTTCCTCCCTCTCTCCCTCCATCCCTCCCTCCTTCCCTCCTTCCCTCCTTCCTAGACAGAGTTTTGGTCTTGTTGCCCAGGCTGGAGTGCAGTGGCCCAATCTCAGCTCACTGCAACTTCTGCCTCCCAGGTTCAAGCAATTCTCCTGCCTCAGCCTCCTGAGTAGCCGAGATTACAGGCACTGCCACCACGCCCGGCTAATTTTTGGTATTTTTAGTACAGACAGGGTTTCACCATGTTGGCCAGGCTGGTTTCGAACTCCTGACCTTAGGAGATCCACCCGCCTCGGCCTCCCAAAGTGCTGGGATTGCAGGCATGAGCCACCGCGCCCGGCCCCTTCTGTCTATTTTTCAAAATGATACCTACTATTGTTTGAGCAAGTGTTTTGGCAGCCAGCTATGCTCATATTTTTTGCATTTATTTTGCTAAGGTACAGTCAGTCCATTACACTAGATATTTTTATAATTATACATAATTACTACAACAAATTAAATAAACTAAAACTTTAAAGGCATTAAAACACAAGAGAGTACTTTCTCTGAATTAGTGGTGATGGCAATAGTAAAGAAACAGGCTGGCCGGGAGTGGTGGCTCACGCCTGTAATCCCCGCACTTTGGGAGACAGAGGCAGGCGGATCACGAGATCAGGAGATCAAGACCATCCTGGCTAACACGGTGAAACCCCGTCTCTACTAAAAATACAAAAAATTAGCCAGGCTTGGTGGCGGGCGCCTGTAGTCCCAGCTACTCAGGAGGCTGAGGCAGGAGAATGGCGTGAATCCGGGAGGCGGAGCTTGCAGTGAGCCGAGATCGCACCACTGCACTCCAGCCTGGGCGACAGAGCGAGACTCCGTCTCAAAAAAGATAGAAAGAAAGAAACAGGCTGGGTGCGGTGGCTCTCACCAGCACTTTGGGAGGCTGAGGTGGGTGGATGGCTTGAACCCAGGAGTTTGAGACCAGCTGGGGCAACATGGTGAAACCCTGTGTCTACAGGGGACACAAAAAAATTAGCCAGGCATGATGGTGTGCACCTGTAGTCCCGGCTACTCAGGATGCTGAGGTGGGGGGGGATTGCTTGAGCCTGAGAGGTTGAGGCTACAGTGAGCTGAGATCATGCCACTGCACTCCAGCCTGAGTGATGGAGTGAGACCCTGTCACACACACACACACACACACACACACACACACACACACACAATTGTAGAGAAATATAAAGAATCTTGGAGGTTTTCAAATTTTTCTTCTGAAATTTGAGTGGTTGGCCAGGCGTGGTGGCTTATGCCTGTAATTGCAACACTGTGGGAGGGCAAGCCGGGTGGATCACCTGAGGTCAGGAGTTCAAGACCAGCCTGGCCAACATGGCGAAACCCTGTCTCTACTAAAAATACAAAAAAAGTAGCCAGGCATGGTGGCACATATCTGTATTTCTAGCTACTCAGAAGGCTGAGGCAGGAGAATCACTTGAACCCGGGAGGCGGAGGTTGCAGTGAGCCGAGATCGCACCACTGCCCTCCAGCCTGGGCAACAGAGTGAGACTCTGTCTCAAAAAAAAAAAAAAAAAAGAAAAGAAAATTTCAGTGGTTGACATGTTATAATAATATACATTGACACAAAGGCTGGGTAGTGTATTAGTCAAAAGTCACAAGTACCAGTTCTCACCCTTACTAGCTGTTGTGACCTTGGATAGTTTACTTAACCCTTCTAAGCTTTAGTAAGTGCTCAATAAATGTTAACCTAAACTGGAAGCAGGCTGGGCACAGTGGCTCATGCCTGTAACTCCAGCACTTTGGGAGGCCAGTTCAGGAGGAAGGCTTGAACCCAGGAGTTCAAGACCAGCCTGGGCAACATAGTGAGACTCTGTGTCTACAAAAAATTCTAAAAAATTAGCTAAATGTGGTGACGCATTTCTGTAATCACAGTGCTTTGAGAGGCAGAGGTAGGAGGATCACTTGAGCCCAGGAGGTTGAGGCTGCAGTGAGCTATGATCGTGCCACTGCCTTCCAGCCCAAGTGCCAGAGGAAGACACTGTCTCAAAACAAACAAACAAACAAACAAAAAACAAATTAGCTTCAGGTTCCCTTCCCCTCTTGTAATATGTATTGCAGTAACCAGCCTCTCCATAGCATAACCGATGATCCCAGCCTCCTGATATTCATGCCCTGTGTAGCTCCCTCCCATACTTTATCAGAGTTGGTCTGTGTGGCCAGTAGAATATTGTAGAAGTAATGTGTGTCACTTCTGAGATGGGGCTATAAAAGCCTGTGGCTTCTGCCAGCTTGGGGAGACGTTCATGCTGCCAATGGAGAGGCCCACTTGGCAAGAAGTCCGTTCCGGAGCAGCAAGGTACCCAGCCAGCAGCTGGGGGGAACTGCGACATCCCAACAACCATGCGGATGAGCACGGCGGCAGGGCCTCCAGACAACCATGAGGCTGAGCACGGCGGCGTGGCCTCCCGACAACCATGTGGATGAGCGTGGCGGCAGGGCCTCCAGGCCCAGGTGGCTGCAGCCTGGCTGACAGCTTAGCTGCGACCTCAGGAAAGACCTGCACCAGGTGCCCCAGCTAAGCCACTTCTGAATTCCAAACACTCAGAAGCTGTGAGATAACAGAGGTTTGCTAATACATGTGCCAATAATTCACATATCAACGCATCTGTGATCCTTACTCTCCTCTGGAGAAAATAGCCCTTTTTTTTTTTTTTTTTTTTTTTGAGACAGAGTCCTGCACTGTTGCCCGGGCTGGAGTGCAGTGGCACAATCTCAGCCCACTGCAAACTCCACTTACCAGGTTCAAGCGATTCTCCTGCCTCAGCCTCCCAAGTAGCTGGGATTACAGGTGCCCGCCACCACGCCCAGCTAATTTTTTATATTTTTAGTAGAGACAGTGTTTCACTATGTTAGCCAGGCTGGTCTCTAACTCCTGACCTCGTGATCCACCCACCTCGGCCTCCCAAAGTGCTGGGATTACAGGCATGAGCCACCACGCCTGGCCGCCCTTCTTTATTTAAAGCTGGGTTATTTCATCTAAGACATGCATTGCAGTGAGTCTGACCCTAGGCGATGTGCATCCTTTTTTTTCTTTCTTAATGTGCCTTAAATAGTGGTTCATCTTACAGTTCATGATGTCTTAGATTTGAGGAAATAGTAAATCATATCATAGTTACATGATCAAACTTTTTTTCCTTCTGAACCATATTTCCTCACGCTGTCAAAATTTTTGTATTTGGAATGAATGACTGGGTATCTGTAACAAAGATGCATAGGCACATTTGACACTTAGAGGGATTTCAGCGTTTACTGACCGATTGTGAAACGACATTATCATTGTGCAGTTTTTCTACATTGAAGAAACCTACATATTTATAGGTTTTCATTCACCATTCCTGACTCTCCCTTATAATATCCTTTATTACAGTCTTTTGTTATAATGTTGAGTTTTTGTTTGTTTGTTTGTTTGTTTTTGAGACAGAGTCTTGCTCTGTCACCTGGGCTGGAGTGTAGTGGTGCCATCTTGGCTCACTGCAACCTCCGCCTCTCAGGTTCAAGCGATTCTCCTGCCTCAGCCTTTGGAGTAGCTGGGATTACAGGCATGAGCCACCATACCTGGCTAATTTTTGTATTTTTTGTAGAGATGGGGTTTCACCATATTGGCCAGGCTAGTCTCAAACTCTTGACCTCAAGTGATCTGCCCGCCTCGGCTTCCCAAAATGCTGAGATTACAGGCATGAGCCACCATGCCTGGCCTTATAATGTTGAGTCTTTAGGCCTCAGAAGCAGGCCTCGGGAAACAGAATCTCTCTGAATTTCTCCTGCCCAAGGCGGGACTCGATTCTGATTGTGGGTCATAAGACCCTCATTGCAGACAGGGTCCTGTCCCACACCCTAGAGGAAGGAATGCTCCGCGGAGAGGGCAAGAAAGACCTGAACAGCTGAGCCTTGCTGGGTTTCTCAGTCTGTTACTATTAGATCATTCCCCTTTTGTCCAATCGCATTTCTGCACAGTTGTCCTCAATCACACCTATTCAATAATGTCTCCATAAAAGGCTCAAGAGGACTGGGTTCTGAGAGTTTCCAGATCGCTGAACATGTGGTGGTTCCTGAAGGGTGGTGGCCCTGGGGAGGGCATGGAAGCTCCACGTCCCTTCCCACATGCCTTGCCCTATGCAGCTCTTCATCTGTATCCTTTGCAATATCCTTTACTATAAACCAGTGAACATAAGGAAAGTGTTTCCTTGAGTTTTGTGAGCCCTCCTAACAAATCAATTAAACCCACGGAGGGGGTTGTGGGAACCCCAATTCATATCTGGTCTGCCAGAAGCACAGGTTACAGCCTGGGGCTTTTGATTGACATCAGAAGTGGGACAGTCCTGGGGACCGAGGCCTCAACCTGTGGGATCTGATGCTGTCTCCAGGTACAGAGTGTCAGAACTGAGTTGAATTGGAGGACACCCAGGGGGTGTCCATGCAGAACTACTTGCTTGCTTGGTGTGTGGGGAATCCGCCTCCCCACATTTGCTCACAGAAGACTTCTGTGATGATTGTTCTTGAGCAAGAGAATCGGAAAAGCACTTGGAACAAATGTGTTTTTTCCACCCAGAGACTGTTTACAAATCACCTGAGCGTGCAGTGACTTTATGCTCATGGCTTATAAATTCCATCCACCAATCACTGATAGGCTGGTCATTTAAATCACAGGACTGAATGCAGCTTGGGGGAGGATGTCTCCATCTGTGCCCCTCTCCCACATCCCAAATAGCTGTCAGTGTCAGGAGTGGTACAAGGTGAGAGGGGGAAGGGGGAGGAGGACAGGAGTAGAAATGAGGTGCTTCAGAATTTCCCCATCGTAACCAGAGGGCAGTTTGGTAGCAGGGGAAGTGTGGGTATCTAGAATCAGACTCCTTTATCAGGGCATGGTGGCACACGCCTGTAGTCCCAGCTACTTGGGAGGCTGAGGTGGGAGGATTGCTTGAGCCTAGGAAATAGAGGCTACAGTGACTGTGATCACACCACTGCACTCCAGCCTGGAAGACAGAGTGAGACCCTGTCTCAAAAACAACAACAAATTAAAAAAAAAACAGAATTAGACTCTTGCATGTTTATGTAAAACTAATGCAGATCATGATTATTTTCATAATGCATTTACTGGGTCTTGGAATTATGGCATCTATTAATTACAGAGCATGATCTAACAGAACAATCACAGCTCCATTTTCTCTCCCCTCCCTCCCTCCCTTCCTTCCTTGACAAAGTCTTGCTCTGTTGCCCAGGCTGGAGTGCAGTGGCGTGATCTTGGCTCACTGCAATCTCTGCCTCCCGGGTTCAAGCAATTCTCCTGCCTCAGCTTCCCGAGTAGCTGGGAATAATCACGTGCCACCATGCCCGGCTAATTTTTTTGTATTTTCAGTAGAGATGGGGTATCACCATGTTGGCCAGGTTGGTCTCAAACTCCTGACCTCAAGTGATCCGCCTGCCTCAGCCTCCCAAAGTGCTAGGATTACAGGTGTGAGCCACCATGCCTGGCCTATATCATTATTATTTCTGCTTTGTGAATGCCTCACAGATTCCTCCCAATATTCATGGAAGTAAATTCCTTAACGGTCTCAGAAGGGCCGTGCAAGTCAATGAGTCACTTGCAGATTATCATCTGGAAATGATCCGGTGTCTTAGAACTTTCACTACTGGCCGGGCGCAGTGGCTCACGCCTGTAATCCCAGCACTTTGGGAGGCTGAGGCGTGTGGATCACCTAAGGTTAGGAGTTCGAGACCAGCTTGACCAACATGGTGAAACTCCATCTCTACTAAAAATACAAAAAATTAGCCAGGCATGGTGGCGCATGTCTGTAATCCCAGCTACTCAGGAGGCTGAGACAGGAGAATTGCTTGAACCCAGGAGTCGGAGTTTGCAGTGAGCCAAGCTCATGCCACTGCACTCCAGCCTGGGCAACAGGCGAGACTCTGTCTCAAAATAAAAAAAAAACTTTCACCACAGGGAGTTTTTCTTTTAGTGATTCTTGGTAGGCATTTGAACTGGTCCTTTCACTTTGAGATTCTTTTCCTTTGCCCCTCTGATCAAGTCAGCACACACCTTCTCCAGGGATTTTACCTTGCTGCTCCTTAGAGTGATTCTAATTGGTGAATTGGCACCTCTGGCTCCATGGGTGTGTTTTAGTATCTTTAAAATCCGTGGCTGCCAGGCACGGTGGTTCACACCTGTAATCCCAGCACTTTGGGAGGCCGAGGTGGGCAGATCACCTGAGGTCGGGAGTTTGAGACCAGCCTGGCCAACATGGAGAAACCCCGTCTCTACTAAAAATACAAAATTAGCCAGATGTGGTGGCGGGCGTCTGTAATCCCAGCTACTCGGGAGGCTAAGGCAGGAGAATTGCTTGAACCCGGGAGGCGGAGCTTGCAGTGAGCCGAGATCGCGCCATTGCACTCCAGCCTGGGCAACATAGTGAGACTCCGTCTCAAAAAAAGAAAAAAGAAATCTGTGGCTGCTGCGCGGTTTCCTGGCCGACTTGTTTCTGTGCGAGAGCGAACAGTGGTGAGTGAGGAGCAGGAGAGGGCAGACCACAGCCCACACTGCCCTAAACGGCATCTTCCTCCAAGAGCTCCCTTTCTATTTTGTCTCCATTGCCCTGAGAAGGTAACTTTGGTTACGGTCTTTTGTTTGTTTTTTTGTTTTTAGATGGAGTTTGGCTCTTGTCGCCCAGGCTGGAGTGCAATGGTGCGATCTCAGCTCACCGCAACCTCCACCTTCCGGGTTCACGTGATTCTCCTGCTTCAGCCTCCCAAGTAGCTGGGATTACAGGTGCCCACCATCTCGCCCGGCTAATTTTTTATTTTTAGTAGAAACGGCAGTTTCACTATGTTGGTCAGGCTGGTCTCGAACTCCCAACCTCAGGTGATCCGCCTGCCTCGGCCTCCCAAAGTGCTGGGATTACAGGCGTGAGCCACGGCGCCCAGCCTGATTATGGTCGTTTAATCAGCCCTGCAATCCCCACTCCATAATGCCACCCTGCCAAGCTTCCTGAGCTGCTATCTTTAATGTTAGATGCTGGGGCAGGCAGAATAGTGCCCCTCAGATAGTCATGTCCAACTCCCCAGGCCCTGCCAATGTGTTACCTTTCATGGCAAAGGGGAATCAGGGTTGTAGATGGAACTGATATTGCTGTGGAATAACAAGAAAGATATTTGGTCGTTGTCCCTGGTTTCTGGCACAAAGCTCTAAACCCTTGGAATTTTGAGCAATAGAGTGTTAAGAGCCTCTTTTGTTTTAGTGAGGCAACTCTTGTACTTAGCTTCAGGGTGGGAGCTGGCTGCCAGAAAGACCAAGCTTGATTAGAAGATCAGCATTTCCTGCACCCCCTCCCCCAACCTCCAGGGAAGGGAGAGTGGCTGGAGATTGAGCTGATCACCAGTGGCCACAGTCAAACCTATGGACTGAAGCCTCCATAGAAGCCCCTAAATGATGGGGTTCAGGGAGCTTCCAAGTTGGCAAACACATCCTCATCCCAGAGGGTGGTGCACCCCATCTTGACTGAGACAGTGGCTTCTGCACTCGGGACTTACCTTGTCCTGGGTACTTCTTCATCTGGTTGTTCATTTGTACTCTATAATAAACGGTAAGAGTAAGCACAGCTTTTCCTGAGTTCTGTGAGTCATTCTAGCAAATTATTTAACCTTGGGGTAATGAGGTAGTTGAAACCTCTTTGTAGGAACTTTCCTTTGTAGGTCAATCAGCAGAAGTTAGGCTAACCTGGGAACCCAGTCCTTTCTTTGGTGTCTAAGGACAGTCTTGTGTGACTGTGGAGTCACACAATAACTCCAGGTAGTGTCAGAAAGGAATTGAATTGTAGGACACCAAGCTGGCATCAGAGAGTTGGAGAAGTGGTGTTGGAAAAGACACGGTTGATGTCAAGAGGAAGAAAAAACCCTCAGTTGTTTTTTTTTTCTTTTTGAGATGGAGTTTCACTCTTGTTTCCCAGGCTGGAGTGCAATGGCACGATTTCAGCTCTCTGCAACCTCTGTCCCCCAAGTTCAAGCAATTCTCCTGCCTCAGCCTCCCGAGTAGCTGGGATTACAGGTGCCCACCACCACGCCTGGCTAATTTTTTGTATTTTTAGTAGAGATGGGGTTACACCATGTTGGCCAGGCTGGTCTCAAACTCCAGACCTCAGGTGATCCACCCGCCTTGGCCTCCCAAAGTGCTGGGATTACAGGCGTGAGCCACCATGCCCAGCCAAAAAAAACCCTCAGTTGCTAATTAGCTGATCTTAAAAGTGGGACATGATCCAGATGGACACAGTGTAATCACATAAATCCTTAAACGTGGAAGAGGGAGGCAGAAGAGGATATCAGAGTGGTGCCATCTGGAAAGAACTCAACCACTGTTGCTGTGTTCGAACATGAAGGAAGGGACCAAGAACCAAGGAATGTGGGCAGCCTCTAGATGCTGAGAAAGGTGAGGAAATGGAGTCTCTCCTAGGGCTTCCAGAAAGAACACGGTCCTGTCGACCTCTTTATTTTAGTCCAGTAAGACCTGTGTTGGGCTTCCAATCTTCAGCATTAATAAATTTGTGCTTTTTCAATAATAAATTGGTGCTTTTTCAAACGACTATGTTTATTTTGTATTATTATCATTTTTTGAGACAGGGTCTCACTCTGTTGTGCAGGCTAGAGTGCGGCAGCACGATCATAGCTCACTCCAGCCTCCACCCGCTGGGCTAAAACCATCCTCCTGCCTCAGCCTGCCGGGGCCATCATGCCCTGCCCAAAGCTACTGTGTTTACCAATAGTTTCTTAGAGCAGCAATAGGGAACGAATACAGGTTCAGATTCAATTTACATCTTTTTCTTTGTGGTGGGGGAGATGGTGACAGGGCAGGAGGATCGCCGTCTTGGACAAGCACTGTCCTTCTAAAGTCCCCCTTGATCAAAAACCACCTAAATCCAAAGGGCATCAGCCTAATGGCTAAGGTCAGCATGGCCATAAACCACAAATGACAACTCTGGCCAGAAACATTCCAACCACAAGATAAACACCTCCCCGACCAGAGACATGCCATCCCCGAGATAACCTCCCCACAGGCCAGAGAGATGTCAGCCTCAAGATAACCTCCCGTCCAACTAGAGACGTTCCAACCCCAAAATAAACTTCTCCCTCATGCAGAAACATTCTGAGCCTGTGATAAGCTCCCTCACCCTAAAACCAATAAATACTCTTAGTCTATAAGAGAAAGCGCTCCTGACCAAAAATGGCCAGAAGCCCCTCTCAAGTTTATTTTCCAAAATAAACCTGTCTTTGACTGTTGAGCTGCTTTTCATGTTTCTTTCCTCTTTAATTCTTACAGATGGAGTCTCGCTCTGTTGCCCCGTCTGGAGTGCAGTGGCGTGATCTCAGCTCATGGCAACTTCCACCTCCCGGGTTCAAGTGATTCTCCTGCCTCAGCCTCCCAAGTAGCTGGGATTACAGGCGTGTGCCACCATGCCTGGCTAATTTTTGTATTTTTAGTAGAGACAAGGTTTCGCCATGTTGGTCAGGCTGGTCTCGAACTCCTGCCCTCAAGTGATCCACCCGCCTCACCTCCCAAAGTGCTGGGATTACAGGAGTGAGCCACTGCCCCCAGCCACCATTTACATCTTGATCTTATTCATGTTTCATTTATAGTCATGCATTGCTTAACCATGGGGATAAGTTCTGGGAAGTGCCTCATTAGGCAAACATCACAGAGTGTACTTACACAACCTAGATGGTACAGCTGACTATACACCCAGGCTATACGATATAGCCTATTACTCCTCGGCTACAAACCTGCCCAGCACGTGGCTGTCCTGAATACTGCAGGCTGTTGAAACACAATGGTCAGTACTTGTGTATCTAAACAGAAAAGGTTCAATAAAAATACAGTATAAAAGAGAAGCCGGGCTCGGTGGCTCACAACTGTAATCCCAGCACTTTGGGAGGCTGAGGTGGGTGGATCACCTGAGGTTGGGAGTTCAAGACCAGCCTGACCAACATGGAGAAACCCCGTCTCTACTAAAAATACAAAATTAGCTGGGTGTGGTGGCACATGCCTGTAATCCCAGCTATTCAGGAGGCTGAGGCAGGAGAATCGCTTGAACCCGGGAGGCGGAGGTTGCGGTGAGCGAGATTGCGCCATTGCACTCCGGCCTGGGCAACAAGAGCAAAACTCTGTCTCAAAAATAAATAAATAAATAAATAAAGGAGAAAATATGCTACCCCCTGTATAGGCATTTACCATAAATGGAGCTTGCAGGACTGGAAGTTGCTCTTGAGTCAGTGAGTGAGTGGTGGGTGAAGGTGAAGGCCTAGAACATCACTATACACTACTGTAGACTTTATAAACACTGTACACTTAAGCTATACTAAATTTCCTAAGTCTTTTAAAAGAATAAATTAAACTTAGCTTACAATAACTTTAACTTAGAAGACTTTTTAATTTTTAAAAGCTTTTTGAGTAATTTGTAATAACACAGCTTAAACCACAAACACATTGTACAGCTGAACCAAACATATCTTTTTCTTTCTCTTTCTTTCTTTCTTTCTTTCCTTCTTTCTTTCTTTCTTTCTTTTTTTTTTTTTTGAGACAGTCTTGTTTTATTCCCCAGGCTAGAGTGCATTGGTGTGATCATAGCTCATGACAACCTCAAAATCCCGGGCTCAGGTGATCCTCCTGCCTCAGTCTCCAGAGTAGCTGGGACTACAGGTATATAACATCATGCCTGGCTAATCAAAAATATTTTCTTTCTTGGCCAGGCGTGGTGGCTCAAGCCTGTAATCCCAGCACTTTGGGAGGCCTAGGCGGGCAGATCACAAGGTTGGGAGATCGAGAGCATCCTGGCTAACACGGTGAAACCCCGTCTCTACTAAAAATACAAAAAAAAACAAAACAAAACAATTAGCTGGGCGTGGTGGCGGGTACTTGTGGTCCCAGCTACTCGGGAGGCTGAGGCAGGAGAATGGCACAAACTCAGGAGGTGGAGCTTGTAGTGAGTGGAGATTGCGCCACTGCACTCCAGCCTGGGTGACTGAGCAAGACTCTGTCTCAAAAAATAAATAAATAAATAAATAAATAAATAAATAAATAAATATATATATATATATATATATAACTTCTTTATATTCTTATTCTATAAGCTTTTTTTTCTATTTAAATTTTTTTTTCTTTTTACCTTTCAGATGTTTTATTTAAAAATAAGACACAAACATCTACCTTAGCCTAGGCCTACACAGGCTCAGGATCATCAATATCACTGATTTTCATCTCCACATCTTGTCTCACTATAGGGTCTTCAGGGACAGTAACACACATGGAGCTGTCACCTCCTGTGACAACAAGATAACAATGCTTTCTGAAGCACCTCCTGCAGGAACCTGTCTGAGGCTGTTCACTTTTGTTTATAAGCAGAATGAGTATATACTCTAATGTAATGATAAGGAAAATAGCATGGTAAATACATAAACCAGCGAAAGTCATTCGCTGTCATTATCAAGTATGATGTACCGCACATAATTGCATGTACTGGACTTTTACATGACTGGCCGTGAAGCAGGTGTGTTTATACCAGCACCGCCACAAACACATGAGCAATGCGTTGCTATACAACTTTACTATGGCACTGACATCACTAGACAATAGGGATTTTTCATTTCCATTATAATCTTATGGGACTGCTTGTTTGTATGTGCAATCCATCATTGACCAAATCGTTATTTGATGCATGACTGTATTTTGTGTCTTGCTTTCCTGCTAGAGTAATGCTTCTTAAGCATGCATTTACAGTTGACTCTCATGATTCATAAATTTGGACTTGACAAATCTGCCTACTCGCCAAAATTCACATGTAACCCCAAAGTCAATACTCACAGTGCTTTTGAGGTAATTCACAGGCATGCATGAGTGACACAAGATTTGAGTTGCCCAAATGCACGTTCCCAGCTGAGGTGGAACAAGGCGATGCTCGGCCTTCTTGTTTCGGCTAACGCTGTGAACAAGCTTCCTTAGCATGGTCTAGTTAGTGTCATTTTGCCACATTTTTGTGCTTCCTGTTGATTTTGCTGTTGAAAAGGCCCCAAGCACAGTGTCTTCGTGCTGGCTAGTGTTCCTAAGAGCAAGAAGGCTGTGATGTGCCTTACAGAGAAAATATGTGTGTTAGATAAGCTTGGTTTAGGCATGAGTTTTAGGGCTGTTGGCTGTTATTAATGTAAATATAAGATGTCTTTAGGCCGGGAGCAGTGGCTTACGCCTGTAATCCCAGCACTCTGGGAGGCCAAGGCGAGCGGATCACGAGGTCAGGAGATCGAGACCATCCTGGCTAACACGGTGAAACCCCATCTCTACTAAAAATACAAAAAACTAGCCAGGCGTGGTGGCAGGCACCTTTAGTCCCAGCTACTCGGGAGGCTGAGGCAGGAGAGTGGCGGGAACCCGGGAGGCGGAGCTTGCAGTGAGCCGAGATCGCACCACTGCACTCCAGCCTGAGAGACAGAGCGAGACTCCACCTCAAAAAAAAAAAAAAAAAAAAAAAAAAGATGTCTTTAAACAGAAACACAAATAAAACAAGGTTATGGGCTGGGCGTGGTGGCTCACACCTGTAATCCCAGTACTTTGGGAGGCTGAGGCGGGCAGATCACCTGGGGTCAGGAGTTTGCGACCAGCCTGGCCAACATGGTGAGACTCTGTCTCTACTAAAAATACAAAAATTAGCCGGGCATGGTGGTGGGCGCCTGTAGTCCCAGCTACTTGGGAGGCTGAGGCAGGAGAATCACTTGAACCCGGGAGGTGGAGGTTGCAGTGAGCCAAGATCGCACCACTACACTCCAGCCTGGGTAACAGAGCAAGACTCCGTCTCAAAACAAAACAGAAACCCAAGGTTATGCATTGATTGGTTGATGAAAACGTCATGGTCAGAGGCTTGCAGGAACCTAACCCTATAATTCCTCCAGGGTCAAAGGTTTTAGTATTTGCTAATTCAGTGTTTGCAGCAACTTTCAGAACAAAACTACCATGAGAAATGATTGTATTTTGTATTCCCCAGTACAAGCTAACACAATGTTAGCACATAGAAAATGCTTAATAACTGCCTGCTGATTCATTGTGAAAAAGACAGAGCTGAGAATGTAACTTTTCTTCCAGTGAAGTTACATGATATGTGTGGGGTTTTTTTTCTTTTTCTTTTCTTTTTTTTTTTGAGATGGAGTCTCATTCTGTTGCCCAGGTTGGAGTGGAGTGGCGTGATCTCGGCTCACTGCAACCTTCACCTCCCAGGTTCAAGCGATTCTCCTGCCTCAGCCTCCCGAGTAGCTGGAATTACAGGGCATGTGCCACCACGCCCTGCTAATTTTGTGACATGTGTTTTGTAGTTTGCATAGTGTGTAATGGTTTTTACTTGGTCTGTGTAAATATCTTCCCAAATCTGATTCAACTAAGATTGAGAATAAAATACTCCCTTATATGTTGTTCCCTAATAATTGTATAGCTTATACAAGCTGAATTTGTATGAATAAAATTAGAACCTGTCGGCCAGGCGCGGTGGCTCATGCCTGTAATCCCAGCACTTTGGGAGGCTGAGGAGGGTGGATCACGAGGTCAGGAAATCAAGACCATCTTGGCTAACACAGTGAAACCCCGTCTCTACTAAAAATACAAAAATTAGCTGGGCGTGATGGCGGCGCCTATAGTCCCAGCTACTCAGGAGGCTGAGGCAGGAGAACGGCGTGAACCTGGGAGGCGGAGCTTGCAGTGAGCCGAGATCGCACCACTGCACTCCAGCCTGGGTGACAGAGCGAGACTCTGTCTCAAGAAAAACAAAAAAAAGAAGAAATTAGAACCCGTCTACATTAAAAGATCAAGGGCGCTCAACTTTCTCATTTTGGGTTTGGAGAATGTCTCCTGTCATCTAGCTCAGTAATTTTCAAATTTTTCTTTTATATAACACTAAAGGAATGCTGAAAAACTATGTACTGCCCCACCCATTCTAAGTTGTCCACTAACATTTATTTTCTTTCTTTTTCTTTTTTTTTTTGAGACAGGGTCTCACTCTGTCGCCCCAGCTGTAGTGCAGTAATGCAATCTCAGCATCTCAGCTCACTGTAGCCTCACCCTCCGGGGCTCAAGCAACCCCCCCACCTCAGCCTCTCAAGTAGCTAGGGTTACAGGAGCACTCCACCACACCTGGCTAATTAAAACAATTTTTTTTTGTAGAGATGGGGTCTCACTTTGTTGCCCAGGCTGGTCTGGATGTATGGAATTCTTAGGATGGCAGTGATTGACCCAGCATACTGAGGAATATAATTTTGGGTTTTATTATTTGATGGGCGTATTTCTGGTGGTGTGGATGTATAATAATTGGGAAATCTGCAAAATCCTTAGTGAATTGTGGGCACTTATGTTTTCTTATTTAGAAATTTATTCTTTTTGTCATTTCCAGAATGTATTAATGGTATGATCTTCCGTGAGTGACAAAGGAACTGGAAGCCAGGGACCCCCGCATAGGATGTACACGCTGCTCACACAGGAGTAAGCACAGTGCCTGGCTTACTTACAGCATCACTGTCTTTGTGATCTCACGATTCATCTCAGAGCAGGGCGGATCATCTCAGATGGGGTGGTGCAAATCTGCAGGCAGCTAGGCAGACTAGCCCTCAGATGAGACATGGCACAGGCAGGATTCGAAGAGGGGACTCTCTACCTGCCAGAACTGAGGCTGACAATTTGTAAAAAGATAGTATATCTTGGCAGGATTGACATATTACAGTGTGGTGGCCTGTTCTGTGGCAGCTGGGAGGAAGAGCAGCTTCTTTTTTGTTTTTTAATTTGGGAAGTTAAAGTATTTCCTAGTTGACCTTAAATCCTGAAACAGGCCGGCTGCGGTGGCTCACACCTGTAATCCTAGCACTTTGGGAGGCTGAGGCAGGTGGATCACCTGATGTCGGGAGTTCGAGACCAGCCTGGCCAACATGATGAAACCCCATCTCTACTAAAAATACAAAAATTGACTGGGCATGGTGGCACATGCCTGCAATCCCAGCTACTCAGTTGGCTGAGGCAGGAGAATCGCTTGAACCTGGGAGGCGGAGGTTGCGGTGAGACAAGATTGCGCCATTGCACTCCAGCCTGGGAGACAGAGTGAGACTCCATCTCAAAAAACAGACAAACAAAAATCCTGAAACAGGTCAGCCCTTCTTAGATTCTGTCCATCTCAAGCCTGTAGGGCACACCCTGGTGTGATGAGTAGTTCTATCTTCTCTCTTTCTGTACTACACGCCTTCCCTCTATAGTACATGGAAATGCTACTCTTCTGGCTGGGTGAGAACTGAATCATTCCTCTGCTCTTGCCTAGAGCCCGGGGAGAAGTCCTGGCAGCAGGTCCCTGGCTAGGATATTGATATAGAGTCACAGAAACACTGGTGAGAAAAAGAAACACAAGTCATTCTTTTTCTGCTGCTGGCAGAAAAAAAAAAAAGAACATGCATTAAAATTCACAGGACTTGGGCTAGGTGCAATGGCTCATAACTGCAATCCTAGGAATTTGGGAGGCTGAGGCAGGAGGATTGCTTGATGCCAGGAGTTTGAGACCAGCCTGGACAACATAGCAAGATCCCAACTCTGCCAAAAAAAAAAAAAAAAAAAAAGGAGAGAAAGAAAAAAGAAAATTCACAGGACTTCTAAGATAGTCATACAAATGTCAAATTTAAGTAAAAATAATGAAGTAGGGATTGTGTTTCTACATTGTGAGTTGGGCAAAATGTGTGGAATTTTTATTGTTTTGTGTAACATTTAGCACATGTAAGTCATATATGTATATATAGGATGTGCCCACTGTGGGGTGTGTGTTGAGTCTAGGTGTTGGGGGACATTTGTGCTTGACATTTGCTAAAAGTCAAGTGACTGGTGGGGTGGAGAGGCCAGGGCCACAGTAGTTAGTATGCTGTGACAAAGAGTGGTGGAGTGGTCATCTCAAGTCTTCACTGCCATAGCTCACCCGCTCCCCAAACCCTACTGCTGCAGGAGGTCACACGCCACCTGCGGATGGAGGAGACACACGCAGACAAGACAGGCCCCCCGCCACTGTTGGCACACAGGACACCCACCCAGCCTATGGTCCTGTCTGTGGTTGGACAACATAATCAGAATAACAGGTAATCCTTACTGAGCACTAACTATGTGGCAGGTACACGTCCAACAGTTTATATGTAGTAAAGTGTTTAATTCTTACAGCAATATTGTGAAGTAGGTACTGCTATTTCGTTTATATTTCTTACTTTTTTCCTTTTATTTTTTTTATTTTTTATTTATTTATTTTTTTGAGAGGGAGTCTTGCTCTGTCACCCAGGCTGGAGTGCAGTGGCGTAATCTCGGCTCACTGCAAGCTCCGCCTCCTGGGTTCACGCGATTCTCCTGCCTCAGCCTCCAGAGTAGCTGGGACTACAGGCGCCCACCACTGCGCCCTACTAATTTTTTGTAATTTTAGTAGAGGCGGGTTTTCACCGTGTTAGCCAGGATGGGCTCGATCTCCTGACCTCGTGATCCACCCGCCTCAGCCTCCCAAAGTGCTGGGATTACAGGCGTGAGCCACCGTGCCCGGCCTACTTTTTTCCTTTTATTTTTAATTATTTTCTGAAGTGTTACTTAATTTCTAAGTTTTCCTAACTTAGATTTATGTTATTACTTCATATGTTCTATTTACTCCCTTCAGGTCTTGAGCTTGTTCTGAAACTGTAGGCTACAGCTTTTATCTGTTTCGTGGTCATGTCTCTGTGGTATGCTTTCATTGTGTGTGCAAATGTCTTCTTCCTCCCTTCCTCCCCTCTTCCCTTCCTCCCTTCCTCTCTCTCTCTCTCTTTCTCTCTCTCTTTCTCTCTTTCTCTTTCTTTCGGTCTCGCTCTGTTGCCCAGGCTGGAAGTGCAGTGGCGCAATCATAGCTCATAGCACCCTCAACCTCCCAGGCTCAAAGTATCCTCCCACCTCAGCCTCCTGAGTAGCTGGAACTACAGGCACATGCCACCATACCTGGCTGATTTTTGATTTTTTATTTTTTGTAGAGATGAGATTGCTGGGATTACAGGCGTGAGCCACCGCACCTGGCCTTCATTGTTTTTCTGATGATAACTTTGTACATCTTTGATGTCATTTCTTCTCAAGTGCTCCTCCTTAGGCAGGTTACTTCTCCTTAACACCTAGAAGGAGGCAGAGTTCCGGAGAGCTTTTGCAACTTCACCTAGTGTCTTAGTTCTTTTGGGCTCCTTTAACAAAATGCCATAAACCGGGTGGCTTATACACCACAGAAATATATTTTTCACAGTTCTGGAGGCTGGGGAGTCCAAGATCAAGACTGGACTTGACAAATACAGACATTGGTAGATTCAGTGTCTCGTGAGGTCCTGCTTCCTGGTCCACACAGTGCCGTCCTGCTGTGTCCTCAGGTGGCGGTGGTAGAAAGGTTAGGGAGCTCTCTGGGGCCTCTTTCATAAGGGCACTAATCCCATTTGTAAGGGCTCCACCACCATCACATAATCACCTCCCAAAAGCCCTTCTTCCTAATACCATCACATTGGTGATGAGATATCCACACGTGAATCGGGAGGAGTGAACACAAACATCAGACCATAGCACCTCACAAACTTTTCTGTTGTTTTAATTAGTGTGCTAAAATAGGGAAGCTTGCCTTAGGAAATTTCCCTTTTCTCACCTTTTTCTGCACTTTCTCTTTCTTACATTTCTCTAGTCTACATCATGCAAAATTCTCATTCCATCTTAAGAGTCTCCCCTCTGTGAGGGGTCTTAATCCCGGAAGGAAGGATTGCTCTAGGCTTTCAGGTCTCACCATGGGCCCCTTGCACTCACTCACTACTGCATGGGGCGAAATCCTTCCTGTTTTCAGCCGCTGTTCTTGCCACACTTTCCTGGGGGAACCTGATGCTATTTTTGGATTCTCCTCTCTTCATGTCCACCACATGCTTTGTCATGCCCTTGTTTTTATCTGTGCATTTGCTGACTTCACTCAGGTCTTGCAGCTGTCTGTGGTTCCTCCTCACGCCTCTTACATTTGGGGTTTGTGGGGATACCTTGTCAACTAGTTTTGTTCTAAACCTTGTTTAGGGATTTTTACTTTTGCCATTCAGTTGCTCGATCCATAGCACCTAATAGATAAATGGCTCTTCTTCCATGTTTATTAGAAAAAAAAAAGGAAAATTTTAATGGGTCATTTTCAATGATTTGAACTATGGACTCTGTCTTGAACTAAGCACATGAGCGCAAAATAAACACAGTAACTCTCCCAAGGAAGTTCTAATAACCAAGCTGCTTAAAAGGAATTACCCTGAAAAGTAACTAAATCAAGGCTCCCTAAACCAGAATCTCTGACAACCACGTAGCACATCTTACTGTTTTCCACTCATTCCATACATTTTGATTGGGAATCAGTGATGTGTTGGATTCTACTAAATGCTATCGTGGTTATAAATAAGTATGAAGCTTGGCCCTTCCCTCAAAGAGCTTCAAATCTGTCTGGGATTGTATTAGACACAGGAGGTAGGAAGATAATTTGTAAATTATAATGATATAAAATGTATCAATCATTTAACATCTCAGTGCAGATTGACTATAATGTATCATGTGATAACCATCCCATCCCCCATAGTTCTCTGTAATTTATTTATTTATTTGAGACAGGGTCTCACTCTGTTGCCCAGGCTGTAGTGCAGTGGCAAGATCTCAGCTCACTGAAGCCTTGACCTCCTGGGCTCAAGCAATCCTCCCACCTCAGCCTCTCAGGTAGCTGGACTACAGGAGCATGCCACAAACCCCGGCTAATTTTTTTTTTTTTTTTTGTATTTTTTGTAGAGACAGGTTTTTTTCCATGTTTTCCAGGCTGGTCTTGAACTCCTGGGCTTAAAGGATCCTCCCACCTCAGCCTCCCAAAGTGCTGGGATTACAGGTGTGAGTCACTGTGGCCAGCCTTCTGTGATCTGTAAGATCACAGTGCAAGCACTACTCAAAGGGAAAGAAAATAGATGGAATAGGTAATACTTTTTTTTTTTTTTTTTTTGAGATGGAGTCTCACACTATCACTCGGGTTGGAGTGCAGTGGTGTGATCTCGGCTCACTGCAACCTCTGCCTCCCGAGTTCAAGCGATTCTCTTGCCTCAGCCTCCCGAGTAGCTGGGATTATAGGCTCCCGCCAACATGCCCAACTAATTTTTTGTATTTTTAATAGAGATGGGGGTTTCACCATGTTGGCCAGGCTGGTCTCAAACTCCTGACCTCATGATTCACCCGCCTTGGCCTCCCAAAGTGCTGGGATTACAGGTGTAAGCCACCACGCCCAGCCTGGAGTAGTTTATACTTTAAACCTCAGGCATCATAATCTAAAACAGGGTCAGAAGGCCAGGCTTGGTGGCTCACGCCTGTAATCCCAGTACTTTTGGAGGCCGAGGTGGGTGGATCACCTGAGGTCAGGGGTTCAAGACCAGCCTGGCCAACATGGTGAAACCCCATGTCTCCTAAAAATACAGAAATTAGCATGGTGGTGCACGACTGTAGTACCAGTTACTTGGGAGGCTGAGGCAGGATAATCACTTGAACCTGGGAGGCAGAGGTTGCAGTGAGCTGAGATTGCGCCACTGCACTCCAGCCTGGGTGACAGAGCAAGACTCTGTCTCAAAACAAACAAACAAACAAACAGGATACAGAAAATACAGAAAACATTTATCTTTTTTTTTTTTTTTTTTTTTTGAGATGGAGTCTTGCTCTGTCGCCCATGCTAGAGTGCAATGGCGCGATCTCGGCTCACTGCAACCTCCGCCTCCCAGGTTCACGTGATTCTCCTCCATCAGCCTCCCGAGTAGCTGGGATTACAGGCATGTGCCACCACGCCCAGCTAATATTTTTAGTAGAGATGGGGTTTCACCATGTTGGCCAGTGTGGTCTAGAACTGCTGACCTCAAGTGATCCACCTGCCTCAGCCTCCCAAAGTGTTGGGATTACAGGCGTGAGCCACAGGGCCTGGCCAGAAAACATTTATCTTAAGAAAAATATTGCAGCTGGGCATGGTGGCTCATGCCTGTAATCCCAGTACTTTGGGAGGCCGAGGTGGGAGGATCACCTGAGGTCAGGAATTCGTGGGCCAGTCTGGCCAACATGGCAAAACCCCGTCTCTACTAAAAAATACAAAAATTTGCCAGGCATGGTGGCACATGCCTGTAGTCCCAGGTACTCGGGAGACTGAGGCAGGAGAATTGCTTGAACCCAGGAGGCAGACGTTGCAGTGAGCTGAGATTGGGCTACTGCACCCCAGCCTGGGTGACGGAGGGAGACTCAGTCTCAAAAAATAAAATAAAAGCAGAAGGAGAGCTCACTATCAAAAGGAAACTTCTAATAAACAATTTTATAAATAAAAGAATTCTTTTTTTTTTGACACAGTGTCTCACTCTATAGCCTAAGCTGGCAAAAAGTGAAGGGATATCACAGATGTAATGAAGGCCCCTAATGAGTTGGTATTAAGCCATTCAAAAGAGAGATGATCTTGGGTGAGTCTGATCTAATCACCTGCATCTGTTAACAGGGTCCAGATGTCAGGGATGGAAGTTGGAGAAAGATGAGGCAGCAGCAGACACTTTCTCCTGTTGGCCTTAAAGAAGCAACCGCCTGTGCTGGGAGAGGGTCACTGGGCTGAGATTGGTAGGTGGCTCTGGGAGCTGAGGGCCTAAACCTATGACCACAAGGAACTGAATTCATCCCAAAGCCAGAGAGGTGGAAGACGACTCAGAAGATGCAGATGCCAATGCCACATCCTGGTGAGCAGCTGGATTGCAGCTGGACCCGCTAAACCAAGCCCCAGACTCCTGACCAGTGGGAGCTGCAAGATAATGAATATAGTTTTCTTGTTGTTTTTTGTTTTCTTTTTAATAAGCAATATGACTTTATTTAGTTACTTTGGAAACAAAAACCCCCAAATAATGCCTGAACCCAAAGGTACATAAAAATGGCCCAAAATAGTTTAAAATAGATTTGAACATCATTTGTAGTTTCTTCCTCATAACATGAGCGCTTTCAGCTGGACAGTAGATTACAAAGCATCTCCGATCATGTTAAGGCAGATCATCAATCTGTGGCTGCATCTGTAACTCCTGCTGGGAAAATAATCCTGTTGGAGTTGGGGGCTCTTCCCAGTTGTTTGGCCAGTTGGCCCAGGAAGGGGCAGTCCTGGAGCTGACGGGTGGGTGAGGAGCCAGGCCCCACCTGTTTTTTGTTTTCTTACGACAGAGTCTTCCTCTGTTGCTCAGGCTGGAGTGCAGTGGCGCTATCTCGGCTCACTGTAACCTCCACCTCCTGGGTTCAAGCGATTCTCCTGCCTCAGCTTCCAGGAGAGCTGAGACTACAGGTGTGTGTCATTACACTGGGCTAATTTTTTATTACTTTTTTTAAGCAGTGATGGTGTTTTGCCATGTTGGGTTTTGAGCTCCTGACCTTAGGTGACCCATCTACCTCGGCCTCCCAAAGTATTGGGAGTTTCCAAGGCTCCCTTAGTGTAAGCCAGGATTTTTTAAATACAAGGCGGCAAAGATACCACAATGTTACCACAACACAACAATGTATATCACAACCATGTATACCACTATGTATACCACAATGTTATTCACTGTAGCTGCTCCCACAGAAAAGTAGTTTACAAGACAGTGAAGTACAATATGAAACTGAAGATGTTTAGAGAGGAAACAGTGATTTAAAGAGTGCTCTGTAGAATTAAAACCAGTTAGCCCGGCACATTGGGGAACACCTCTGGTCCCAGTTACTTAGGAGGCTAAGATGGGAGGATCACTTAAACCTCGGAGTTTGAGGCCACCCCGGGAACACAATGAAACCTTGTCTCAAGAAACAAAACCAAATACCCCAAGTAGGCCGGGTGTGGTGGCTCAAGCCTGTAATCCTAGCACTTTACGAGGCTGAGGCAGACAGATCACTTGAGGTCAGGAGTTTGTGAACAGCCTTGCCAACATGGGTAAACCCTGTCTCTAAAAAAAAAAAAAAAAAAAAAAGCCAGGTATGGTGACACACACTTGTAATCCCAGCTACCCCGGATGCTGAGGCATGAGAATCCCTTAAACCCAGGAGGTGGAGGTTGCAGTGAGCTGAGATCATGCCACTGCATTCCAGCCTGGGAGACAGAACCAGATTTGGTCTCAAAAAAAAAAAAATTGGTTAATGGCATTAAAAGTCAACTAATAAAATTAGTTAAAACTATGGACTTTAATAAATGTTATCTGTTTTAGCAATTTTTTTTTTTGAGACGGAATTTCACTCTTGTTGCCCAGGCTGGAGTGCAATGGCGCGATATCAGCTCACTGCAACCTCTGCCTCCAGAGTTCAAGTGATTCTCCTGCCTCTTCCTCTGGCTCCGGAGCAGCTAGGATTACAGGCGCCCACCACTACGCCTGGCTAATTTTTTTGTATTCTTTGTAGAGATGGGGTTTCACCATGTTGGCCAGGCTGGCCTCAAACTCCTGACCTCCAGTGATCTGCCCGCCTTGGCCTCCCAAAGTGCTAGGATTACAGGTGTGCACCACCGCGCCCGGACTGTTTTAGCAAATTTGACAAAATGTGGGTAATTTATCCATATAATAGAAAATGCCTAATATTCATTAATTGAAAATTAGAAATTACATTAAAATATTCGGTACTGTTTTTTAAACTATTCTACTTTTACATATTTGGGAAGATTATTTTCTTTAACGATTCTGTTTTATATATTTTATTAATTGTGTTATCTGTTTCCTGAAATTAATATATGCTAGAAGGAAAATTACCTTTATAAATGTCAGCATCTTAAAAGTCATGTCAATATGCAGATTTTGATAACAATCGGTATAGATAAACTAATTCTAAAGTTAGGAATGGGGCCAGGCGCGGTGGCTCAGACCTGTAATCCCAGCACTTTGGGAGGCCGAGGTGGGCGGATCACTTGAGGTTAGGAGTTCGAGACCAGCCTGGCCAACATGGCAAAACCCTGTCTCTATTAAAAATGCAAAAATTAGCTGGGTGCGGTGGCGGGTGCCTGTAATCCCGGCCACTCAGGAAGCTGAGGCAGGAGCATGGCTTGAACCCGGGAAGCAGAGGTTGCAGTGAGCCAAGATGAGCCACTGCACTCTAGTCTGGGTGACAAAGTAAGACTCTGTCTCAAAAATAAATAAATAAATAAAGTCAGGAATAGGTCATGCCATGCTTTATTATATCCGTGATGCTTTATTATATCTGTGACTTTGAAAATTAACATTATTTTACTAACCATACTCAACAATGCTTTTTAAAAAGGGATTTATGACATATAATTCTTTTGGAAATTAAAATGCATGGTATAATTCTATGGTTGGTCAGATTACACTTCAGGTGTAAATGAATTACCTTAAAAATGTATTTCTTAGGTTTATGTTTTATGGACTTAATAAATATTTTATTACAATTTTTTTTTTTTTTAGACAGAATCTCACTCCGTCACCCAGGCTGGAGTGCAGTGGCACGATCTCGGCTCACTGCAACCTCCACCTCCTGGGTTCAAGTGATTCTCCTGCCTCAGCCTCCCGAGTAGCCGGGAATACAGACGCATGCCACCGCTCCTGGCTAATTTCTGTATTTTTAGTAGAGCCGTGGTTTCACCATATTGGCCAGGCTGATCTCGAACTCCTGACATTGTGATCTGCCCTCCTTGGCCTCCCAAAGTGCTGGGATTACAGGCGTAAGCCACCGCACCCAGCAGAAAAAAATCTTAAACTTACAAAAACATAGAGAGAAATATAGCAAATGCTTGTATTAGTTTTCTATGGCTGCTGTAACAAATTACTACCACTTTGGTGACCTAAAACAACCCAAATTTACTACCGTACAAGTCCTGTAGGTCAGGAGCCCACACGGGGCTCACTGGGCTAAAACTCAGGTGATGGCAGGACACCTGAGCATCTGCAGGATCATTCATTCCTTGCCTTTTCCACCTTGAGAGGCCACCTGTGGCATTCCTGGGCTTGTGGCCCCTTCCTCCATCTCCGGAGTCAGCACCAGCGGCCACATCCTTGTCAGGTTGAATCTCTCTGAACTTCCTTCCAGTGTTACGTCTCTTTCCAATTCTCATTTGCAGGTAAAGGTTCTCGGAAGGACCCAATGAGACTGGGCTCACTGGGATAATCCAGGATCATCTCCCATCTCAAGGTTCTTCATCGCATACTTGCAAAGCCCCTTTTGCCATGTCAGGTAACTTGTTCACAGGTTTGAAGATTAGAATGTGGGCATGTTTGGGGGGCATAATTAGGCCTAGCACAATGCCCATGTACCCATCTCCTTGCTTAAACATTAAACACTTTGCCAATATTGTTTCTCCTATCTCTCACTTTGTTCTCTAAAAAACTCCAGGAATTTGTTATTAAATTTTATTAAAGCAAATCCCAGAAATAATATAATTTGCCTGTAAATATGTTAATATGTTTCTCTGAGGCCTTTAAAAATCATAGCCACTATGGTATTATCGTAATAAAATTACCTGAAGTTATTTAATGTCACCTAACATTCAGTCCATGTTTAAGTTTCCCAATTTTTTTTTTTTTTTTTGAGATGGAGTCTCACTCTGTCGCCCAGGCTGGAGTGCAGTGGCGTGATCTGGGCTCACTGCAAGCTCTGCCTCCCGGGTTCACACCATTCTCCTGCCTCAACCTCCCGAGTAGCTGGGACTACAGGCACCTGCCACTACACCCGGCTAATTTTTTTTTTTTTTTTTTTTTTTTTAGTAGAGACGGGGTTTCACCGTGTTAGCCAGGATGGTCTTGATCTCCTGACCTCCTGATCTGCCCGCCTCGGCCTCCCAAAGTGCTGGCATTACAGGCAAGAACCACCGCGCCTGGCCGCCAATGTTTTTAAAAATGCCATTTATTTATGTAAAAGTTTGTTTGTCTTAATCATGACCCAAACAAGGTCCACAAATTGCATTTGGCTAATGTGTCTCTCAAGGTCCCCCCACCCTCTTTTTTTTAAAGACATGGGGGGTCTAGCTGTGTTGCCCAGCCTGGAGTGCAGTGGCTATTCACAGCTGTGATCATAGCTCACTACAGCCTTGAACTCTGGCCTTAAGCAATCCTCCCACTTCAGCCTCTGAACATTTATTTTTGAAAAAAGAAATTGGGTCATTTGGTTTGTAGAATTTCCCACATTCTGGATTTGGCAGATTACTTCCTGGTGGTGTAATCTAATGGGTTCATTTGGCCCCTGTATTTCCTTTAGCCTGTGATTAGTGTTATAAGCTTAACTGGTTCTAGTTTCCCTTTCTTTGTTAGTCAGAGAGAATACTTTAGAGGTGAGGCTGCAAACAATCCACGGTGCCATATTAGTGTGTTTATGGAATCAGGCTGTCCCAGTTTCGATTATGTCAAAGTTGTTCACCTGATCATATCTGAAGATATTACAATATTCTTAATAATAATAACCATTTACCGCATACTTATTGTATACCAGGCATTTTGCTGGCTGTGTCCTATATAATTCCTCAAACCACATCTCCGTGTATTAACCACACTCATAGATTTGTGAAAATGTACCAGAATTGACTGGTTGGAAGGCTCTATGTGGATTATTACTCTGAGCATGTTTACTTCTTGAAATATGAAATAATGGCTCCTGCTTTTAATATACAGGCTTATTTTGAGGATTTTTTGAACGGATGTGAGAGCACTTAGAAAACTGGAACGCGCCGCGCTACACCATTAAAATTAGTAACATCAGTGAGAAAAAAGCAAGTGCATAATAAATATTATAGTTATCCTGATTGTCTCCTTTATTCATCACACACTTCCTAAGCACATCTCTGGAGGGCACTTTCCAAGGCTCCGGGGGAGGAGAGGAAAGAGGCGCAGCCAGGCCTGGTGGGTCCCGGAGGGGCAGCGCGGCGCGGGAGGGGAACGGGGAGGCACGGCCTGGCTGCCACCGCGCGCGGAACCCGGGAGCGGCTCCGGGGCTGTCAGCTGCCCGCCTGGCTCCTCCAAGGCCTGGAGCTCGGACGCGGGCTCTGGGGGCTTCTGGGGCGCGGAAGCGGGCTCGCGGGGAGCAGTGGCCGCCCCCGGCCGCCGCGGTGGCTGTGCTCAGAAGCCGGCCCTGGCGTCAGGAGGCCGGGCGCGCGGCGCGGGGCGCGAGTTCCCCTGCCCGCCTGTGCGCCCCGCAACGGGCCTTTCCTGGGCCCTAACGACAGCTCGCCCGTGCTTCGCCCTCGCAGCTCTCCTGTGTCCCCAAAATGCCTTTCCCGCGTCCCCCGCCCTTCAGCGGTGACTGCCCAGGGGACTCTGTAACGCGACACTCAGACTGCCGAGCCTGCCAGGCACTTCGCGGAGGGCGCTAGGGGCCGGGACGCGGCCGCCGAGCGTAGGTTCCGGCCTTTACTCCGAGTTGCGCACGGAGCCCCAGCTGCGGTTGTCCGCTCTGGGGATCACAGGCCGCGGAGACCCGGGAGCCACCCGCCGGGCCCCTTCAGACGACCCGCTTCCGCAAACCGGCCGTGGGACTCCGGCGCCGGGCGGACGAAGCGGCTCCGGGAAGACTCGGTCTTCCCCGCCCGCCTGAGGTCGCCGGGGCGGGGCTTCAGTGACAGGCCCGCGCGCTACCGCGGAAACAGGAAGTTGGCTGGGTGCGCGCCGGCTCCGGCTGCAGTTCCCGGGTCCCTCGGCCACCGAAGCCACCCTGCCCTGGTGAAAGGGCTCCCGCACCGCCCGGTGCTCCCCATCTGCCTGGCGTTGTGCGCAGAGCTGGAAAGCATGGCTGTTGTATGTATTCTTGCGCCCGTGTGACAACATTTAAACTTCTAAAAACGGAACCTCCTTCCGTGTTAGGATTGCAAGTTAACCTAGGAAAAACAGCATTCTGCAAATTATTTGCTGGAAAATCTCGGTGACTTAAGGCCCATGTATTACTTTGCAGGGGTCTCTCACTCTAGTTTGCTGGTGTAGATTTTTTAAAAAATCCATCTTATCAAAAAATACCGTTTAAGGTGGAAAATTTCAAATGCAAGTCGCAGTTGATGAGATTGCAATTAATATATTTAAGATAGTGAATTAGAGAAAAACTACAGGTCAGTGCATATTAAGTATTTTTTTCATATTTTGGGGGGATTAGATTTTTAACGATAACTTTGAAGTTAAAAATTAAAAGATAGGCTGGGTGCCGTTGCTTAGGCCTGTAATTCCAGCACTCTGGGACGCTGAAGTGGGAGGATGGCTTGATCCCAGAGATGCGAGACCAGCCTGGGCAACATAGCAAGTCCCCCGCCCCCACCATAACAACAAAAGTACCAAAAAAAAAAAAAAAAAAAGCCAGGTGTAGTGGCACGCACCTGAAGTCCCTGCTACTCGAGAAGTTGTGGGGGAAAGGATCGCTTCAGCGCAGGAGTTTGGGGCTGCAGCGAGCTGTGACGCAGCCTGCGGTTGACAAAAAGTCAAAACTCTATAAAATATTTGAAGGGATTAATTCTGAGCCAAATATGAGTGACCATGGCTGGTGACACAGCCATTTGGAGACCCTGAGAACGCGTACGCAAGGTGGTCGGGGCCCAGTGTGGTTTTATGCATTTTAGGGGAGCCATGAGTCATCAGTCAAATACATGTAAGATTAAGATGTACATTGGTTCGGTCCATAAAGGTATGACAGCTGAGGAGGTGGGTGGGTCGGGGGTTTCCGGGTTATAGGTAGATTGAAAATTTTCTGATTGGCATTTGGTTGAAAGATTTATTATCAATGGAAAGGAATGTTTGGGTTACAATAAGAGGCTGTGGAGACTGAAGTTTTATCATGCAGATGAAGCCTCCAGGTAAGTTAAGTGTCCAGCATGTTAAATGCTGGTCTGCTTTTCCTGAATTCTAAAAGGGAGGAGGATGAAATGTGTCAAGTTCCACCCCCACTTCCCATCATGGCCTAAACAAGTTTTGCTTAAAACAACCTAAAACAAGGTTAACTCTGGAATGCCCTTGGTGGGGTCCATGCAGATGGTTGAGGGGTCTTAGGATTTCATTTTTGATTTACAATGGGCGGTGGAGTGAGACCCTATCTCTAAAAATAAATAAATAAATAAATACAAATTGAAAAGTTCAAAGATAAATTTTTTTTTTTTTTTTTTGAGACGGAGTTTCGCTCTTGTTGCCCAGGCTGGAGTGCAATGGCGCGATCTCGGCTCACTACAACCTCCGCCTCCCGCATTCAAGCGATTCTCCTGCCTCAGCCTCCCGAGTAGCTGGGATTACAGGCATGTGCCACTACCCTGGCTGATTTTGTATTTTTAGTAGAGACGGGGTTTCTCCATGTTGGTCAGGCTGGTCTTGAACTCCCGACCTCAGGTGATCACCCACCTCGGCCTCTCAAAGTGCTGGGATTACAGGCATGAGCCACTGCGCCCAGCCTAAAGATAAAATATTTGGCTCCCAATTATGGCTTGCAGTGATTATTCACACATGTTGGGCAGAAATGTTTTATATAATTTATATATAAATACAGGTATTTTATATTGTAATTCAAGATAGGTATTCTTGGCCACTAACCCAATGTCTTGTTTCTTTAGCTTCTCAGCTTCTTTTTTACTTTCAAAGTTGGTCAGGTTTCCTGTTAATAGTTAACTAAATGAAAGCTCACTCACTGACAAAACACACATTTTTGGTTTCATTTCAGATAAATGAATTCTGATTTTGGGGAGCAGATGCCAACTTAGAGCCTCGTACCAATCTCTCTGTCTTTAAAAGATGAGGTGACTTGGTGATTTTCCTGGAAAATTATAGGTAATATATAATCTAGCTTCCATATTTTACGGATATGTCTGGAGGTACCAGAGAGGTGCATCTCTGCCTTTCCATCCTAGGCCAGCCTGAACTGTCTTGTGGAAGCTGTACACTGTTCCTGCTGGGTTATCGTTTGATGATCTTAATAAGACTGATAAATTGAACTTGGGAGTGAAAACAGTAACACTTTAAGAAATTTTGAATTTTAAGGCTGAGGACTAGGCTCTGATTTTTTTTCTATCCTCACAGAAGCACTGAGGTGGACACTGCGGGTTGTGAGGTTCAGGAGGGGTAAGTGGCTGGCACAAGGTCACAGAGCAGCGCTGCCATTTGGCTACTTTCCAATTCAGCATAGCTGCCCTCTCTGCTGGTGGTATTCACAGCATGCAAGATAAAATACTCACCAAGGAACAAGTGGCTAACTCCTCACAGAGCTCTCACGGTTTCCTCTTTCCTGACAAAAAGGTAGGGCTCACCGGGGTGGGGGTGTCTGCAGAGCTCCCAGGTGCTGGTGGTCAGCAGGTTTCCTTCAGCTGAGTCAGAAAATGGGGAGGCAGAAAATGAGGAGGCTGGGGTAAGGTTTGGCCCAGCAAGTGAGTGAAACAAGTCAATTTATACCCTTGGGAAGCAAGCCGTCCGGTAGGAGTGAAGCCTCATTACCTAATGCTGGTGCCATTTCTGGGGAGAGAAGGAATCTCTTCCCCCACCCTATCAGGCCTACAAGTTATTCTGTCTTCATTTCAGGTAGGAAAAGAGGGCATGTTTTGGCCATAACATTGAAGACAACCTTGGGAATGCTAATTCAATGAGTCTTTGGTAGAGGAAGAAAAGGAATTTCCCAAGATTTGAGCAAAAGGTGTTTTTTGTTGTTTTTTTTTGTTTTGTTTTGTTTTGTTTTGAGACAGTCTCCCTCTGTCGCCCAGACTGGAGTGCAGTGGCCCAATCTCTGCTCATTGCAAGCTCTGCCTCCCAGGTTCAACTGATTTTCCTGCCTCAGCCTCCTGAGTAGCTGGGATTACAGGTGTGCACTACTACACTAGGCTAATTTTTGTATTTTTAGTAGAGACGGGGTTTTGCCATGTTGGCCAGGATGGTCTTGAACTCCTGGCCTCAAGTGATCTCCCTGCCTCCACCTCCCAAAGTGCTGGGATTACAGGGTGTGAGCCACCTGCCCAGAAGGTGTTCTGTTTAAGGATCTGCTGTCAAAAGTTTTCTAAATAGGTTTTTGTTCTGTTATCTTTTTTTTTCTTCTTTTTTTTTGAGATGGAGTCTCGCTCTGTCGCCTAGGCTGGAGTGCTATGGTGAAATCTCGGCTCACTGCAACCTCCGCCTCCTGGGTTCAAGTGATTCTTGTGCCTCAACCTCCCAAGTAGCTGAGATTACACGCTCACTCAACCACACCCGGCTAATTTTTGTATTAAATATATTTAGTAGAGATGGGGTTTCACCATGTTGGCTAGGCTGGTCTTGAACTCCTGGCCTCAAATGGTCCACCTGCCTTTGTCTCCCAAAGTGCTGGGATTACAGGCATGAGCCACCATGCCCCGCACAGCCACTCTTATCTTTTAAAAAATGATCATGTTGGGCTGGGCGCAGTGGCTCATGTCTGTAATCCCAGTATTTTGGGAGGCCGAGGCCAGTGGATCACTTGAGCCTAGGAGTTTGCCACCAGCCTAAGCGACATGGTGAAACCCTGTCTCTACAAAAAATGCAAAAATTGGTGGGGCGTGGTGGCACACACTCACCTGTAATCCCAGCTGCTCCAGAGGCTGAAGTGGGAGGATAGCTTGAGTCCAGGAGGCGGAGGTTGCACTGAGCTGGGATCACACTACTGTACTCCAGCGTGGGTGACAGGGCGAGACCTTGTCTCAAAAAAAAATAAATAAATAAATAAAAAAGATTATGTTATACCAGATAGCTGCTTCACATGGTTATTAGGGTCTTCTCAGGAAAATATGTAACAGTGCCAGCCAGCTTGCTTGCTCTCTTTCTCTGTCCTGTTTGCTCCCCCATCCCCTTCTGCTCTTCTCTCCTTTTCTACTGTCCTCCTTCCTTCTTTCCTTCCAAGTCTTCCTCTGGTTGAATGGCTCTGTGTAGGATATTTTAAATTCATTTTTGGAAAAAAGAATGTTAGGGGTAGAAGGTATTTGATTTACAAGTGGCAAATCCATACAGATCTGCAGCAACCTCAATTCTTGCCTGCTCAGAAAAAAATAATTCCACTGAGGGGCATAAGGCAGAAAAAGAGACTGAGGCAAGTTTCTGAGCAGGAGTGAAAGTTATTAAAAAGCTTTAGAGCAGGAAAGAAAGAAAAGTACATTTGGAAGAGACCCAAGAGGGCAATGTGAAGGTCAAGTGCAGTGTTTTTTGTTTTTGTTTTTGTTTTTTTGTTTTTTTGAGACGGAGTCTCGCTCTGTCCCCCAGGCTGGAGTGCAATGGCGCGATCTCGGTTCACTGCAAGCTCCGCCTCCTGGGTTCACGCCATTCTCCTGCCTCAGCCTCCTGAGTAGCTGGGACTATAGGCACCTGCAACCACGCCCGGCTAATTTTTTGTATTTTTAGTAGAGATGGGGTTTCACTGTGTTAGCCAGGATGGTCTCGATCTCCTAACCTTGTGATCCGCCCGCCTCGGCCTCCCAAAGTGCTGGGATTACAGGCGTGAGCCACCGTGCCCAGCCAAGTGCAGTGTTTAACCGTAATCCTAGGACTTTATAGGCTGACCCACTTCTGGCGTCTTGCACCCCTCCCTTCTCCATGATTCATCCCTTAGGGTGGGCTGCCTGCATGCACAGTGCCCTTCTTAAGCTTGGGAGGTGAGCATGAGCAGTGTGTTTAGGAAGTTGTACGCATGCCCATCTGTGGCTTTCTTTTTCCTGTGGAGTGCCCCCAGAAGGTCATACTCTGCCATTTTGTCTCCTGATGTGTATGCCCAGGAAGTTGCCCCTCTCTGGCATCTGCATTTAATTAACACTTTAATGTGGCAGCTGTGGACCCTCAGGAGATTGTCTCTCCTTGGCGCTGGCTGCTAAATGATCGTTTTTAGAGAGGCAATATGTTAACTGTTGAATGGGCACCTGGTGATCACCTGACATTCCTGGTAGGTGGGAAGAGCCCTCACCTGCCCCGCTCATGCCTGCCTATCTGTAACAAGAACACAGAAGTTTGAGGGAAGCGCCAGAACTCCCCTCTAACCCGGTTTGTTTGCAGTAAGGTCGCTTATCTGCAAGGAGTAAGAGGCCATGCTGAGTGAGCTCAGTGGGGAGTTGGGGCAGGGAGAGCCCAGGTTGCCTGGAAGTGCAAACCCACAGGCTGTCTCTATGTCCTCTGTCCTGCTCTCTTCATCCAGGGAAGCTGGAGGACTGCAGTTTTGCATCCTATCCTGCCCTGAGCCTCACTTTGGGCTGTCAGCCAGCCTTGTCTCCAGCCTGCTCACCACTCACTGATGCTTTTTGCGCCTCTTAGTCATAACTGCTCAAACAAGGCTCACTCTGATGAAGAGAAGGGGGTGTAGAAGAGGAATTATCAAGGTGTCATTCTGGTATTTCATCTTGGGAAACCAGAAACCTACCAAACAGCAAGGGTTTGCATACTGGAAGACTCCTCAGCCTGCCCCAGAAGGTCAGCATTCCTTCCCTCTCAACTAGTTCTGTACAGCTGGAGGAAACATAAGGTGTTAGAAAGTTTCAGCTATGGTTTTGGGTTTAGCTTTTAGGATTTTAGGAGATTCTAGGCCTTTTGAAAGAAAAATGAGATAGTAAGATCGAATGGCTGCCTTTGACATATTTGATTTAATCACAACAAAGGAAATTGCCTGGCGTTAAGGAACCTGTTATTTATCCCTCAGAGGCTCTCCAGCAGAGAACCCAGGCCCTTCACCATACTGGTGCATGGTTCCTGCCACTTGTGCAGTCCATTCCGAAGTTTCTTACAGATGAGGTGGGTGACTGCAAACAGGCACTGCTGCTTCTCCTCTATGTCAGAGTAAGCACAGGCAGCACAGGGTGGCTGCACATCCTGAGTTGTCTGGGACAGTCCTGGTTTACACCATTGCCCTGTTTTAATTTTTATTAGTGATATTTTTCACTCAAAGCTGTCCCCAGTTGGAAGATAAAGGTATGTTGTGACTGCGATTATGCGGCATGTGTGGTTTGCCTTAGAGAAAAGAGAGGTGACAAAAGTTCTAAGTGAAGAAGATAAAGTACAGCTTGACCAGCTGATAAAGATGTTGTGGGGTTTTGGAGGAGAATTTCAGCAAGAGCAGTTGACTCCAGATGATATGCAAGGCTGCTTTTGACCTCTCTGTCTGAAAGGACATAGTTAAAATCCAGTATTTGTTTGCCGTTCCCCCTTTATTTATTTATTTTGAGATGGAGTCTCACTCTGTTGCCCAGGGTGGAGTGCAGTGGCACGATCTCGGCTCACTGCAACCTCCACCTCCTGGATTCAAGCGATTCTCCTGCCTCAGCCTCCCTAGTAGCTGGGATTACAGGCATGCACCACCACACCTGCCTAATTTTTGTATTTAGTGGAGATGAGGTTTCACCACATTGGCCAGGTTGGTCTTGAACTCCTGACCTCAGGTGATCCACCTGCCTTGGCCTCCCAAAGTGCTGGGATTACGGCTGTGAGCCACTGTGCCAGGCCAGCTGTTCCCTTTTAAATTAAGTACTTAGTCTGGGCACAGTGGCTCACGCCTGTAATCCTAGTACTTTGGGAGGCCGAGGCGGGTGGATCACCTGAGGCCAGGAGTTCGATACCAGTCTGGCCAATGTGGTGAAACTCCATCTCTACTAATAATATGAAAATTAACTGGGTGTGGTGGTACACATCTGTAGTCTCAGCTACTTGGGAGGCTCAGGTAGGAGGATTGCTTGAGCCCAGGAGGTGGAGGTTGTAGTGAGCTGAGAGCACACCACTGCACTCCAGCCTGGGTGATGGGAGAGAAACTCTGTCTCAAAAAAATAAAAATAAATAAATAAATAAATCAAGAGTTAATATAGGTAATGCCATTCTAATGAAACAGAGGAATGACAGTCCCCAATGGAAGGGCCGTCCATTTCACCATTGCCTACCCTTTCATCTTCTGAAAAGCCAGAAATAGTAATGAATACTTAATAGTACCACATACCCATTGCCAATGCTCCATTAGAATACTTATGAGAAGATTTCTTCATTTATCAGTTTCTGAAGGTATTGCCAATTTTTCCGTTAGGTTTTAAACTTTTGATAATGGCTCAAAGTACATTTTCACACCTATTTATTTTTCTTTTTCTCTTACTTTTTTTTTTTTTTTAATGAGACGGAGTCTTGCTCTGTCGCCCAGGCTGGAGTGCAGTGGCGCAATCTCGGCTCACTGCAGGCTTTGCCTCCTGGGTTCACGCCATTCTCCTGCCTCATCCTCCCGAGTAGCTGGGACTACAGGCGTCTGCCACCACGCCTGGCTAATTTTTTGTATTTTTAGTAGAGATGGGGTTTCACCGTGTTAGCCAGGATGGTCTCGATCTCCTGACCTCGTGATCTGCCCACCTTGGCCTCCCAAAGTGCTGGGATTACAGGTGTGAGCCACTGTGCCTGGCTTATTTTTCTTTAGGTAAGGTTTAAAGGTTTTCCACATCTTAATGGTTGCTTATAGACACCAGTGTAAAACAAGCTAGGGACTCTTATAGGGAATGGGGGTTATTTTATTTTATTTTTTTGAGATGGAGTTTTGCTCTTGTTACCCAGTCTGGAGTGCAATGGCATGATCTCAGCTCACTGCAACCTCCAGGTCCTGGGTTTAAGTGATTCTTCTGCCTCAGCCTCCCGCGTAGATGGGACTACAGACGCCCACCACCACGCCCAGCTAATTTTTTTTTTGAGACGGAGTCTTTCTCTGTCACCGAGGCTGCAGTGCAATGGCGTGATCTTGGCCCACTGCAACCTCCGCCTCCCAGGTTCAAGAGATTCTCTTGCCCTCAGCCTCCTGAGTAGCTAGGATTACAGGTGCACACCATCACCCTGGCTAATTTTTGTACTTTTAGTAGAGATGGGGTTTTGCCAGGTTGGCCAGGCTAGTCTCGAACTCCTGACCTCAGGTGATCCGCCCACCTTGGCCTCCCAAAGTGCTGGATTACAGGCTTGAGCCACTGTGCCCAGCCTAATTTTTGTATTTTTAGTAGAGACAGGGTTTCACCATGTGGGCCAGGCTGGTCTCGAACTCCTGATGTCAGGTGATCCACCCGCCTCGGCCTCCCAAACTGCTGGGATTACAGGGGTGAGCCACTGCACCCAGCCAGGAATGGGGGTTATTCTTAATTTCCCTATGCAAATGTAGAGTTCTGAGGATGCATTTCACAGAGGTGATTTTAGACCCTGGGGAAATGAGGTGGTTCTTGACTCCATGCCTACGTGTGACATGAAGTTCCTAGATTCATGTTAGAAAATCATCTTCCTAGAAAGGGACTTTATTTTTTTATTGGTTCAGTTAGGGTCTCTGGTCAGTGTCTCCCAAAGCTCCCACCCCGTAAGACTTCTGGGGCTTCTCTGACATCTGAACTCCCTATACCCTCCCTGGGAAGGTCACCGCCCTTCTCAGATGCTCATCTTGAGCGCAGTTGAAGAACCTGGAAGTAGAATGCCACCATTTATAGCCTATCTCAGGGCAGCCTTTTACCAACTTTTCTCTTCAGAGGTCTCCAAAATAGATGCTTTCTTTACAGGATGCAAAGCTCATCCAAGATTTGGGATGAATCCATAAAAATTTTGAAGGTTCCCTTACAGAAGCCACTATACATAAATAGCTTATAAAAGAAGGCCATCCAGAGTTTTAAGGCACATTTGCAGGGGGAAACCCATTTTTGTGAAAACATATAATCTGGTTGCAGTACTCAATATTCATATTCACAGATGGTGGCTCTGTTGCAATCACCCACAGGTTCTTCCTGCCCACTGCACAGACAAAACCATTCACTGAGACTATGGTACTGCAGTAAATAAGTAGTTTGGGCTGGGCTGGGCACGGTGGCTCATGCCTGTAATCCTAGCACTTTGGGAAGCTGAGGCGGGTGAATCACTTGAGCTCAGGAGTTCAAGACTAGCCTGGGCAGCATGGCAACACCCCATCTCTACTAAAAATACAAAAAAACAAAATTAGCTGGGCGTGGTGGCACACACCTGTAATCCCAGCTACTCGGGAGGCTGAGGCATGAGAATCACTTGAACCTGGGAGGCAGAGGTTGCAGTGAGCTGACATTGTGCCATTGCACTCCAGCCTGGGTGACAGAGTGAGATTCTGTCTCAGAAAAAAAAAAAAAGTTTAATTAATGAAGGCTGGCCACTGAGAGATGGAATTATTACTCAAATCAGTTTCTCTGAATCTCAGAAGTTAGGGTTTTTATGGACAATTTTGTGGGCAGGGAGCTGGGGAATAGGAGTTGTTGATTGGTTGGGAATGAAATCATAGGGATGTGGAAAACAGTCCTTGTGTGCTGAGTCCACTTCTGGGTGGGGTCATAGGATCAGTTGAGCCATGAAATATGGGTCCCAGCAGGGTCAGTCAGGTAGGGTAAATCAGTTGCCCGAAAGTCTGAAAAATATGTCAAAAGACCAATCTTAGGATCTACAATAGTGATGTTATTTATAGGAGAAATTGAAGGAAGTCACAAATCTTTGTTACCTCTGGCCTCATGACTCCTGAGCATTTAGGGATTATAGAAACTACATTCAGCAGAATTCAAGCCCCTCCCCTAATCCTAATCTCGATACCTTTCATTAGTTTTCAAAGGTGGTTTCAGCCTCAGAACAGGGAGTAGACTATTATCATCATCCTTGCTTCAAAGTTAAACTATAAACTGGCCTGGCAAAGTGGCTCACGCCTGTAATCCCAGCACTTTGGGAGGTTGAGGCAGGTGGTTCATTTGAGGTCAGGAGTTTGAGACTAGCCTGGCCAACATGGCGAAAAACCGTCTCTGCTAAAAAAAATACAAAAATTAGCTGGACGTGGTGACGAGTGCCTGCAATCCCAGCTACTTGGGAGGCCGAGGCATGAGAATCACTTGAACCCAGGAGGCGGAGGTTGCAGTGAGCCCAGATCACACCACTGCACTCCAGCCTGGGTGACAGGGGAGACCCCATTTCAAAAACAAAACAAAACAAAACAAAACAAACAAACAAAAACCTATAAACCAAATTTCTCCCAAAGTTAGCTTGGCCTATATCCAGGAATGACCAAGGACATCTTGGCAGTCAGAAACAAGATGGAGTCAACTATGTCAGATTTCTGTTACTGTTATAATTTTGCAAAGGTGGTTTCACTGTCAGATCCTGGCCTCTGGGTCCAATGTGGAATGAATTCCTTGGATCTTTGAAGCACATTGTCCATGAATATTCACTTATTTTGTGGAAAAGCAGAGTAGAAAAGTGATGAATTAACACCAAAAGCAACACATTACAGGCGGCTTGTGACCTGTTGATTTTTAAGGTCAAGGAGGGGTGGTGGGGAATCCTGGGAGTCAAAATTACACTTAAATAATACTGAATTTTCCCATTATGTCTCCTACCTTGACACACATCATTCTCATGGATTCCCATTTGATGATTTCTAGAATATTAATGAAACTTTATCATCTTGGTGAGAAAAGCATTCTAATAGCTTTATTCTGACATACGGAGGTATGGAGAGCTTGAAGGAGTCAGAGAGGTCAGTTGTTTTCCTTATTAGTAATCTGGCATATTATTATTGTAAAAGTATAAGACGATTAATTTGGAAATGTAGATAGGATTATGTAACTCATTAGTTCTTAATAGAGGGAGGTCGTGATACCTGTATTATTAGGGAACATAACTGAATTCTTTTCCTTTTCCCGTAGGTGCCCAGCTAAGACCTGAATGCCATCACCCTCCCCAGGGCTCTGCAGTTTTCTCGTGGTGAACCCTTGATGGATTTGTTGTTGCTTGAGAAATGGCGATGATCGAATTGGGGTTTGGAAGACAGAATTTTCATCCATTAAAGAGGAAGAGTTCATTGCTGTTGAAACTCATAGCTGTTGTCTTTGCTGTGCTTCTATTTTGTGAATTTTTAATCTATTACTTAGCGATCTTTCAGTGTAATTGGCCTGAAGTGAAAACCACAGCCTCTGATGGTGAACAGACCACACGTGAGCCTGTGCTCAAAGCCATGTTTTTGGCTGACACCCATTTGCTTGGGGAATTCCTAGGCCACTGGCTGGACAAATTACGAAGGTAAGAGGTAAAATCAGGAATCTTTCTAAAATTCTGTAGGCAAAACGGTATAGCCCTCTCCTCATAGGCAAGGCTTATGGCTTTAGGTTACTCTTAGTTATTTTCCTCTCAAAGGAGGACATTTAGGGACATTTGACTTTTCCTTGAATTTACCATTTACTGAGGATATATACAGGGCCCCATAATTTGGGAGTCAGATCTGGGCCACATCGCTTTGTGACTTTGGACAAGTTGTTAGGGCCCCTCTGAGCCCCTGCCTCCTTGTTTGTAACTGGATTAAGACAAGAAACATCACAAGATGTGCCACGCAATGACAACAAGATGCTACACAATGCCTGGTGCCTGGGACTGGTCCCCTGGGCAGGGGAGGACACAGATGTGGGTTGGTGGTCCCATCTCACCTTCATTGCTGTGTAACTTTGAGCCTATTGGGTTTCAGCCTCCTCTAGGCAGCAGAGGAGCAGAGCAGATTTGTGGCTGTCACCCTGGGGAAGGATCAGGTCCTATCTTTCCAACTCACACCTGCCCCTGCATGGTCCATTGTTTTTTTCACCAGGAAGCTTTTTAAACAAATTATTTTTAGGCCAGGTGCACTGGCTCACGCCTGTAATCCCAGCACTTTGGGAGGCCAAGGCAGGTGGATCACCTGAGGTCAGGAGTTCAAGACCAGCCTGGCCAACATGGTGCAACTCCATCTCTACTAAAAATAGAAAAATTAGCTGAGCATGATGGCGGGCGCCTGTAATCTCAGCTACTCCGGAGGCAGAGGCAGGAGAATCGCTTAAACCTGGGAGGCAGAGGTTGCAGTGAGCTGAGATTGCACCACTGCACTCCAGCCTGGGCAACAGAGCAAGATTCCATCTCAAAAAAAAAAAAAAAAAAAAAAAAGAATAAAGAATAAGAATAATGAAAGAGCAGCTATACCTTTTTACTAAGAGTTTTAACCAAAGGAGGCATGAGCTCAAGAAGGGCCGGTGGGGGGCCTGCAGTGTCTTGGTCTTACAAATTGATCCTGATTGATGTCTGGTCTCGCCAAGTAGCCTTCTGTACCTTCTTCCTGCTGCTGTTTCTAGATTTTTACTTCCCATGGTGAATAACATTAAATCAAGAGAGACTGAGAAGCTGGGTGCAGTGCTTCACGCCTGTAATCCCAGCACTTTAGGAGGTGGAGGTGAAGAACTGCTTGAGGCCAGGAATTTGAGACCAGCCTGGGCAACGTGGCAAGACCTCATTTCTACAAAAAAACAATAAACAAAAACCAAAAATAGCTAATTTTTGCTCTTTATGCCCGCTTGTAGTCCTAGTGACTCAGCAGGCTGAGGCAGGAGGATCGCTTGAGCTACTTTGAGCACCAGAGTTTGAGCCTCCAGTGAGCTATGACCATGGCACTGCAGTCCAGCCTGGGCGACAGAGCAAGAGCCTGTCTCTAAAAAAAAAAAAGTAAAATAAAATAAGAAAAACGGAGAAATGTATTTTGAGAGAGATCTTGGGTAAAAAGCCTTTCAGGGGTGATGTGTACCATTCAGTTCACTTGGGATCTAAAAATCTTCCTCTGACCAGAAATTACATTGACTGATTAAAATGGGGTCTAGCTCTGTTGCCCAGGCTGGAGGGCAGTAGTAGGATCATAGCTCACTGCAGTCTCCCAAGTAGCTAGGACAACAGGCTTGTGCCACTACGCCCAGCTAATTTTTACTTTTTTGTAGAGATGGAGTTTTGCTGTGTTGCCCATGCTGGTTTTGAACTCCTGGCCTCAAGTGATCCTCCCTCCTTGGCCTCCCAAAGCATTGAAATTACAGGTGTGAGTCACTGCACCCAGCCTACTTTCCCCTATTTATATATCCCAGGACATAGCATTTCCCTTTTGTAGAGGAGGAGCAGCCAGGAAAATGCCTTAAAAAGGAGGAAAGGTTTGGATTCCTTAGAAAAATGACATAGGCTGGATTTGGTTAGGTTGAAGACGGGGAGGGCTGAGCAAACACTGACATTTTTGAGCACCTGCTGTGTGCCTGTGCCATGCTTTACAAATGCTGTCTTATTTAACCCTGTAACTATCCTGTGCAAGTAGGGTTTAAAATCCCCATTTACCGGCCGGCCGGGTGTGGTGGCTCATGCCTGTAATCCCAGCACTTTTGGGAGGCTGAGGCGGGTGGATCACCAGAGGTCAGGAGTTCGAGACCAGCCTGACCAACATGGAGAAACCCCGTCTCTACTAAATATACAAAATTAGCTGGGTGTGGTGGCACATGCCTGTAATCCCAGCTACTTGGGAGGCTGAGGCGGAAGAATCATTTGAAACGGGGAGGCAGAGGTCGCATTGAGCCGAGATCACACCATTGTACTCCAGCCTGGGCAACAAGAGCGAAACTGCATCTCAAAAAATAAATAAATAAAATAAAATAAAATCGCCATTTACCAATGAAGACACTGGGCATCAGAATAGGCAATTTTTTCAAAGCCTCACAGCTTTTCAATGGATTGAGCTGGGATGTTAAGCCATCATCTGTCAGATTGCAGATCCCAGGCTGTTTTTTTTTTTTTTTTTTTTTTTTGAGATGGAGTCTCGCTCTGTCACCCAGGCTGGAGTGAGTGCAGTGTCATGATCTCAGCTTACTGCAACCTCCGCCTCCTGGGTTCAAGCAATTCTCCTGCCTCAGCCTCCCAAGTAGCTGGTACCACAGGCGCATGCCACCATGCATGGCTGGTTTTTTGTATTTTTAGTAGAGACAGGGTTTCATGATATTGGCCAGGCTGCTCTTGAACTCCTAACTTTATGATCTGCCCACCTCGGCCTCCCAAAGTGCTGGGATTACAGGCATGAGCCACCATACCCAGCCTCCAGGCTCTTTTCATTTGCTTGTCTTACCTCTGGGAGGATTACTCGCATGTCTGAAATCTCCAGGATTTCCTGTTTTGATATTGGTTCCTGTTTTGATATTAGCTAGCCTATTTCTCTTGTCATCTCCCCTCCAACTTGGAAGCAAAGAAGGAAGTTGAAGTCCCTTTAATAAGAAGCTAAAATTAAGCTAGATACAATAATCTCCTCTGTGTGGTACAAAATCAGTCTACATTGAGCATCTTTGGAAGCTGCATTAGGCTCTCTCAGATCCCAGTTGCTGTCTTGACCGAGTGATGGCTGCAGGGTGCAGAGTGGGGCCTGTTCCTGCACACCACAGTGTCTGGGGTGTGTGGAAGGGATGGCCGGACTCTTCTCTGATACTTAATTCCCCACCTTTAATCAGATATGGACTCTTTGGCCCTTCAAGCCAGGGATGGGAATGCAAGAGTGGGGCTCTGGAAGAAGGAGAGTGGAACCATTTAGTTTGCTGTTTAAATGGTGCATAATACAGAAGTAGCCTCCACCTAGGAAAGAGACTGATGCCTTACTTTTTCCTATTGGCATCAAGGGAATGGCAGATGGAGAGAGCGTTCCAGACAGCTCTGTGGTTGCTGCAGCCGGAAGTCGTCTTCATCCTGGGGGATATCTTTGATGAAGGGAAGTGGAGCACCCCTGAGGTAGGACTCTGTGTTCCAGGTGCCCTCATCCTGCTGTGAGGTCCAGCACAAGTATCCCAGAGAATCCACGAATCAGTGTCAGCTTGAGCTGGAGATTTTATGGAAGTTGTACTTACTACTGATATTAAAAATGCGTAGGCTATTTGGAAGATGATTAGAATTCATAGGCTATCTAAGATTATTAGAACAACTCAATCTTGAGTTAGGTTGGCTAATTGTAAACATTTGTCTATGTAGGAAATATGTCGATTAGCCAGATATCATTTAGTTGGAATACACTGTTTTGTGAACCTCTTGGGAAAGGGAGAAACGGGCAAGATAGATGTTATTTCAGTTGTCACCGAAATTGCAAAATACATATTGAAATGTACATTTAATTTCACACTCTTATTGAACCATGACATTATGAGAATCGTGCTGCAAAAGAGACTTGCTATTCTCCTCTGATTTTCTTTTTTCTGAATGAGAGATGCAGAAGGAGCGCTGGGGACTTGATGTGAGGATCCTCTGCTTTCAGAGGGGGCTGAGACCCCTGCCTGGGTATTGGGGTAATATAAGACTTTCCACAAACCAAAGAGAAAAGCTGTTCTCACCTTAGTTGTCACAGTGTTTTGCTTATTATATCCTTGGAACAAAACGAATGAAGACATGAGCTGTTCTTGCTGCTTAAAAATGTTCAGTCACTAATGGTTTTTGGAAAATCTTCAATTTGGGGTATAGTATAAAAAACTTCATCACATGCCCGTAGTACCAGCACTTTGGAAGGCCAAGGCAGGAGGATTTTTTTTTTTTTTTTGAGATGGAGTTTCACTCGTTGCCCAGGCTGGAGTGCAATGGCGCAATCTCAGCTCACTGCAACCTCTGCCTCCCAGGTTCAAGCGATTGTCCTGCCTCAGCCTCCTGTGTGCTAGGATTACAGGCATTTCCTGTGTCACCACGCCCGGCTAATTTTGTATTTTTAGTAGGGACAGGGTTTCTCCATGTTGGTCAGGCTGGTCTCAAACTCCTGACCTCAGGTGATCTGCCCACCTCGGCCTCCCAATGTGCTGGGATTACGGGCATGAGCCACCGTGCCTGCCCTTTCTTTTTCTTTTTCTTTTTTTTTTTTTTTTCTTTTTGGTGCTATGGGGGATGGAGTCTCACTCTGTCACCCAGGCTGCAGTGCAGTGGTGTGATTTTGGCTCACTGCAACCTCCGCCTTCTGGGTTCAAGCGATTCTCCCTCCTCAACCTCTCGAGTAGCTGAGATTACAGGCACACACCACCATGCCCTGATAATTTTTTGTATTTTAGTAGAGATGGGGTTTCACTGTGTTGCCCAGGCTGGTCTCGAACTCCTGAGCTCAGGCAATCTGCCCACCTTGGCCTCCCAAAGTGCTGGGATTATAGGCGTGAGCCGCTGCGCCAGACCTAGTCCAAGGCAGGAGGATCGTTTGAGCCCAGGAATTCAAAACCAGCCTGGGCAACTTAGTGCTGTTTCTACAAAAAATACAAAAATCAGCCAGGCGTGATGGTGCACGCCGCTACTCAGGAGGCTGAAGTGGGAGGATCGCTTGAGCCTGGGAGGTCAAGGCCACAGTCAGCTGTGCACCACTGCATTCCATCCTGGGTGACAGAGTGAGACGCTGTCTCAAAAAATCAAGATAAAAATCAAGGAAGACAAACAACCCAAACAAAAACAAAACAAAACAAAAAAAACCCCACAACAAAAATCCAAAAAACCTTACTGGCATTTCCTAGGACAATTCAATAGCTGCACAAGAGAAGTCTTGTTTCAGAGTTGATAGGAACCAGTTTACAGAGTTGCAATGTTTGTTATTATCTAGGCTATAATTAAATGTGAGATAGTGGAAATGTTATATGTAAAAACAACTAGTTACAAAATGAGGTTGGATAGATATGTTGCTTTTCCAAATTAAGGGCAACATTTTATGTTTTTCTATGTCTGTTATTCTGATTTTATGTTACTCTAACTTTATATTTTTTTATTTTTTTCAGCTGGTGTCTTGCTCTGTCACCAAGTCTGGAGTGCAGTGGCGTGATCTCAGCTTACTACAACCTCTGCCTCCCTGGTTCAAGTGATTCTCCTGCCTCAGCCTCCTCGAGTAGTTGGGATTACAGGCACCCGCCACCACACCCAGCTAATTTTTGTATTTTTAGTAGAGACAGGTTTCATCATGTTGGCCAGGCTGGTCTCAAACTCCTGACTTCAAGTGATCCGCCTGCTTCAGCCTCCCAAAGTGCTGGGATTATAGGCGTGAGGCACCGCACCTAGCCATCTAACTTTAAATGTTATTTGTTAAAGTGGAATCTTTGTAAATGTATTCAAGGACTCTATCCAGCATATTTCCTTAAGTTTTGCCAGATTTACAACATTTAGGATAAAGTTGGTTACTATCTAGAATAGAGGTTTTTTTTGTTTTTTTTCCCTACCCTAGGGTGTTTGTACAATTGATATTTTTAGCTTTATAAAATAAGAACTACACTAACATAACTCTGAAGTTTTAATAGTTAAAGCAAGTATCAGAATAATTTTGAAAAATTTTTTACAATAAGTATTTTTTGTCTTTCTTTCTCCCACATCTCATTAGTTCTGGTTTCCACAGTTGTAGCCATAGGGGAATGCCACCTTTAAAGATGTTCTCATCCTTGTCTTAGTTGAGACACATGAAGAACTTACTGGACATTTTGTCAGAGCCTGTTCTTATAGCATGCCCAGATCTGAAGCATTTCTCCACCAGGGTCTATGAATGGTCTTCAGGGGATCTTGAAATAATAGGTGTATGAACCAAATATTTTTTGGGATTGCCAGTTATTGTTTTAAGATGGGAGAGGATACCATTTAAAAATTTGGCATTAGGCTGAGCTTGGTGGCTTATGCCTGTAATCCTAGCACTTTGGGAGGCTGAGGCAGGTGGATCACTTGAGGTGAGGAGTTCGAGACCAGCCTGGCCAACATGGCGAAACCCTGTGTCTACTAAAAATACAAAAATTAGCTGGGCATGGTGGTACACGCCTGTAATCCCAGCTACTCAGGTGACTGAGGCATAAGAATCACTTGAACACTGGAGGCAGAGGTTCCAGTGAGCCAAGATCATGGCCACTGCACTCCATCCTGGGTGACATAGTGAGACCCTGTCTCAAAAAAACAACAAAATAAAACAAAAACTTGGCATCAAATTAAATAACAGTAAGTATTAATTGTAATTTTAAAAAAGACATATTATGGCCAAGTGTGGTGGCTCACGCCTGTAATCCCAGCACTTTGGGAGGCCGAGGCGGGCGGATCATGAGGTCAGGAGATCGCGACCATCCTGGCTAACACAGTGAAACCCCGTCTCTACTAAAAATACAAAAAATTAGTCGGGCGTGGTGGCGGGCGCCTGTAGTTCCAGCTACTCAGGAGGCTGAGGCAGGAGAATGGCGTGAACCCCGGAGGCAGAGCTTGCAGTGAGCCGAGATCGTGCCACTGCACTCCAGCCTGGGCAACAGAGCGAGACTCCATCTCAAAAAAAAAAAAAGTTCTACATCATCTTTATGGGCATCTGATTTGAACAGGGGAATTCATTCACTTCTCACATCAAAATAGGGATCATTGGCTGGGTGCGTTGGCTCATACCTGTAATCCCAGCACTTTGGGAGGCTGAGGCGGGCGGATCACGAGGTCAGGAGATCGAGACAATCCTGGCTAACATGGTGAAACCCTGTCTCTACTAAAAATACACACACACAAAATAAGTTAGCCGGGCATGGTGGCATGTGCCTGTAATCCCAGCTACTCCAGAGGCTGAGGCAGGAGAATCGCTTGAATGTGGGAGATGGAGGTTGCAGTGAGCAGAGATCGCACCACTGCACTTCAGCCTGGAGACAGAGCCAGACTCGTCTCAAAAAAAAGCAAAACAAAATAGGGATCCTGTTTTTTTAGCCACAGGGCAGAGATGGTTCTCTGGCTCTCAGCAGTGATTCTTTTTCCCTCAGGCCTGGGCGGATGATGTGGAGCGGTTTCAGAAAATGTTCAGACACCCAAGTCATGTACAGCTGAAGGTAGTTGCTGGAAACCATGACATTGGCTTCCATTATGAGTAAGTAGTTCACAAAAGCCCTGCACCCTGAGAGCTCTTGTTAACTGTAATTCTAAATCTGTTGGAATTCAGGTGAAAGCCCTATTTGTGCTGTCTTGAAATTTGTTTTCTTCAAAAGATGTGAGCTCTGGGATATTAAACTCTTTAAGGGGTTTTTACTTGGTGCATAGTACACCCTCAACAAATATCTGTGGAATGAATGAATTGTATGTGCCCTTGGGAAACATCTAACTTGAAATGTACATTTAATGGCCAATTATTGTCTTTGGGAACGAAAAACCAAGATCATTTAGACTTTAATAGCTAACATTTATATAGTGCTCTAGTGCTTATAATGTGCCATCTGTTTCAAGTACTTTACTTCCATATATTAACACATTAATCTTTACCATGGTCCTGTTGTTTTACCTACGGTACCAATGTGGAATCTGAGGCCCTGGGCAGCTGAGTAACTTGCCCCAGGCTTCATAGTAAGTAGTGGAACTAAAATTTGAGCTTTGCTATCCTGGGGCCAGGTAGAGCCCTTAACTAATAATGCTAGTCTGAAACTCAAGTGTTGAAAGTTATTTTGTGTTCATGATGACTCTAGGAGTTTCTAAAATGGCTTGTCCTGAAAAATGTTTCTTCTCACAATTGAATATAGGATGAACACATACAAAGTAGAACGCTTTGAGAAAGTGTTCAGCTCTGAAAGACTGTTTTCTTGGAAAGGCATTAAGTGAGTATTATTTGTAAATTCTTCCAAGACCTTTAGTCCTTGGAAACTTCATTTTTTAAAGGTGCCTGCCATACTGGGATCTATCATCTACCTGCGTTCTGTTTAGCCTGGTTTATGATCTTTAAACAGCAGTGCCTTAGGCTGTCCTTGCTGGTGCTCACCATGGGAGCCGATAGATGGGAAACCTCAAACCACCCTGGTTTTCCTTGACAACCCCATAATGAATCGGTCAGTTTATGACTCTGCCCAGCCACTGTGGGAATGATAGTCTTTCTGTCTGCACTGTCTCTGGGTAGCACAAATTTCATCAGCCCACTTTGTAAAAGAGTCTTTATTTGATCAAAATATACTAATTTCACGTTACAAAGACTGTTCTCGTAGTTATGGTGTCATAACTACTATGGGATTTGGTGGCAAGTGTGTCACAGTTCCTCTGTAGCTCTGTGCCACCCATCTCCATTGGCCTGGGCTTTTAGACCAGAGCATCCTGACCCTTAGCCTGACCATGAGCAGCTCCCGCTCTGCGAGGCCACCTCAGTGCCCATCTCTACATCCTTTCTGGGCTGTGTATGTGGCTGCAGCACAGTGGACAGGACTCTATACTCTATACTGATTATAGACGCGGTGGAGAAAACAGGTGGGAGTGGAAGCCTTTTCTCTTTTAATCTTGTCCTTCCTGTGGGTGCCCAGCACTCTGTTGACCTTGGACACAGCAGGTCTGCAGGTGAGGTCATTTCTGTCCAGTGGCTTCACCACCAATGCTCACCTTTCCCTCTGCCAGGAAGGCAGAGTCTCTAGTAGGTGGCTTTCTCTGCTGACTCATAATAGAAGCATGATACAGTTTGAATTATTTCCCTCTAAGTGTGTGTTTAAGACACTTCAAACAGCTTATCATACTGCTGATCACTTGATAACTCCACTCCTTATCTCTAAAACGAGTTAAATTTCAAGCAGTCTTTACTGACAGGTACTTTCGTCATTCCAAGATGGTATGCATGTAGGAGATAAAACCGTATTTAGTGGGAGTCTTTAAAAAAATGTGGCTGCTGAGTCTAACCACAATGGACTTTGTTATTACCCTAGTTTGGGATTATCCATACCCAGTTAGCTCTAACCGGCACCCTACCCTCTGCCTTACTTGCTGTGTGTGTCTGTATGTCACTGATGCACTCTGTGGTTCCCTCTACCTGTTAGTCACAATATCTGACACGTACTGAGTACTTTCTAGTGGCAGGCTGTGTTCTAAACACCTGCCATGTCATTTCATTGAATCCTCACAACCAGCTGATGGGGTGGGCATAGGGTTCTTAGCCCTGCATGGAAGAGGCGCTGTAACAGATGAGGTTCTGGTTGGAGGATGAGCTTAGACATAGTCTAACTGCAGAGCTTCTGTAATCTGGGATTTCTCACAAGTTTAGGGTCAAAAACCCTTCGATCGTGTCTTAGACAGAACTCCCAGTAATGCTATTTTTGTTAATATTGACTCATATTTAAAAATACACCAAATTATTCTGGGTGGGATTGAAAGCTGCTCTGGGCTTGTTTCTTTGCACTGGATGCTTAGCTTTCTTTTCATGGGAACAGTAGGGAAAAGAAAGCACTGATACCCCCAGCGGCCTCACCTGCGTTTCCCTCCGCTTCAGCTTTGTGATGGTCAACAGCGTGGCGCTGAACGGGGATGGCTGTGGCATCTGCTCTGAAACAGAAGCAGAGCTCATTGAAGTTTCTCACAGACTGAACTGCTCCCGAGAGGTAGGAGAGCATCTGAATGCCACAGGTGCCTTCTGTCCCGTGTTGCTCCGCTTCGGTTGCTCACTCAGCCCCCTAGCGCTTCTTGCCCTTTGATGAGGGTCAGGTGTGCGGATTAATGGCCTGACTTGTACCCAGCAGGCACGTGGCTCCAGCCGGTGTGGACCTGGGCCTCTGCTGCCCACGTCTGCCCCTGTCCTCCTGCAGGTGAGCTGGGGGAGGAAAGGGCTCATGGCAGACAGCAGGCAGCCTGTGGTTTCACGATAGCCGCCTGAACTCCTCTCTCCACCCCGGACAGCATTATCCTCTGTATCGGAGAAGTGATGCTAACTGTTCTGGGGAAGACGCTGCTCCTGCAGAGGAAAGGGACATCCCATTTAAGGAGAACTATGACGTGCTTTCACGGGAGGCATCACAAAAGGTTTGCCAGGGTGTCGTGATGCTAATTCATGTCACAGTGTGACTCTCATCACCTTGCATGTCAACAAGCAGAGTGCCCAGGCTAGAGCAGGTGTTTGCTGAAACGTTCATGACTTAGTTATCACCTGGGGGGACAGGGGTGGAGGCCTGGCTTTCACAGTATCTCAGATTTTCATTTAATCGCTTTTTTTTTTTCCAGTAAACCTACTTCTGTTTCCTACCCTCAAGTCAGTAATAGTCTCAGCTATTCTTTGTATTCAGAGTTTTTCACCAACTTAAATGTATTTAGAAATGTGAATGGAACTGAAAAGTCAATTTTTTAGGGACTTAATTAAAATTAAAATGCATTTTCTTATATAGATTTATATAATACATATTACATTATACATAATATATAAATATAAGAAATATTTATAAGATAAATGTATAAAATATTTATAAAGATAAAATACCGTAAAAAGTATATAAAATCTGGGATGAGAACAAAGGGCTGACCTTACCTTTGATTTAGTGTAAATAAACCAAAGGATTTTTAAGGAAAAAAATAAACCAGTCCTTCAAAATAAGGATTTAGTATGTAATTTAAGGAAAGAAGCGATGGCCAGCGGCCGTCTGCTGAGCGGTGAGAGCCTGGTTGAGGATGAGCTAACAGCCTGCTTTGCTGTCTTCTCGGCCACTGTCAGCTGCTGTGGTGGCTCCAGCCGCGCCTGGTTCTCAGTGGCCACACGCACAGCGCCTGCGAGGTGCACCACGGGGGCCGAGTCCCCGAGCTCAGCGTCCCATCTTTCAGTTGGAGGAACAGAAACAACCCCAGTTTCATCATGGTAACGTGAAAGTTTATTTTTGTCTGAAAGCTTTCATAAGTATTTAAATCAACACAGTAATCAACTATTTAATTGCTGCAATCGGTCAAAATTTACAAAAGCCACACACAAATTTCTCTCCTTCTACACGTAGCTCCATACACTGCCCCTTGCCAAACACCCTTCCGGGAACCAATCAGCATGACATTCCTGGGCAGTTAATGTGAGAAGCGAGGGCAGGGCACCGTCCAGGTGGACTTTATCCTTCAGGGAGGGCCGTATCCTCTCCTCTTACACTCTGTGTGTGTTTAATTTTCTAAAGAAACAACCATTTATTCATTAGCTATACTCAGCCATCTTCTCTTATTTTCTAAACATGCCCATTTGACCTGGCAGAGAACGCTGCAGCTTTTGCAGGTTGATAAAAGATGTTTCACTTAATGACCACTGGGCGTTTTAACTCCTTTCAGCCATGGGCTCCTGCATCCAGCTCATGATGCTGGTACGACAGGTTCTTTTACTTCATAAAAAGGTGGAGGAAACCCTAACATTTTCAAATTCAAAGTAAATGAAAACATTTGCCACTGTTGTTCCACATAAAAGTATCTGCAAAGAAAAGCCCATGGAGACGACCTGGACACATGTATTTCTAGGGAACAGATGCTTAGTTGAGCATCAAGGGGCAGGAAGACACCTTTCCCTCCTTGTTCCTCGCTGACCGATGACCCTGGAACTCCACGGTGCCTCTCTGAATCTCTGTTATGGATCCCCCACTATATTTGATGGGAACCCAGTGAGCCAGGGGCCAGTTTTGACAGGTCAGTGTCCCAGACATTTTCCACTCAGGCACACTTGGGCCTTACTTGTCTCTCCTGCTGGAGCCTGGGCTGGTCGGGGGTGAGCTGTGCAGGGAGAAGGCTGGGCCCCCTTGGTCTCAGGTGAGGAGGGCCCGTTCCCTGCCTCACCTGAGGGGGACCTGAGAAGGCAGTCTTCCCTCTGCTGTTTCTAAGACTGCGGTGTTCAACGTGTGCCTGGTGCTCTCAGCATAACTTTCCCTTCTCCTTTCCAGGGTAGCATCACGCCCACAGACTACACCCTCTCCAAGTGCTACCTCCCACGTGAGGATGTGGTTTTGATCATCTACTGTGGAGTGGTGGGCTTCCTTGTGGTCCTCACACTCACTCACTTTGGGCTTCTAGCCTCACCTTTTCTTTCTGGTTTGAACTTGCTCGGAAAGCGTAAGACAAGATGAAGAGCAGGCGCCATTATAAATATCAAAGCCCAAGAAATGGAACTTTGGGCAGAGATCATGTTAGAATCAAGTGGATGATGAGACCAATTACAGGCCGTCTCTCTGCACAGCACAGAAATTCTCAATCACTGAAATGAGTAACTGCAAAATAAATAGTTGATTGTACTGTTCTCATGCTATAAAAGTGGACAGGTACTCTACAACAAATCTGTTTTCTCATTTTTATCAAATATATGTATCATCAAAGGTTGCATCTGTACAGTATGTAAATGCTATTAATGTCGTCACTCACATGCACGACAGTCCTTGTTCCCCCAGGAAGGGCCTGGTGGCCCCAGCACACACTTGGGATTATGTGTATACATAAATAAATATTGGGCTGTTTCCCTCTTCCTGTGAAGTGGTTCTCAAATTCCTATGTACTGTAAAGCTGTACCCTTAAAAGTACAGATGTGGCCGGGCACAGTGGCTCACACCTGTAATCCCAGCACTTTGGGAGGCTGAGGCGGGTGGATCACTTGAGGTCAGGAGTTCAAGACCAGCCTGGCCAACATGGTGAAACCTCGTCTCCGCTAGAAATACAAAAATTAGCCAAGCATGGTAGCAAGTGCCTATAATACCAGCTGAGGCTGAGGCAGGAGAATCCCTTGAGCCCGGGAGGCGGAGGTTGCAGTGAGCCAAGATCATGCCACTGCACTCCAGCCTGGGCAACAGAGTGAGACTCCGTCTCAAAAAATATATTTAAAAAAAAAAAAGTACAGATGTGATGTGCAGAACATATTGTTTTCGTAGATTTTTATACTTGATCAATTAATGGAATCAGATTTTTAGATAAGTGTAATTTTCTCTATAGGAGACCACGTTGCTACATCTGTTAATGCCTGTCAGTGATCAAAAGAAACTTAAAAAGTGGAATGGGATATGGCTTTTGGTACCTGAAAATAAATGCTTTAATAATTGTAAGCCAGATAAAAGTTATTCTTTTTGTTTTTTTTCTTAACAGTCTGGCTGTTGTTTGAATTAAACTCTTAAACAGGATGTTTAGTTAGAGGGTAATTGTTGAGTAATGATGCATACAACAGCATACTTCCCTTTCTTGCTGGGGGTGCAGCTTTTCAGTTTTCTTGTTTTACTTTGACAGTGCAAGGGGAACTGAAAATAATTTCCATTGTATTATTTATCTTAGTTCAGCTGAGGGCTTTATGAGACAGTGGATGGGGAGGCAGTAAGACGGTGATGAGATAAAATGTGTGTGTTGCACTGACTGTCTATAAAGTTATCCTTTCTTCATGAAAAAGTAGCATTTAAATCTGGATGAGTTTATAAAGGATTACAAAATGCTGATTTATAGAGTAAACTTTAAAATATTAAAGACTAAAGACTAAAAGAAGAGTAATAATGAAGTAATGTAGGCTGTCACTTCTCTAGATTTGTATTGTTGAAAATTTAACTTTGGACATCTTTATAGATTATTATTTTAGACCTACAAAAACTACCCTCAACTCTGTGGCTACAGCTAGAATATGAAGCATCATTGCTACACCAGTTCTTACTTTCTAGATATTGTTGGTGTGTCATAATGTTTGAGGCTGTATTTGTAAGTCTTGCAAGTGTGAGAAAGAGCCGTATCTTTTGACTTTATACTTCAGATTAAGGTTTTGTAATGTTTCTTCTTCAAAAGGCAAGTGAAGCTGTCATCCTCATTCTCCTAGGCCAGACACAAACATTGACACGTCAAGGTTTTTTTTTTTTTTTTTTTTGGCCTGAGTCTCACTTTGATGTCCAGGCTGGAGTGCGATGGCACGACCTCGGCTCACTGCAATCTCCACCTCCCAGGTTCAAGAGATTCTCCTGCCTCAGCCTCTCGAGTAGCTGAGATTACAGGTGCCCGCCACCACGCCTGGCTAATTTTTGTATTTTTGGTAGAGACAGGGTTTCGCCATGTTAGCCAGGATGGTCTTGATCTCCTGGCCTCGTGATCCGCCTGCCTCGGCCTCCCAAAGTGCTGGGATTACAGGCGTGAGCCACCGCGCCTGGCCACATTTTGTTTTTCTCTTACTGTTTGCTTACTTGTATGACGTAGCCTGTGTCCAAAGTTTTGACTAAGGGAATGATGGACCTGTTCCCACTTGGGGAACTTGAAGAAGTGTTTCATTAGCAGACTAATGAGGAAACATATTGTCTAGAGAGAGAGAAAAAAATCCCTGGTTCCCTGAAAAGATTAGATTGCAATTTGTACCCCTGAATTGAGTTCAGGTTTTTACAGCTCAGAGAAGTAACAGCAGGTGGTTGCAACAGCTTGTGATGTTGGTACATTGTCGATAGAATGTGGATGATTAACGTGTATAACTTACAATTTTTTAAATCAGGGAGTATTTTATAAAGTGCCAACCTGATAAAATATCCTAAATTCTACAGCTACCATTCATTCCTTTTTTCAGAGTAAGCAGCAGGTAATGTTGACATTAAGCTCTTCAGCACAATACAAACACATTTCATGTACAGGTATAGATAGCCATGGTGAAGGCACAAAGATCTACAAGGATTTTTCTTTAGTAGTTATACAAAAGAATATTACATTTTGTGGTCTGTACAGTGTAATAAACCAGCAATAGGGACAACAACAAAGAGAATCTAAGAAAGAAGACTATGCCTAAGTATAGGGAAAGTTTAGAGAATCATTTTTAGACAGGACACATTTTGCAGTAGTGAATGTGGTAGGTTTTCTGCCTAAGAGGCTCAAAGTAGCTCTAATTCAAATGCCTGAGGCCAGCAGCGACTCTGAATGTGACTGTAAAAGGGTTTCTGGTCACTCTGTCGCTTGGGGTCGACTCCAAGTCTTGGGCTAAGGCCAATGGGAAGGGACCATCTCTCGTCAGCCTGCAGCTTCATAAAGGGAGAATCAGAGACGGCCGTGGCTCAGGGCACTGCACGAACGCTCTTGCAGTCACGGTTGATAACGTGGAAAAAAAAACCAACTGTGTTTTCTCCCCATCTACCAAGTTCTCCTCGATGAATCAATAAAGGGAGAATGAATAATGGGGCTCCCACCCGGAGAGATTCTGCTGCAGTGTCGGCAATGAGAGTCGGTGGTTTGGGGGTGGGATGCTGCGGGAGGCCGTATTCAATGACAACAGAAGCTACACAACCAAACCTGAGGGGACAGAGGTAGCCAGAGGCTTGGTGGTCGACACAGAACGGGACAGACGGCAGCGAGATGGAACTAGAGACTCTGCCTCCTACCATGGCATGGGGCTGGCAGTCAGGCAGTCCGGGGCGCCGCTCCGTCGCAGGGTGGCGGCAGCATCCTCACAAGAGCTCATACTGCTTGAGGTGCATCCGCTGGATGATGTCGCGGCAGTCGTTGAACACCCTGCGGATGTTCTCTGTGTCCACGGCGCAGGTGAAGTGCGGGTAGCAGTAATGTTTGCCGTCACCGGTGGCCGTGCTGATCCTCTGCAAGAGAGAGCGTGTGCACTAGCCCTGCGCGGCCCCAGCATGTACTCTGGGGAAGGACTAGGCCACGCTGAGCAGGTGCTGGAGGCTTTGGTGACAGTGGCCTGCTTGTTTTGCATGGGAGCACTTAGAGGCAGGAATGGTCTCAATGCAAGCATCGGCCGAGGACCCAGATAACCTCACCCTTATCATTGCCCCCAGGAGGCTGAAGCAGCACGGATAGGTCAGAGAAAGCCCCGGCAGGCAAGTCAAGGGAGGAGCTTCCAAAAAGGAAGGTCTGAACAGAGTTTTCTGTGACAATGGGAATGTCCACTATCTGCCCTGCCAATATGATAGTCGCTATCTAGCTGATACCACCAAGGGGCTGATTTCTAATTAGCTAATTTTATTTTGTTTGTTTATTTATATATTTTTGAGACTGAGTCTAGCTCTGTTGCCCAGGCTGGAGTGCAGTGGTGCAGTCTTGGCTCACTGCAACCTCCACCTCCCAGGTTCAAGGGATTCTCCTGCCTCAGCCTCTCAAGTGGCTGAGATTACAGGCGTCCATCACCGTGCCCACGCCTGGCTAATTTTTGTATTTTTAGTAGAGACGGGGTGTCACCATGTTGGCCAGGCTGGTCTCAAACTCCTGACCTCAAGTGATCCGCCCACCTCGGCCTCCCAAAGTGCTGGGATTATAGGCATGAGCCACTGTGCCCCACCTAATTAGCTTGTTTGTTTTTTTGTTTGTTTGAGATGGAGTCTCGCTGTGTCCCCCAGGCTGGAGTGCAGTGGTGCCATCTCGGCTCACTGCAACCTCTGCCTCCCGGGTTCAAGCAATTCTCCTGCCTCAGCCTCCTGAGTAGCTGGGATTACAGGCGTGCGCCACCACGCCTGGCTACTTTTTGTATTTTTAGTAGAGACGGGGTTTCACCATGTTGGTCAGGCTGGTCTTGAACTCCTGACCTCATGATCCGCCTGCCTCGGCCTCCCAAAGTGCTGGGATTACAGGCGTGAGCCACCGCGCCCGGCCAGCTAGTTTTAATTAAATGTCCATATGTGCCCAGTGGTTCTGTACTGGACGGTGCAGCGGCCCGGTGGCGGCCTCCACACAGGGGCAGTTTAGCATCTGCTAAGCAGGGTGTCCCCTGGTTATCGGGGGAACGTTTGCTGCCTTCTGGGAGAAAAGTGATCTGTTATCAAGTACCTGAGAAACAGGGTTAGACATTACGAATCATGGTTTGTGGGGACCACCTCAGTGATGTGCTAATGTGCACTATGAAGCTAAGTGCAGTGGGTGTGGGGACAGGCTGTTAGGGCCAAATTGTGTTCCCTGAAGTTGTGTGGAATCCCTGACGACTGGCACCTCAGATGTGACTATATTTGGAGATAAGGCCTTTACAGAGGCAATTACGGTAAAATGAGGTCATTAGGGTGGGCCCTAATGCAATATGACTGGTGTCCTAGAGAGAAGAGGAAACCAGGAGGATGCAGCCATGTGCGAGGGAAGACCCCGCACCTTGATTTCAGACTTCCAGCCTCCAGAGCTGTGAGAAATACATTTCTGCTGTTTAAGACACTCAGCCTCTGCGGCACTTTGTTATGGCAGCCCGGGCAGACTTAGACAGAGGTCCTGTGGAAGCTCACCTTCTTCCTTGGTGCCACGAGAATCCCTGGGCCTCCTCCTCATCCCCTCCACTCCTTTTTCGATCCTGGGAAACAGCCTTTAGAGAGCTGCTTGGACCACAGAAAGGGTATCCTAAAGATGTCATGAGGTATGAAACTCCTCACGGGGATAGACCTATTTTAGCAATAGTCAGGCTTCTCTTGAGCATTAAAAAAAAAACTTATGGACACTAAAATGAGTAGGTTATATATATATATTTTTAATATATATATATTTTATTATACTGTAAGTTCTAGGATACATGTGCACAACGTGCAGGTTTGTTACATATGTATACATGTGCCATGTTGGTGTGCTGCACCCATTAACTCGTCATTTACATTAGGTGTATCTCCTAATGCTATCCCTCCCCACTCCTCCAACCAGTTATATATCTTTTTAATCCCAAAGCACCAGGTGAGGTATTTGGCACATACACAGTAAGTGTGTAGTGAATGGATGAAAAATAGGCTTTTGGCTGGGTGCAGTGGCTCACACCTGTAATCCCAGCACTTTGGGAGGTGGAGGCAGGAGGATCACTTGAGGCGAGGAGTTCGAGACCAGCCTGGCCAACATAGCAAGGCTGTATCTCTATAAAATTTAAAAATTAGCCGGGTGCGGTGGTGTGTGCCTGTAGTCCCAGCTACTCAGGAGGCTGAGGCAGGAGGGTTGCTTGAGCCCAGGAGTTGGAGGCTGCAGTGAGCTACGATCTTGCCACTGCACTCCAGGCAGCCTGGGTGACAGTGTGAAGCAATGTCCCAAATAAACAAACTAAAAAAGGCTTTCTTCTGTAATAGTGTGACTATTTGTCCCTGTCTAGAGCTTTAAAATTAAGGGAATGGAGTCATTACAAAGGTCGTTGCTTCAAATAGTTTTGTTTTTGTTTTTATTTTGAGATGGAGTGTTGCTCTGTCACCCAGGTTGGGGTGCAGTGGCACAATCATAGCTCACTGCCACCTCAAATTCCTAGGCTCAAGGGATCCTCCCACCTCAGCCTCCTGAGTAGCTGGGACTACACGCCTGTGCCACCATACCCAGGTACGTTTTAAAATTTTTTGTAGAGATGAGGTCTCGATATGTTGTCTAGCTGATCTCGAACTTCTGGCCTCAGGTGATCCACCTGCCTTGGCCTCCCAAAGTGTTGGGATTACATCCATGAGCAACTGCATCCGGCCTGGATGTTTCTAATCTTCATTTAAATGCCCAACATATGCATGCTTAATTAACATTTAGTTCTCATTAGAACAGCATTTTCTTGTGTCTTTATGTGCTATGGTCTTACAAAATGCTCCTTAAAAAAGGGATCCCTTGAGCTATTACAAACTAAATTCCCTTATTGAAGAGATTTGCAATGCACATTAATTGGCTTAAGTAAAGGCTCTCTTGCTGTATTTAACATAGCATGTCCCAGATTTATTCAGCTGCAGAAGCTCTCTGGGTATTGCCATGCACTTACGGCCATGCACTTCTGGGGGAACTCTTGTCCTCTGAACTCACCCTGGGGCCTTGATTTCTCCTCATTGTTACTTTCTAACTCACTGTAGGATTCAAGAGTCATCCCACAGGGGTGTGCCGGGAAAAGGGTGGTGAAAGGCCAGGCTGGAGTGCCGGTCCCCGTGGAAAGGCCCCACAGCCGAGGATCAGCCCTACTGCTACCTGGACTAAGATCTTGTCCACACGTGTTAAGTGCACTTGGAGTACTACCGGGAACATCGCCCTTGGGAATGCCTTGGCATGTAATAGTTTGAAGCGAGTAAAAACTCACAGCTAGCTATACGCTGTAGGTTATTTCAAAGAAAATCATATAGACAGATAAAGCATATGTGGCAAATTTTTGCCAATTGGTCAATTTGGGTAAAGACTATATGGGAGTTTTGTTTGTTTTGTTTGAGACAGAGTCTCGCTCTGTCGGCCAGGCTGGAGTGCAGTGGTGTGGTCTCGGCTCACCGCAACCTCCGCCTCCTGGGTTTCAGCAATTCTCCTGCCTCAGCCTCCAGAGTAGCTGGGATTACAGGCGCATGCCACCACACCCAGCTAATTTTTTGTATTTTTAGTAGAGATGGGGTTTCACCATGTTGGCCAGGCTAGTCTCGAACTCCTGACCTCAGGTGATCCATCTGCCTCAGCCTCCCAAAGTGCTGGGATGACAGGCATGAGCCACCGCACCCGGCCTGAGTATATGGGAGTTATTTGTACAAATCTTCTGCCTCATATGTAAGTTTGAAATAATCTCAAAAAGCTGAAGAAAAAAAAGTAAATATCTGAATTTGAGCACATCCATTTTTACATAAACCATCAGCCTGTTAGTGCTTTTGGATGGAGGAAGAGTATGGGTGCTTAGACTCTGCTGAAGGACGCTGTCCTTTTTGGAAAATACAACAAGTGAATGAAGTCTAGCCCATCCAAGTGCCATTCCCTGGAACGCTGTGTTCTCACCCAGGCTCTGCTGGTTGGAAGCTGTGTGACCTTGGGTGAGAAATCTAACCTCTCTGAACCTCGGTGTGCTCAGCTGTGAAATTAAAGTAACATACCCTTTGTCATCGCTCGTAATGTTAAGGAAGATTAAATGAGATCATCAAGGAGTAATTTGCATATTGTAAGAAACAAAAGATTAAGAAGGGAGGTAGAAAAACAAAGGTTAACAAAATTGCTTACCAAAAACAGGTCCCGGATAAAGAACTTGGCTCTTGTAACTTTGGGATCTTCTCCTGCATCTGGTGTTGCTGTAGAAATGACAAATGGAACTTTATTTAAGCAACATGAAACAAAGATACAACTCTACGAAAACACAGAAGGAATTTCAACGTTAGACTGCTGTATATTCCCAGCATTAAAATACATGTACAGCAAGGCAAAAACAAACATGTACTTTTTTTTTTAAGAGACGGAGTCTCACTCTCTTGCCCAGGCTGGAGTGCAGTGGCATGATCTCGGCTCACTGCAACCTCCACCTCCCCGGTTCAAGTGATTCTCCCACCTCAGCCTCCCTACTAGCTGGAATTACGGGCACCCGCCATCACAACTGGCTAATTTTTGTAGAGACAGGGTTTCACCATGTTGGCCAGTCTGGTCTCAGACTCCTGACTTCAGGGCCACCTTGGCCTCCCAAAGTGCTGGGATTACAAGCGTGAGTCACTGCGCCCAGCCAAACATGTAATTTTCATTGCCCTCTTCTCCTACATCATTTTAATAGTTATTGCTCTGATAAAACTTTTCTCTGGGGGTGCTATGGTCTCAATGTTTTTGTCTCCTCCAAATTCATATGTTGACTGCTAATCTCCAATGCAACAATATCAAGAGGGGCAGCCTTTGAGAGGTGATGAGGTCACGAGGGCTCCGCCTTCATGGATGGGATTATATCCTTGTAAGAGGCCTGAGAGAGACCCCTCACCCTCTCCACCATGTGAGGAGGAAATGAGACAGTGCCATCTATGAAGCAGAGAAACCCTTACCAGACACTGAATCGGCCGGTGTCTTAATCTTTGACATTTCAGCCTCCAGTACTGTGACTAATACATTTCTGTTGTTCATAAATTATCCAGCTGTGTTAGTCCATTCTTGCATTGCTATAAAGACATACCTGAGACTGGGTAATTTATAAAGAACAGAGGTTTAATTGGCTCATGGTTCTGCAGGCTGTACGGGAAGCACGATGCTGGTATCTGCTAGGCTTCTGGGGAGGCCTCAGGAAGCTTCCAATCATGGCAGAAGATGCACAGGGAGTGAGACATCTCACGTGGCCAGGGCAGGAGCGAGAGAGAGATGGGGGAGGTGCTACACCCTGTTAAATGACCTGCTGTTGCAGAACCCATTCACTATCTTGAAAACAGTGTCAAGAGGATGGTGCTAAACCATTCAAAAATGATCCATCCCCAAGATCCAGTCACCTCCCACCAGGCCCCACCTCAAACACTGGGGATTACAATTCCACAAAAGATTTGGTTAGGGACACAGATCTAAATCCTATCACCAGCCTAAGGTATTTTGTTACAGCAGCGCAAGCAAGACAGGCTGGGGTGGGGGAGAAATCCTACTGACCTGCCTGAGCCCCAGAGCTGCCCTCCCTGCAGAGCTGTTGGGAGAGGAAAGCTCGGAGCCTCCAGGCACAGGAGCTGGGCCCTGGCCTCCCTGGGGGCAGCACTGGCAGGGCCTCCATGGACTGCCTCTCAGCTTCCATCAGCCTCCTCTTCTGAGACTCCCCTTCCCTGTTCCTGCTCCCCACTCAGGCATGCGGAGCACCCAGATCACTATGGCCGACCCTCTAGCTCTAGGCCTTTCTGAGGCATTCTCCCCCGGAAGAGTCCACATTCATGTGGTCCTATCATTATTTTCTGTAACCCCACGAAATCTGAGATCTAGGCGACACAGCTGAGTGTTCTTACCACTCTCTGCCTTCTCTGTTGCAGGGTGTGTGAGGCTGTGAGGACACTTACTCACAGATTCATAGAAGGGAGGGTGCAGCACCCAGTGATGGGCAGGGGAGGGCGCAGCACCTGCTGTGGGGGGTGGGTGGGTGCAGCATCCAGTGAGGGAGGGAAGGGTGCAGCAACCGCTGTGGGTCTCTGCCTGGGCTGTGTTCTGGAGTGGCTGGGGAGCGCCCATGTCATTTATCTTGGCGGGGGTGGGGGTCACTGACATACTCTGGAATGCCCAGAGTGTCCGTGTACCATCTGAGGAGTTCTTTTTTTTTTTCTTGAGACTAAGTCTCACTCCGTCACCCAGGCTGGAGTGCTTTTTTTTTGTTTTTTTGAGACGGAGCCTTGTTCTGTCGCCCAGGCTGGAGTGCAGTGGCACGATCTTGGCTCACTGCAACCTCCGCCTCCTGGGTTCAAGTGATTCTCCTGCCTCAGCCTCCCGAGTAGCTGGGACTACAGGCGCACACCACCACGCCCAGCTAATTTACTTTTTAGACATTTACACAAATGCATTCACATGGTGTGTAGTTTTTGCTTTGATTCTTTCTGTCAGCACAATTACTGTGAGTTTAACCCATGCCGTCACATGGACCAACTGTTAGTTCCTTTTAATTGCTAAGTGAGAGTTGACGTTGGAGTTGATGGTGGTCCCAGGCTTCCAGCAGGTGCTGCAGATGCTCAGGGATGGGTGAGTCTCTTGGGAGAGGCAGGGCACAGATGGAGATGACGCATGCTGCTGGGTGAAGAGCAGTCACTGGGCCTGGCACCGAGGCAGCAAGCCAGGGTCCCCTCAGCCCCTGGACGGAAGCCCTTCAGCACCCGCGGCTGGGCAGGTGGCCTTGGCTGTCAGCCAGTGGTGGTGCTTCTCCTTGGTGCTCCTAAGCAGGTAAGGTTGTGTCTCAGAAGGGTGACTTTGGTAGTTCACAGAATGTTCTGGAAAGGTGAGTGACCAGCTACAGGAGGTCAGGCAGGAAGCTGTGGCAGCTGCTGAGACGAGAGGAGTGAGGGCCTGGACCACAGCCATGAGGAGGGAAAGAGGGAAGGGCCTGGGGAGGCAGACCCTGTTGGAAGGACCCCCCGGCCGCCGAGCCACTGCCTGAGCTGAGTGACAGGAGGTGGCAAGAGGCGGTTAGCGGGAGAATTAAAGACCCAGCTTGCTGGGAAACTGGCAATGCCAGCCACAGAAAGCGCAGCAGAAGCCATGCTCTGATGATGTGCCATGGGCAAGCGGCACCCGGCCTCAGTCCTGGAAAGCACATCATCAGGCTGCGGGTAGAGCAAGGCAGTGATGAACTGCAATGAGATTTCCACTTGATTTGGTCTCAGGAAGAGCCTGGACCTTGACCTCACGCTGAGTGACCCTCTGGCGGGTGCGGAGACTGCTGGTGGCTCATGAAAGCAGCTGGGTCTGGTGAGACCACAGGCAGAGCTGGTGCTCAGGCCCATTTCCAATGTCTATTATTTATTCCTATAAGGAAATATGTAGCAGTAGGAATTTTTTTCGGGTCTTTATGACACAGGTGATAGCAGTAGGATTTTGTTGGAAGGCCCCACAAGGGTCAGGATTTTACTATGAATATACTTATATAATGCCTCTCCCATGAGGGAGAAAAGAACATTGAACATAAGGAGCAAAAAAGTTTAATGACAAATGCAAGTTTTCTTTTCCCTCTTCATTGAGGATAAAAAATAAATTTTCCAAATCTTAACTATATTTTCCAGGAAAGTGTCTTTTATTCTGCGTTTTCTAGTTTGGAATTCAAGATGTAAGAAGCGGTGTTATTTCACCTTAAATCACTCCTATGAGCCTCTGGTAGACCTGGTGTTCACTGGAAACTGAAGTGTAAGCGACTGGAAACGGAGTGACCAACTCTTCCTGGTCTACCTTCCCAGCTTTAGCACTGACGGTCCCGTGCCCCGGAAACCCCTCAGTCTCAGGTGGCCTGGGATGGCTGCTGGCCCTGCTGGAAATCCCCAAGGCTGCAGCCACAGCAAGGCTAGAGACAGGAGCAGATAAGCGCGGCTGCTGCCAGCATGGGCTTGGGGACAAAGGGTGCAAGGACTGCCTTGCCTGCATGACTCTACCCGTGTGGCTTTGAACACGCTATCTCTCCTCTCTCAGACTCTCTTTCCACGGGAAAAAATAATAGAAACTACCATGCAGGGTCATCTGAGGGTGAAGTGAGAAGGTCTGTATCAAGGACTAACAAGGCACCTGTCATGTCACACCCAGCCAAAGGCACTAGAGGGAGAGCTCATACCAGCATGACACAGTCACATCCCAAAATGGCTCTTTCTTCTGCTGCACGGTTTCAATGGAAAGTCAAACTCGGAAACATTTACAAATGGGATCCGATTACAAATAGGACCTTGTAACACTCTAATACTTTAGGATATGGGCAGTAGAAAGAAAATTGATTTAAATAAAGTGAATTTCTTTGATTCATCAGAGGTATGTGAATTAGAGTTACAGGACTATTAATAAAACAATTCTATTCCTCAATCATAAGAATGTGTTTTGAAATCTTACCGTCTTCAGGAACAGTATAATTTGCATATTCTGGGAAATAGTCTTCAATTTTTGATTTCCCTGCCAAGACTTTTTCTGCCAGCATATCTTGTTTGTTCAAGAACAAGATGATAGAAATGGTCCGTAACCACCTAAAAAAGGAAAAATAAACATACAAATTTCACATACACTAGTACATGAAAGTGCCTCTAACATAGAAGTTGCTAAATTAAAAGAATACCATCGTCTTCCTAAAAATGTATAGGATTCAAGAAAGTTCAGTACACCAGTATCCTCATTCCATCTGTAAAGAATGATAAACAAATATAGGTACAGGTTGAGCATCCCTAATCCAAAAACACAAAATCCAAAATGCTTCAAAATCCAAAACTTTTTCAGCACTGACATGATGCTCGAAGGAAATGCTTGTCGGAGCATTTGACACTTTGCATTTTCATATTAGGGATGCTGGACTAGTAAGTATAATGCAACTATTCCAAAAAACAACAACAACAAGAAATCTTAAACACTTTTGGTCCCAAGCATTTCGGATAAGGGATACTCAATCTGTAGTTAAGCACTTTCTAATTCAGTCCCATGGGGGATATAGATTTATTGGAACCAAAGCTAAGATTTACTTATGTAATGAGTTCACTTGAATTTCTGTGGTGTAATTTACCAATAAAAGGTCGGAAAACTCACATTAGAAGTGAAAGTGTTAACAACAACAAAGTAATATATGACTCATTAGCTAATAACACAGAGCTTAACATGCAGCTGGCTTGGTTCTTCTTCCGCCTCCATCACTTCAAAGGAATCAAGCTAACTGATTAGTCTACAGGAATCTTACTATCAATTAATAACACAATTTGGCCACGTGTGGTGGCTCACGCCTGTAATCCCAGCACTTTGTGGGGCAGAGGTGGGCAGATCACGAGGTCAGGAGTTCGAGACCAGCCTGACCAACACTGTGAAACCCTGTCTCTACTAAAAATACAAAAAGTAGCTGGGCGTGGTGGCACGTGCCTGCAGTCCCAGCTACTCGGGAGGCTGAGGCAGGAGAATCGCTTGAACTGGGGAGGTGGAGGTTGTGGTGAGCTGAGATTGCACCACTGCACTCCAGCCTGGGGGACAGAGCGAGACTCTGTCTCAAAAAAAAAAAAAAAGAAAGAAAAACCCACACACACAATCCACTTTCCCGTCAAATGGAAATAGCTTACCTGCTTCTTCTAGTAATAAAATATATAACCTTTGTAAAAACAAATCTTATAGAAAAACATACAGAAAAAAATCAAATGTAATTATACCCAGAAACAATTACTACAGAAATTTTATGTTTTCATGCCCAAGTTTTTTTCTGTCCTCACACATACTTAAAAACGAGATCATAGTGTTTTAAAATCAGCTTTTTCCTATAAGAAGATTGTGGTCATTTTCCCACTTACACATATAGTGTTTATAAATAAATTCATAATAACTCTATAGTATCCTTCTGTATACCTGGTATTTCCTGACCCTGTTTCTTTCCTATTAACAGTCTTATTACCACAAATTTGAGGATGGTTGTTGAACATTTCATACAAAAACACTTTTCTGATAATCCAAAACTTTTATAAGGTAAACTTATGTTTCCTCTCCTCCTTGGTAATATTTCTTCCAAAATATTTCAGAAGAAACTTTGATTTCTAACTATATATGTATGTATTGTGTGTGTGCGCGCTAAATATTCCTTTCTGAAATAATCACTTCTGCCAATCTGCAATGCTAGTAGTTTCAAACATGATTATGTGGTGATTGTGAGCTGTAAGGGATCTTAGAGATCATCTAGTTATTAGTGGATGTCCTAAACTGGTACTTTATTTATTTTCAAAATTAAAAAAATTTTTTTTTTTACTTTTTGAGACAGAGTCTCACTCTGTTGCCCAGGCTGGAGTTCAGTGGTGCGATCTCAGCTCGCTGCAACCTCCACCTCCCGGGTTCAAGCGATTCTCCTGCCTCAGCCTCCCGAGTAGCTGGGATTACAGGCGCCCACCACCACTCCTGGCTAATTTTTGTAGTTTTAGTAGAGACGGGGTTTCGCCATATTGGCCAGGTTGGTCTCGAACTCCTGATCTCAGGTGATCTTCCTGCCTTGGCCTCCCAAAGTGCTGGGATTACAGGCATGAGCCACTGTTCCCGGCCCCTAAACTGGTACTTCCTAAAATTTAAAAACCAAACAAAACCTATTTTGAACCCTAGATATAGAGTCATCCCTTGATACCCGTGGGGGATTGGTCTAGGACTCCCTGTGAAAACCAAAATTTGAGGAGGCTCCCTTATATGAAATGGTGTAGTATTTGCATATAAACCATGCACATCCTCCCGTATGCTTAAATCATCTCCAATTACCTAAAATACCTAACACGATGTAAAAGCTAGGTAAGTAGTTGTTATACTGTATTGTTTATTTGTATTATTTTTAGTCAATTTTTTTATTTGCTCAATTTTTTATTTTAATTAATTACGTTTTTTGAGACACAGTCTCCCTCTGTCGCCCAGACTGACGTGCAGTGATGCAATCGCAGCTTACTGTAACCTCCGCCTCCTGGGCTCAAGTGATCCTCCTGCCTCAGCTTCCCAAGTAGCTGGGACTACAAGCGCGCCCCACCATGCCTAATTTTTGTATTTTTTGTAGAGACAGGGTTTCAACATGTTGCCCAGACTGGTCTCCAATTCCTGAGCTCAAGCAATTCCCCCGTCTCAGCCTCCCAAAGTGCTGGGATTATAGGCGTATGCCACTGTAATCTTGTATTATTTTTTGTTGTTGTACTGCTATCTTAAATTTATTTTTGAATATTTTCAATCTGTGGTTGGTTGAATCCGCAGATGTGGAACCTGAAGATATGGAAGGCCGAATATAATCTTAGCCTTTCAAAACAGAGACTTAAATTTTCTTGACAAAGAACTATCAGAACTTCATCAAAGAATACTCCACATTGGCCGGGTGCGGTGGCTCACGCCTGTAATCCCAGCACTTTGGGAGGCCGAGGTGGGTGGATCACGAGGTCAGGAGATCAAGACCATCCTGGCTAACATGGTGAAACCCGGTCTCTACTAAAAATACAAAATATTAGCTGGGTGTGGTGGAGGGCGCCTGTAGTCCCAGCTACTCAGGAGGCTGAGGAAGGAGAATGGCATGAACCCGGGAGGTGGAGCTTGCAGTGGGCCGAGATGGCGCCACTGCACTCCAGCCTGGGTGACACAGCGAGACTCTATCTCAAAATAAAAAAAAAATAATAAAAAAAAATATTCCACATTTTAAGTATATCTATACAATAGATGAACTAAAAGAGATACTTCGTACGGTTCTGGATTTATCAGTAAAGAGAGTGTGTGGGTGTGTGGGTGTGGGTGTAGGTATGTGTGTGTGTTTTGAGACAAGGTCTTGCTCTGTTGCCCAGGCAGGAGTGCAGTAGTGTGATCTCAGCTCATTGCAACCCTTACCTCCTGGGCTCAAGTGATCCCCCTACCTCAAGCTCCTGAGTCACTGGGCAGGTGTGCACCACCACACCTGGCTAATTTTTGTATTTTTTGTAGAGACAGGGTTTCTCCATGTTGCCCAGGCTAGTCTCCAACTGCTGAGCTCAAGTGACACACCTGCCTCGGCCTCCCAGTGTTGAGATTACAGGTGTGAGCCACAACGCCTGGCCTGAGCGTATTTTTAACAAAAGAAAATTTGCAATCCAATGGTAAGACTGAATTTGCTATTTTTGTCACCTGTTGTTCCAGATGCTTTCAAAAAGATCCAGGGACTCTCTCAGCCTGTTGGTGTTGTTATCTTCTCGAATCACCATGTTGTAGCTACTGCAGGCTGCGACGTAAATGATAGCTGTGACATCTTGGTGGGGAGAAAAAGGAAAGCACCTCAGTTAGACATCCTCACTGTGGAGTTACAAGAAAGTACACACCCAGCAGCTACTCAGTTCCACAAAAACATTCATTCAGTGATAGGACTATTCAGTCACAGAACAGCCTGCAGGTGCGCCGCGCACCACTGGTTGCTTCAGTAACGCACTTGATGAAGAGCCCACCCCAAAAGACACATGTAAATTTGGGATGCTTAAGTGCTTTTTTTTTTTTGAGATGGAGTTTCACTCTTGTCTCCCAGGCTGGAGTGCAATGGCATGATCTTGGCTCACTGCAACTTCCGCCTCCCAGGTTCAAGTGATTCTCCTGCCTCAGCCTCCCTAGTAGCTAGGATTATAGGCATGTGTCACCACACCTGGCTAATTTTTGTATTTTTGTATTTTCTTCCGAGACAGAGTTTCACTCTTGTTGCCCAGGCTGGAGTGCAATGGCGCAATCTTGGCTCACTGCAACCTCTGCCTCCCGGGTTCAGGTGATTCTCCTGCCTCAGCCTCCCGAGTAGCTGGGATTAAAGGTGTGCGCCATAACACCCGGCTAATTTTTGCATTTTTAGTAGAGACGGGGTTTCACTATGTTGGTCAGGCTGATCTTGAACTCCTGACCTCAGGTGATCCACCCACCCCAGCCTCCCAAAGTGCTGGGATTACAGGCATGAGCCACCACACCCGGCTAATTTTTTTATTATTATTATTTTTTTTTGACAGAGTCTCGCTCTTTTGCCCAGGCCGGACTGCTGCAGTGGTGCGATCTCAGCTCACTGCAAGCTCTGCCTCCCAGGTTCACGCCATTCTCCTGCCTCAGCCTCCTGAGTAGCTGGGACTACAGGCACCCACCACCGCACCCGGCTAATTTTTTGTATTTTTAGTACAGACGGGGTTTCACCTCGTTAGCCAGGATGGTCTCGATCTCCTGACCTCGTGATCTGCCCGCCTCGGCCTCCCAAAGTGCTGGGATTACAGGTATGAGCCACCACGCCCGGCCTAATTTTTGTATTTTTAACAGAGCCCCAGTTTCGACATGTTGGCCAGGCTGGTCTCGAACTCCTGACTTCAGGTTATCCGCCCTCCTTGGCCTCCCAAGGTGCTGGGATTACGGGCGTGAGCCACCGTGTCAGGCCCTTAAATGCTTTTTTTAATGAGATTAGTATCTAAGGAAGGAGCATCATAATCTATAAATGCTATACTTTACATATTAGTTAGAGATTATCTAATTCAAGAATAGTTAAGCACAGCAGTGCTGAGTGTTAGAATTCACTCCTATTTTCTTGAGAGAGCATAAAAAAATCACCGTTAAAGCACTGGATCCATTTTCTCCTCTCATCCCTCTGGCCACCAACATCAAACATGCTGTGGAAGAGCAAGAGGAACACAATTATTTGGGGGAAGCAGGGGACAATGGCAAACGTGCTTGCTTTCCTCTTTTGCTATCAGCAGGTTCCAGCGTTCACACATGGGTCTTGAGTCAAGCTCGGGTCACTGGCCTGCACCATCACTCCCTGTGTGATCCTGGACTGCAAGTGGCTCCACCTCTCTCAGCCGCAGTCCCTCCTCAGTCACCCCACAGTGGGGCTACAGGGGTGACAGATCAAGCAGACAGCAGCCGGCAGTGTCTGAGGTCCCACAGTAGGTCCTTAATAAATCCAGTGGTTACTAGCTCAGTAATGCTAGAGGTTACCTGCTCAGACACTCAGGCCTCTCTGAGTACAGGCTAAGTCACTGCCCAGGGCAGATCCTTCCTGTGATTTGTTCCAGCTCTCAGGACACTGTGTCTTCCCTCCCATGGAGAATTGAGAAAGGCTCCTTGCTGATCTGTCTACACTACATGCATCTTATCTCTAGCCACCTCTGCCTGGTGACCTGCACTGGGTCTTGATCACGCCTGGATTCAGTGCAGGCTGCTCTGCCCAGCCCGAGCTGCTTCCCGGTCTCGCTCAGCCAAGGCGACCTCAGCCAGTTCTCTCAGAGTTTCTCAGCTGCACCCTGCACTTCATCAGGCCGGCCCAGGCCCCTCTTCTCACAGCCCCTGCTCAGCGCATAAGGCGTTTCTCCCTGGGAGAGTTTCTACCTACCCAGATTCTGCTGGATGTTTCCAACCTTCGCAGGCTTCCCTGCCTCTGAGATTTCTCCCCTCCCTAAACATAATGCATGTGCCTTAGGACCACACGGGCTAGATTTTTTTGTCCTGGGCGGGTATGTTGCTGATCCTATTAGAATTTAATCCGTACGCTTTACATTAGCACACGTGGGGCACGCTGAGATACTTGATGAAAATGGATGAGCTGATGAGCAGAATCCTTTCAAACAAAATCACAGATGTGAGATACAGCTTCATTGTTAGTAATTCCACTATGCCAGGGACTTGGTTATGATGTGGGCAAAACCACAAGTCACGCCAACTCCATACTGCACTGTGCGCCTCCCAGCAGAGAGATGTAGCTGGCTTTTATCCAGCCTGACAGTGGCCATGTGAAGGGTTCTTGGGAAATCTGGAAGTAGGTGTCTGTCACCTGTGCACTGAGGAGGGCGCTGGGCACTGCAGGAGTCTCAGAACACACTGGAGATCATGAAACTCTTGCTTTAAGGGACCTCACCCTTGAGGTCCCTTAGAGTCGAGTCAGACATGCTGAGGGTGACTGGGCAAGGTAAAGGGCAGTATACCATCAATGGCTGCATAGTAGATATGCAATGGGAATTCTAAGGGGTCACCATGGGCTGAGATTTGAGGGATGCTTGGATGCTTTTTTTTTTTTTTTTTTTTTAGAGACAGGGTCTTACTCTGTCACCCAGGCTGGAGTGAAATGGCCTAATCATGGCCCACTGCAGCCTTGAATTCCTGGGCTTAAGAGATCCTCCCACCTCAGCCTCCTGAGTAGCTAGGACCACAGGTGTATGCCATCAAGCTTGGCTAATTTTTTTTTTTTTTTTTTGGTAGAGACAGGGTCTTGCTATGTTGCCCAGGCTGGTCTTGAACACCCGGTCTCAAGCAATCCTACTGCCTTTGCCTCCCAAAGTGCTGAGATTACAGGCGTGAATCACTATGCCTGGCCTGAAGGAAGCTTTGATAGATTTGTGGGGTTTGCTTAGCACAGGTGGCATCTGAGGCTCAGAGGACAAGATGAACAGAAGCGCTACGGCAGGAAAAGCTGGGAGAACTGGAAGGGTCCTGACAACAGCCCAGCCTGGTGAGGCAGGTGGCAGGGGACAAAGCAGGCCTGGGGACGGGGCTGGTCATAGGCAGAGGGCTTGGGTCATACGGTGCACAAGCAGTAGTGAGCCCCGAACCTTCTTCAGCAGAGGAACAGCACGATCCAGGCCGTGCCGTAGGAAGATTCATTTCGTGGCACTGAGAAGGGCGACTGAAATGGGTAAGCCAGGGGACAGGAGACAAGCCAGGGCTGTGCCGAGAGAGTCTAGGGGCGGGGGAAGTGATGGAGCAGGACTAGGGTGATAGCTATGAGGATGGAAAAGAGCTTTGTGGAGGGAGAATTAATGTCTTATCATGAGGGAGCAAAATGAAGAAAGTAAGCTCATTTGGCTGAGTTTGCAGTTGGGCAACCCAAGAGATGGGCTGGAGACACACATAAACTGCTCATTTCAGTTCTCAACCTGTGACTGTGCATCTGAAAGATCAAAATTTCATGAGTCTCCTGATCTAAAAAAAAGGGCCAATCAAATCAACAACTCAGATGCAAACACTGCCTTCCTTTCAGGTGTCCTCATTTCTACTTTAAAGTAGGCAGTAAAATCAACACTTCAACTCTTGCTAGAGTTCAAATTTCACCCCAGCTGCTCTTACCTGAAAGGGCTGCCATGCACATTCAGGAATGAAGCCCCCTTAAACCTCACAGCCCTTCGGCTCTGGGACATCATGTGGCCCTGGGCCATGCAGCTCTTAACAACATACTCACTGGAAGTTTACTTTGTCCACTTGGAATCGTGTCTCAAAAATCCCAGATGTCAGAACTCTGCATCTGAGGAGGTCCTGGGAACAAGAAGAGGGAAACAAGCTGAGTTACATTACTGTTCTTCTTCAAGGTAAAGCCCGGGTATAACTATACCTCATCAATATTTTTCAAATAATTTGTTCCACTGTAAAGGAAACAACAATTAAGAACCAACATTGGCCGAGCATGGTGACTCACGCCTGTAATCCCAGCACTTTGGGAGGCTGAGGTGGGCAGATCACCTGAGGTCAGGAGTTGAGACCAGCCTGGCCAACACGGTGAAACCCTATCTCTACTAAAAATACAAAAAAACCAAATTAGCCAGGTGTGGTCACAGGCAGCTGTAATCCCAGCTACTTGGGAAGCTGAGGCAGGAGAATCGCTTGAACCCAAGAGGCAGAAGTTGCAGGGAGCTGAGATCGCGCCATTGCATTCCAGCCTGGGTGACGAGTGAGACTCCGTCTCAAAAAAAAAAAAAAAAAAAGAACTCAGACGAATGTTCTCTGTTTTATCCTCCAGAGAAAGCCACAGTTAATGTGTTGGTTTGGCCCCAAGAGACCTGATAACTGTGCTTTTGTTTTAAGACTTAAAATCATGTCTGCAAGAATCTTACTAACATATACCTGACAACCACAGTCAGGGCATCAGCATTCCAGAGGGACATCCCTGCTGGTGCTCTGTTGGCTTGGGTGAAACTCACGATGGCTTGGGTGAGAAACCAAAGGAAGTGTAACTCTGCACTCACAAGTCTTCAGCCTTATGAACTGGATGCTAGTTGATTTCATTTATTCTCTCTTCCCTGCACATTTCTGTTTCCTCCAAGATAAAAGATGTGGTACCCCGAGGGGACGAGAAAGCCACGCAGCCTCACAAAGCTGGCATCCCTGGTACATTTGGCAGATGTCAGAGTTTTTTTTTTTCCTGACCCCCAAATCCATGTGATTTTAAGGAAGCAGCCATTCTGTAATAATTCTGGAACATGGGAGGTGGTCCTCCCATTTTAGTATAACGAGAACTGTTTAGGACAGGTAAGTTAGTTGAGGGACTGACTCAAGACGAGGAAGCCTCCATTGCTTTGTCAGATAATTTCAAACTCTCAGGATCAGCCTTAGAGAGGATAAACTTCATGGGAGAGAGAGAAGCTCAGGCCTCAGACCTCCCACCTTGGGGGCCCAGGGCCAAGGCCTTGCAGGGAATACAGACTCTGGGGGAAGTTTGGAGAGTGTGGTTTGAACAGAGACATCCCTCTAACTTCCTTGGGGTTCACTGGCTCTAGAAGCACCTGAAGTCTCCTGAATTGAGCAATCCGGGGGCTCTCCAAGTCTCTGCAGCTGCCCGAGGGTCGAAGGGGCACAAAGATTCCCTCTCTGCTATTTAAGAATTGGTGGAGTGGGCTGGGCACGGTGGCTCACGCCTGTAATCCCAGCATTTTGGGAGGCCAAGGCAGGTGTATCACTTGAGGTCAGGAGTTTGAGACCAGTCTGGCCAACATGGCAAAACCCTGTCTCCACTAAAAATACAAAAATTAGCTGGGCGAGGTGGCAAGCACCTGTAATCCCAGCTACTTGGAAGGCTGAGGCAGGAGAATCGCTTGAACTTGGGAGGCAGAGGTTGCAGTGAGCAGAGATTGCAACATAGCACTCCAGTCTGGGCGACAGAGCAAGACTCCATTTCAAAAAAAAAAAAAAAATGGTGGAGTGCTTTTTTTTTGACTCAACCCAAAGGGGATGCTCTGGGTCACACCTGGAAAGTTCACTGTGATATGGGACCCCCCAGGCCCAGGGCCACAAACAGAATGGGCATAGTTTATGAAGCCAGGAAGTAAAGACTTCGCTTTCCTGAGGACAGCTCCAGGAGGAAAAGGAACGGCATATTCCTTATCTGCAGATAAACTCATTTGCATGCTGGCAATTTTGATAATCACTAAGTGCTAGAGTCAGGGGAGCAAGGCACAAGGTTTGATGACCAATCCACGCACACACACAGGGCAGTACAAACAATTTGCAAAAAGTAGGTATCTTAAGGATTTTTCCTTAATTCATTCTGAAATAATCATTAAATCATATTGGAAATGAATCTCAAAGTTTCTGGTGTGTGGTGGGGGACCCTAATTCCACATACCTGGTCTGTGGGTGTGTAGTCAACCAAGCTGACGCTGTCGATTCTTTCCAGGAAGCTGCAAAGAAAGCCAGCAAGGGTTGAGGCCTGTTCTCTGCCCACTTTCCCCTGGGGTTGGGGAGAAATTAATGGGACATCACCCAAGTACAGCAAGGATGGGGGCAGGCCAAGAAGCTGAAGTGAGTTCTTACTTTGTTTCCTGAATTTGTATCTGTCTAGATAATGCAACATTCTTGACCCAGGGAGGGAGAACTGCATTCTTTTTTTTTCTTTTTTTTAATGTTGCCTTCTCTCCCCTCTCTTCTCCACTGCCACAGCGCTGGGGGTGGGAGCTACTCAGAAACTGGGAGAGAGCATGGAGCCTCCCGTCCAAGGCTAAGCGAGTACAAGAATGTGTTGCAATGTAAACAAAACATGGAAGGTGACAGATGTCCCTTTAGTTTCCTAATCAAATCCAGATGTTGTGTGTGTGTGTGTGTGTGTGTGTGTATGACTGCGTGAATATGTGTAAGAGCGACTGAGTGTGGAGAGCGAGTATGTGGTGTGCAAGAGTAAATGTGTAAAAGTGTAAGGGTGAGTGTGAGAGTATGTGCGGAAAGTGTGCGAGAGCGAGAACGTGAGTGTGCATATTTGAGTGTGTGTGCTGGCAAACCTGGCGACGCCTGTTGGTGTCAGATCTGCCTGGCGCCCACTGTGTCCCACACAAGGCAGGATGGGAGCCAAGGAAGGCTGTGCGCCGCTCTTGGGTGATGACCCTTCCGAGAGGGAGCTGGGAGGCCGCCGAGCTCCCTCTCCTGAGTGACCACGGCCCCTGCACAGGCCTCCCCCGCCCTCTCTGTGCCAGCCTGGCTTTACCAAGGCATCTATCCAGGCTGCACGTTTCCCACTGACTCTTGGTTGATCTGTTGTTATTTATCTTCTCCACTAACATGTTAGGCCCTCAGGGCAGGTCTCTGTCTTGTCCACCTGGGAGTCCCCAGCACCTAGTGCAGGCCTGGCCCCAGTAAATATGGTGGAATGAACCAGTGTCCTCTGTCCCCTTCTCCTTCCGCGGCTGGGACAGGTGACCATTGAGGGCTGAGAGGCTGGGTCCCTCGGGGACCAACAAGCACTGGGAATGGGTTAAATGGCAAGCAGGGGACAATTCTGGAGACAGAGGGGCAGCAGGGACCCTAGAAGGAAGAAGGAGAGCCAGCAGGAGGGAGGGGTCGGGGGGGCCCAGGCTCTCTGTTGGTGCTGGCGTTGACGGGAGGCCCTGGTACTGAGGAGAGAGGATGGACGGCCTGGAGGCTGCGCTGGCTCCCTGCCTGCCATGCCAGTTGGCTGGTTCTGTCCTTTGGTAGGTAGAGGCAGCAGACATGTGCCCATGAGCATTTCATGCAGAGGAGGCGATGTTGCCTCCCAATCTCCCCATCCTCCCACACCAGCTCCTCTGCAGGCGCCTGTGAACCTCAGTGTGGGCAAGAGGGAGACGAAACGGTTCAGAACACAAAACGCCACCCCACAATGAGCCCTTCAGCATGTTGACTAATTGTAGCTGAAGGCACTTGAGAAGCCTCAGCTGCAAGGCTGGCTGGCTGGCTGACCTCCCGCTCTGTCCCAAAAAGCAGGTCATGAAATCTTCCCTAAGAAACGTGCCTGCCCTGTACCAGGAAGAGGAGAATGTTCTTATCACCAGGGGTTCGGAGTCCACCCTGAAACTGATCTGTACAAACCCACCAAAATAACCCTTGTCTTTCATTAGTCACTGCCCCACAATGACTGCCCCTAGAAACTTGAACCTTTCTCCTGTGTCACTTCTCCATAAATTTATCATCTTTTGTTAAAAGGGTATATTAGCTCTCGGTCCTAACAGCTTCTTTGGGTCTTCATTTTTCTTATGAAAGTTCCCGTGTGCATGTAAAAATATTAAATAAAATGTGTATGCTTTCCTCCTGTTAATCCGTCTTTGTTAGTTCACTCAGCTACAGAACCTAATGGGAAAGAGGGAAGTTCTTTTTCCTTCCCTACAGAGGTCAAAAGGGGTCCATTTTAGGAACCACTTGGCCAAAGACAGTAAGACTACATAATTTCCTTGGACATCTTAACTCCTTCCTTTTGGAAAGCTAGAGACAGTCCCTAGTGGCCAAAACTGAGGCATGGCCATGGGATGACATTTTGGCAGCCTTCACCCATGAACTTGGGTTTGGCACCCCCAGGGCAAGTAACCCAGAAGCAGAATACACAAAGGGGCAGGAGTGGATCTGCTGGTGTTTGGGATGGCCTTTCATAGCGATAGGAAACAGTGGGGGCAACTGTGACCTCAACTGTCATGAATGAGTCATTTCCCTGGAAGCCAAGGGAAACAGGCTATGGGAGTGGTGTCTGTGACTGCATTGTCTGGTGTGCAGTCATTAAAGAATGTTAGCCAGGTGCAGTGGTGCACGCCTTTAATCCCAGCACTTTGGGAGGTGGAGGTGGGTGGATCGCCTGAGGTCAGGAGTTTGAGACCAACCTAGCCAACATTGTGAAACCCTGTCTCTACGAAAACTACAAAAATTAGCCAGGTGTGGTGGCACGCATGCCTGTAATCCCAGCTACTTGGGAGGCTGAGGCAGGAGAATCGCTTGAACCCGGGAGGCAGAGGTTGTAGTGAGCCGAGATCACACCACTGCACTCCAGCCTGGGCGATAGAGTGAGACTCCGTCTCAAAAAAAAAAAAAAGAATGTCAACTGCTCCTGGCTCTGCAGAGGTATGGCCCAGGTGACAGGGCTATTGAGAGGCCAAAGGGACCCTGATCAGCCAGTGGTGTCTTTGGAATAGGTGCTGCAAGCTCTGGGAGGTGCTACTGCGCACCAGAAGGTTGGTGAGTTGGCCAAGGGTGTGGAGCTGGCTCCAGAGGGGAAGGAACAAAGGGAAGGGACCCTCTGGGAGCTGGAGAGACTTGGGAGCCTGGAGGCAGGAATTCCCTGCCATTGCCTGAGGCCTGGTTTGGAAAGTACAATGCAGTTTTGGCATGGTGGTTGCTGGCCTGGAATGTGGTGGGGTGAAGAGCGTGGTGGAAGGACACACTGAGTTCCTGACCATCCAGCAACAAAGGAGCAAAAAGACCTTGGAATCCATGAGAAGGTAGGAGAAGTTTCTGCCGGGGTGGGACGGGAGCTCTGAACTGGGGCTGGACAGTCAGATGGGTTTCTGGGTGAGAAGGCTGCTTCCCTCACAGGCTACAACAGTTGTAATCAGAAATGGTCGCAACTTTTGACAGGGTCCAGAGCAAAGGATACAGAAATGAATTCGCTCTGATGAAAAGAGCTGGAAGGAACTGAAAATTAAATATGAAGCCTGTGGCTATAGTTAGAGTTTAGGAAGTAACCTATTTAAAATGGGATGCACATAGGTTGGAGGTAGGTGGTGAATGTATTCAGATGATAATAACTAGTCTAAGTAGAAAGAATGAAGTATGGTTAACCAAAAAATGCCTCTGGAGTGCTAGAGAGATGTGATGAGAGGACGTGTGAGTGCATCTTCCTGTGCACTATGAAAGACCAGTGACTTTGAGATGCTGACAGTGATGAGGCTGGTGGGTCTTCTCCTGTCGCCAACCTCCAAAATGGATATTCAGAGTCCTTCCAGCTCTGATTCTCAGAGATCTAAGTGAGACGTGGGAGGTCTCATTGAACATTTCCAAGAGCTGCTTCTGATTTGTTGCTGATGCTGAATGGTACCGAGTTCATGCATTTCAAGTTTGTGCAATGAAAATAAAATGTGAATATTCACCCCAAAATGTGAATATGCCCCCAATTCTTTGAAAGACTTTCTAAGGAATAAATAATAGAGTGGTAGATTTCTGCCAGCCTTCTGCCTTGATCCTTGTTTCAACTGGCATATTTCCAAGCATGTTGCAGGAGTACTTTTTCAAATTGGGGCTTCTGTGATTACATACATAGAGAGAATTTTAAAGGGGTCTCCCAAATCATACATAGAATTTTGCATATGATTACATTTTAAAGGGTTATAACATTGCCTCCTTAAATATGCCACTGCATGCTGACCAGAAGAATTAAGCAGATCTAAAAATCCCTTGCAGACTATTCACTCCAACTATTAGATGCAGAGGTGCAAAACTATACCAAATTAGCATTGTAAAAAATCACTTGCATTGTAGACACTATAAGGAAGTAGTTAAAAAGAAATTTACTCTGATTTTTTTTTCATTATTTCCTGTGACAGCTGAGGACACTCATGTTTGCAGAAATGTTTTCATTTTCATTTAGATCCCCCTTCTGTTTGATATTAGCAAAAGTAACAATGCACTGTTTATATCCCATCTGTTGTTGGCGTCAAAGAATTCTTATGGCCATGGAATTGATCATGAAGAGGAACAAGGAGAGTCATGAAAAGATGAAAACTATTCTGTTAAATGCCTTTGTAATCAAACTACTGGATCTGAGAAAAAAAGTACCAACTGAATTTCCATGTATTTAAAATTTTTTGTGTGTGAAAACATATAGCAATTGGAAATCTGTCAAGGCAAGTAAAAAACTTTTCCCAATGTTAATGAAATTTGACTCATGATATTTATCTACAAGACATAAAAATATAGATGGATCCCAGATACTCAGGAGGCTGAGGCAGCAGGATCACTGGAGCCCAGGAGTTCGTACTGGTGGAGAAAAACATTACTCACGTGGTGACAAAGTACCAGGCAGTTGTAATGCACAGCCAGAGTTAAGATTCCCTGCTCCTTAAAAGGGGTTCCCAGACTCGCAGCATATCGGCGTCACTGGCAGACCCACTGCGTCAGCATGTGCAGCTGAACCATGTCCCAGGTGATCAGTGATTCATGGTGACTCGTCATCCAAGAGCGTGTTCCTCTTGGCTTTCCCCACCTCCCTGCTTTATGCTCTAATCTCTGCCTGAACCATCATTTCTCATGACTCCTGCGCTTCCTCCTTCCCATGGGGTAAAGTCCACACTTTTAATGTGGCCTCCAGCCCTTTGCAGTCTGTCCAGTCTCCCCTTCAGTCTCTTTTAACATCACGTGAACCCTCCACTCCAGTCAAAACTCCCTGTAGTTTTTGGCCTCTCAGATCCTGTGTCATTCCTGCTTTTTTTCCCCCTTTGAAACCTGAGATTAAACCCTGCTGGCTCTGGGAAGCCACTTCTAACTGCCATGACACAGCACAATATCCCTTTCCTCCGGCACTTACTGTTTCACAATTTGGTGAGCATGGCATGCTGCCTTATACTGTGATTTAATCCTTTTTAAAGGTTGAGGTATAAAATAACATAAACTGTGTAAACAGTCCTGATCTTAAGTGTTCTTGATTTTTTTTTTTAACATCTGGGTACGCCTTGTCCATTTTTCTTTTTCTTTGTATGTTTTATCTACCTATCTGTACTGAATATCATTTAAGGGCAGAAGCATGTTCTCATCTCTAGAAAGAAGCCCCACATGGCATGCATGTTTTGGACTAAATCTTTCCCTGGATTGTCATTTAAAACGTTTTTAAATTTAAAAAACTATTTATTTTTATTTTTTTGAGACAGTCTCACTCTGTCACCCAGGCTGGAGTGCAGTGGCACAATCATGGCTCACAGCAACTTCCCCCTCCTGGGTTCAAGGGAGTCTCCTGTCTCAGCCTCCCGAAGTAGCTGGGATTACAGGTGTGCACCATCATGCCTGGCTAATTATTTTTTTGCATTTTTAGTAGAGACGGGGTTTCACCCTGTTGGCCAGGCTGGTCTCGAACTCCTGACCTCAGGTGATCTGCCCACCTCGGCCTCCCAAAGTGCTGGGATTACAGGTGTGAGCCACCACGCCCCACCTGTATTGTCATTTTGAGTAAACACTGCTGAATTGTTTGTCCTGGCATTTCTCAGCAGGGAGAGGATGTACAAACCCTGAAGAACAGAGGCAAACATTTCATTGTGGACAAATGCTGTGAAGGAAGAGGACACAGCTCTTGAGTGTCCATACTTGGGACTCTGTGCGCTTAGGGTGCCTGCTTTACCTGCCTGTCTGCTGTCATCAGAAAGCTCGAGGCACTATCAGGAGTGACCACCCAGGCCAGGCACACGTTTGCTATGCAGTGCAAGGAGCCCACTGTGGGAGGCACCACACCAGGCCCAGAGACTGACACTATGACAGACATTGCCTGGCCCGGGCTCCCTATGGAATTTGCAATCTAATGTAGAAAAACAAACCTAGGTAAACCAGACAGCATTTTGCTAATTCCAGTCAGTTGATTCAACACAAAAACAAAAACAGGGGTCTGCTCATCAGTTTCCTTAGTGTCCACTGGCTTGCAGCTTTTTGCTATAAAGATCTTGAGCTTTGGACTTTGGCTACAGAATTGCCAAGAGGATGTTGTGTTTTTGCAGAGGAAGTCCCTCCCTTCTGCTTTATAGTGTGCTTGGCCAGCTGATGCTGATACTATGCTCAGTTAATAAGGTTCTCTTATCAGACTGGTGCTTATTTTCAGCACTTTTTTTTTTTTGAGATGGAGTTTCGCTCTTGTTGCCCAGGCTGGAGTGCAATGGCGCGATCTCGGCTCACCGCAACCTCCACCTCCCGGGTTTAAGCAATTCTCCTGCCTCAGCCTCCCAAGTAGCTGGGATTACAGGCATGTGCCACCATGCCCGGCTAATTTTGTATTTTTAGTAGAGACGGGGTTTCTTCATGTTGGTCAGGCTGGTCTCGAACTTCCAACCTCAGATGATCTGCCTGCCTCGGCCTCCCAAAGTGTTGGGATTACAGGCGTGAGCCACTGCACCTGGCCCAGCAGTCTTTTCCAAATCAAAGACAGCAGGGCGGGCACACAGTGTCCAAACCTCATGGTCTGCCTGTATTTAAAAGGCATCTAGATACATTGGCATTCCTTCAGCAAGAAACAGCTTTAGTAAGAAAATTCCCCAGCAGCACACACAGTATCATCTGGGTTCCTGAACTGAAATAAACTAAAAGTAGAGGAAAGTATTTTGTGAATTAATCCAGTCTACCTTTTTTCTTTCAATCCTAAATCCATGTTAGAAATTGTGCACTTGAAGGCGGAAAAATGAAAGGAAGAAATATAACTAGTAGTTAAATGGAAGATTAACTAGTTAACTAGTTCCCTGATGTGTTTCAGTTGGATACTTTTGTAAATTATATCCATCTTTGGTGTAGGGAAGTTTCAATGTGAAAAAAAATCTTGTAGTTATGAAGAAACAATTACAGTGAAGAAGCCAGGGGACCGGGCGCGGTGGCTCACGCCTGTAATCCCAGCACTTTGGGAGGCCGAGGCAGGCGGATCACTTGAGGGTCAGGAGTCCGAGACAAGCCTGGCCAACATGGTGAAACCCCGACTCTACTAAAACAACAACAACAACAACAAAAACAAAAATTAGCCAGGTGTGTTGGTGCGCATCTGTAGTCCCAGCTACTCAGGGGGCTGAGGCAGGAGGATCGCTAGAACCTGGGAGGTGGAGGCAGCAGTGAGCCGAGATCGTGGTGGCACTTCAGCCTGGGCGACAGTGAGACTCCGTCTCAAAACAGCAACAACAAAAATAAGCCAGGGATCCTAGAAATATGCAAGAAAAAGCCATACTAACCAAACAAAAATTTAAGTGCTAAGACTGAGGGTGAATTTGGAAAAATATCATGCTTTCTGACCCAAATCTACCTCAGAATTTTTTTTTTTCCTTTTTTTGAGACTGAGTTTCATCCTTGTTGCGCAGGCTAGAGTGCAATGGCGCAATCTTGGCTCACCTCAACCTCCGCCTCCCAGGTTCAAGCAATTCTCCTGCCTCAGCCTCCTGAGTAGCTGAGATTACAGGTGTGCAGCACCACGCCCAGCTAATTTCATATTTTTAGTAGAGGCGGGGTTTCTCCATGTTGGTCAGGCTAGTCTCAAACTCCTGACCTCAGGTGATCTGCCCACCTCAGCCTCCCAAAGTGCTGGGATTACAGGCGTGAGCCACTGTGCCCCGCAATTCTTTTTTCTTAAGTGTTTTTTAAAACAGGATGCACACTCACATCCAATAACATGCAGTTTAAAATGATTTAATTGACAAATTCTTGTGATTTACATTTCAGTAATCAACTGCAAAAGTGAGGAAGTAATTCATGGGCCTGTAGTGCTTTTGAAAATAATATTTATGACTCATAAAAATGTACATTCATAATAGTATGACATGGACATATTTTAAGAAAGTTCAAGCATATACAAGCATTGTTTAATCTCACAAAATATATTAATTTTGTTGGGAATATGTGCATTATAAAAGGGTCTTTAGTTTACCAAAGGGTTCAACACTAAGCTATTTTTAAAGTTGTAATTATTTTTTCCAATCTAAAGAGGGGTTAAGGCCAGGTGCAGTGGCTCATGCCTGTAATCCCAGCACTTTGGGAGGCTGAGGTGGGCGGATCACCTGAGGTCAGGAGTTCAAGACCAGCCTGGCCAACATAGTGAAACCCTGTCTCTACTAAAAATACAAAAAAACTAGCTGGGCATGGTGGTGCACACCTGTAATTCCAGCTACTCGGCAGGCTGAGGCAGGAGAATCACTTGAACCCGGGAGGTGGAGGTTGCAGTGAGCAGAGATCGCGCCACAGCACTCCAGCCTGGGCAACAGAGCGAGACTCTGTCTCAAAAATAAAATAAAAGAGGGGTTAAGACTCATGCTGTCTTCACACATGGCCCTGCACAACCATGTGGAGGACAGGAGGGATATTCTTGAGAGATGCTGGGCAGACAACTAACAAGTGTCCCTTAAAGCACACTTCTGAACAATGTCCAGTCAAATATAAAATAACTTAAATATGAGGGTCACTCCTCATCTGCACGCACCTGTTACACTTTTTTTTTCCTTACTCATTTACACTGGGAAACATGTTATAATAGTGAATAGTTGGTTATGAATCTTTCAAAGAACTTGGAAGGGCCCCTATAATTATTTTCTGAAACAATGGAATTCTCTTATGGAAAAATCTTCCAGTGAAGGAAAGGGTAAGTTAAAAAAAACTTGAATTAACTTAGGTTAGCATGCTTGCCAAGGCAAAAGCAAGTTGCTTTTCTCCATGTTTCGAGGCTATGAGAAAGCGGTGGATACATGCTTTACTTTTCAGCCAGAAAATACGCACTGCCATTCCTGAGAAGATGGCAGGCAGCACAGCTGGGCTCTAGCCTTAAAGACTCAAGCTTTCTCCTTCCTTCCAGTCCTACCTCTTTACTTCTCAGATTTCCAGCTGGCTGGATGTATACATAAATGACTTGCATGGCTAAGTAAAACATTCCAGCTTATATTTTCAAGGATTTCCAAGAGTTCTTGCTTTTGGACAAATTAATAAATGCAAATTAGAACTTAAAACGCAGTTCTAATTTTATTTCTATTTTTGGTTGTTAAAATCAAAACAAAACCTACACACACACAGTCCTAGGGTTTTCTCAAACGAAATCAACAGTTCTTTGGCAATGTTAAGAGTGTGTAACATGACTGCCATGCTAATTAGCATAATTTATAAGACTTCTAATAGTGTTGAAACAGGAAAATAACTATAAACTTGTTAGAGAAGTTCGTTTGAAAGACACTGTCAAATGTCACACTAAGTCTTTTTAAAAACTCAATTTAGTAAGTAGAAAATATAAATGAACAAATTTAATTTTTCCAGATAATAAAGGAAGTTATTCGGCATTTTTCCCAGTTACGCAAAGACAATTATCACGTGAAAAATTTATAGAATGTAAGCAGTAAGAGAGTATTATGCAAAAATATCCTAAGGTAATTTCAGTATAAATTATAGGACCACATTTATTAATAATATACGTTATGAGAACAATCATTTGCAGTCTCACTGTGAAGGCAAAAAAAAAAAAAACAAAAACCAAAACCCAAAGGATAAACAGAAATAGCACAGTCCACCGAATACACTGCATGGTGTTTATAACTGTATAACCAAACTAAGTAATCTTTCCCCTCTCTTTAACTTTTATGCACCACCTGCCATTCTAGATACTATCAATCACACTAAATAATAATAAAAACCAACCACCTTCAATCTGATCATTCTGGGCAGGAAACTGAATACAGTTTTGACCAGATCTTCGAGAAAGATTCATATACACGAAATTAACTAGTTCTGTTAAAAGGCTGCTATAAAAATACCATCATTACGAGCTATACAGAACTTTAGAATCCAGCTAAGAGTGCAGAAATACTGAATTTCTTAATTTATGTGGAGGGGGCTGTAAACCCAAAGGTAGAAGGGCATTTCAGCATTCTGGCGTGTTCAGAGTTTCTAGGGTATAGTATCTCTCTAACACACAGAGAGCATTTCAAAGGGTGGCTATGGCCAGGAAACCTCAGAGCGGGTTCTGCCGTCACACTTGATCCCGAAGGCGGGCCAGTCTCTGAGACAGTTCATCCTGCTCCGCCGAAGCCACGCTCGTGCCCACGGAGCCGGTCTGGCCCTGCGGCAGCTCCATGTTGAGGTCGAGGCCCGCCTCATCTGCCATTTCCTGGAGCAGCATATCCACTTGGTTCTGGGGAGTGGTGAGCGTCGTCGTGCTGCTCATCGTGTCTTCCATTTGCTGCGTCTGGACGTCCAGAGTCTCAAACTGGTGCTCGAATTTGTCCATCAAAGCAGAAATCTTCTCCAGATTCATGGTCTTCAATGTCGCATCCATCGACTTAACCACACCAGCCATCGACTTGGTCACCTTGCCCATCGTCACCGCCGTCTGGACCCTGGCAGCCACTGCATCGACTCGCGCACTCATTCTCAAGAAATTCACCGCCTGGTTCTTCTGGCGGATGGCATTTTCGGCGTGTATCCTCGCAACTTCCATGTTGCCCTTCTGAATGGCCTTTTTAATTTTGGCCTTTTCGGCCTTTTCCTCCTTATCGCATTTTTTGGCACTCCTACTCAGTTCTTTGGCCGCGAACTTCAGGTTGAACAGGTGTTTCTCCATGTTAGACATAGTCGGACGGCTCCTTTGGGTCGGCGGCCCGGCTGAGAAGCGCGCCGAAGGCAGAGAAGGTAAGGTAAGTCCGCTCCCGGCCGCCGCTCCTTTGTTTTGGTCCCACTTCCTGTTTCTACTGTGAGCGGCGCAGGTGGTGACGTCAGAGCCCAGCGCCAAAGGCGGAGCCTGCGGGACGGAAGGCGCCGGGGTGGGGCCTGTGGGACGTAAGACGCCAGGGGCTGCGCATGCAGGGGGATTCTGGCTGGACGCTCCGGCGCTGCGGCGGGGAACGCTCGCTTCCTGCGCTGCGTTCTACCCGGTTTTTAAAATTCTAACGCATTAGTCAATTCACAAAAATTAGTGCCCCCACGCACTTTCCTAGTAATAAATCTACCGAAGTAGACAGGATCTGTGGAGACCCGCGTGTAAAATTACCCACGCTCCAAACTTGGCAGGCTTTATAAAGGGTGACTGGCTAGCGGGCTAAAAACCAGCCAAACATCAGCTAGGTCTTCGCACTAACGCTTGCTTTATTAGCATGGGTAATTTCCACTTTCTCAGGGGAACTGGAAACCATGGATACATTAAAAACAAAAACATTAAAACACATTAAAAACAAACGGGTCATTGACGCGTCTCCATCTTTGACTACAATTTGTGCTAGAGTTCTGTAATATCCTTTTATTGCATTGAGTGAAAATAATCTTCAAAACTGTGGCACCACCAAATTTATACTTTGTCTGGAAGTTCAGCTTCTAGGTGAGTTGCCAGCAATTATCCAAAAATCGTCCCGTGGTTTAGTAATAAAAAGACCCATCTTTTGCTGACACCATTCTGTCTTTTTGATGTTTTATAAATATCCAAGGAACTTCACTCACATTTAAGTTTGACAGGCTAAACTGTCATTTTAAATTATGCAGGCAGAGTATGTTGAGATATCAGGACCCACACCCACGGGCATACATCAAAACTGTCACTATGTATTACGCCCTTTAAAAATGCTGGCTTTCAAATGGCAGCAATGTGTGCTGTCACTTTTCTCTTTAGAAAGATTCCTCCGATACAGCAATAACAATGTGAGAAGACCAAATCTGCCCTAATGAGGTAGGCTGAAAATGAACTCTGAGAGCGAATTCTGTTTAGAGATCATTTTAATCTAGCAGCCTGCCACCTCGCTTAGCTTCCTGTGATAGCTTGCCAGTCAGTTTCACAACACAAGACCTTCTGAAGACATAGCTCTGATGTTTTCACTCTCTTGCTCCAAACCCCGGGCATGGAGGCTAAACCTGCTGTGCAGCATGCTGGCTCGTCTTTCGCGCCCCTCCACCTCCGCCAGTCAAAGCAAACCGCAGCATGGAATTTGAGCATTATTTGCGTCATTCGGCCAGCGGGGAGAATGTGACTGACGCCCGGTCCTGTGGCTATGCTGTTCCTGTTGCCTGGATTTTAGTGTCCATGCATCTCTGCCTATTGACACCCTGCCAGTCCTTCAAAAGCCACCTTCACCATGGAGCCTCCCCAGGACTCCTCCTCTGTGTGGCCATACTACAGGGCACATTGCCTGGCAAGGGGTCTGTGTGTATAGGTCACCTGTTACAGTGTGAACTACTTGGATGCAGACACTGATTCCTTCCCCTCTCCATGGAGCCCAGCAGGCGCTCTGCACACAGCAGCCACTGAATCCAGATGGCGTTGCTGAATTTAATTGTATTTCAGAGGGGATAGGATGTTACCCTAGTTAGCAGCTTAGCTATGGTTCCTTTTTGCCCCGCAAAGCAGTAGAACCCTTTTTCCAAATGAAACTTTTCTAGAAATGGAATATAAACAACCAAAAAAAAGGGGAAGAAATCTGTTCAAAGTGGATATAGAGAGCTTAGGCCCCCTACTCTGCTCACCCTCCATTCCACTCTTCCCTTCTTTTAGGTCCTGGTTTTTCTTGGAGTTTGCAAACAAGTTTCTTATCCAGCTTCCATGTCATGCTCCATAGTTTTCTTTTTTCTTTTCTTTCTTTTTTTTTTTTTTTTTTTTGAGATGAAATCTTGCTTTGTCACTCAGGCTGGAGTGCAGTAGTGTGATCTTGGCTCACTGCAGCCTCCCCCTTCTGGGTTCACGCGATTCTCCTGCCTCAGTCTCCCGAGTAGCTGAGATTACAGGCACACGCCAGCACTACCGGCTAATTTTTGTATTTTCAGTACAGCTGGGGTTTCGCCATGTTGGTCAGGCTGGCCTCGAACTCCTGACCTCAGTTGATCTGCCCACCTTGGCATTCCAAAGTGCTGGGATTATAGGCGTGGGCCACCGTGCCCAGCCCATAGTTTTCTTAATGACAAATTCTGACTAGGTGAGATGGTTTGGAATATAATCATGAGAGACTCCGATAGATGATGATGATAATGACAACTAACATTAATAAAGTACTTATGCACCAGACATTGTTCTGGGCACTTTACATAAATTAACTCATTTCAGCTTCGCAAACCCTATGAAGTAGATACTATAAATGTCTCCAGTTCACAGGTAATGAAAAGGAAGCACAGAGAGCTAAGAAACTTGCCTGAACCCACACATTAGGTAAGTGTTAGAAACCGGATTCCATGGATGTATTGGGACCAGTAATAAGGCAATGGGGAATCCAATGAACATGAATTAATAAGAATAAAATAATGATCATCATGTAGCCTAAAGAAAGAAGTTGACTTTCCAGCTGTTTTTTTGAGAAGACAGAGTTGCATTGACTGCAAAGTTAATATGAACTTTATAAAGTGTGGTTGTTGACTGGGCATGGTGGCTCAGGAATGTAATCCTAGCACTTTGGGGGGCTGAGGTGGGTGGATCGCTTGAGGCCAGGGGTTCAAGACCAGCCTGGCCAACATGGGGAAAGCCCGTCTCTACTAAAAATACAAAAATTAGCTGGGTGTGGTGGTGCATGCCTGTAATCCCAGCCACTTGGAAGGCTGAGACAGGAGAATCGCTTGAACTGGAAAGGTGGAGGTTGCAGTGAGCTGAGATCACGCCAGTGCACTACAGCCTGGGTGACAGAGAGAGACTCCTTCTCAAAAAAAAAAAAAGAAAAGAAAAAAAAAGAAAAAGTATGGTTGCTAAAAGAAGTTGCCATCACCTGAAGCTACATTCCTTGGATGATGACACCTCTACTTTCTGTGCTGGAGAGAAGGTATAGGTGGAGTTCCAGAAGCCATCTTCCCAGAGAGACCAGGGCTGACTAGAATTCTGAAGAGAAGGCTGTTCTCCTCCTCTCCCTGACAGTTCCCCAGCCCTGCCCTCTTCTTTCTCTTATCAACACCCCAGCCATTTCCACGGTGTTCAATAGGATCCATAGCTAACTGCTCTCATGTTCACATTTCCACGGAGAGATTTGCTTCTGAGCTCCAAACCCATATGCCCAGCTGTCTCCTTGGTGCTGGGCGCTCTGTGGCCCAAGACTGATTGGCAACTCCTCAAAGTGACTGAACTCAGTCCTTTCCCCCAAATCTGCTCATTCCCATTTACTACTGGCACCTCCATCTACCTTGTCATTCGAGTTGGATTTGGAAGAATTATCTCTGACCACCGTGGTATCTGAATCTGCATCTACCCTGGCTCTAAGTTTTTTCCATTCTTTATATTCCATTGAGGTTGACAACCTTCAGGGTCTGTTTCAGCTTGGTATGCTTTCTCTTTTTGTGTATCTAGCAAAAGGAAGATTATTTTGGGATTATTATTAAAGGAGGTTTTGGTCCTACAACCATGCTAATTGTACGTGAAAATGTTTTGGACCCAATACAGATGTGAAAACAGAACATACAGTTTATAATGACTGGAATTGTTTAGCAACTACCACGTTAACATTGAAACCTTGCAAGTCCCATAGCCAAATTTTCTTAGTGAAAAAAAAAGAAATTTTTGATTAAAGTGCAGACATTTCTAGAAAGCTGCGGGTCAAACCAGTTAATTATTTTTATCATGAAATGGGGAAGAAAAATATGCTATCATTTGGCACATCTGGCTGATTTCTTTCCTTACTTTGAAATAATACAAGTGGTTAAAATGAAAATATTTAAGCAGGACATTCAGTTTTACTTCACTGGAAAAGAATCATTTGCTAAGTCTGAAGTCACTCAAAAAAAAAAAAAAGAAAATAAAAGATGTGAAAAATAACTTTCTCTTGTGAGTTAAACTATTTCTGGATTCTCATCAGTATGTTTCTGGTGATTTTGAAATGTTATATCTCAAACTAAGGGCTCCTCCTACTTATCACAGTTTGCATTTTTTGCATATATTTGTGTTTGCTGAGCAGCAGGCTTTCCTATTAGGTGTGGCATGGTGACCTCTGGTTGACTACCTATACCTGGTACTATTCAACCTCTGGAAAACAGATACCCAATAAATTTCTGTTGAATGTAGGAATATATGAATGTAGCCAAAGGAAATGGCATTGGATACATATTCACTTGGTGACCATTTTGAGGAATACATTACATATATGTATATATATATTATACATTACATACATATATAATATTAATTTATTACACATGTATTAAATGTATGTATATATATATTTTCCTCTGCATCACCTTTTTATTTGGGAACACAGCTAGAATTAAAAACGCTGAGACTCCTCAAGCCTTGGGAAATTTCAAAGTCACTGTCCAGGGCTGGGTGTGATGGCCGATGCCTGTAATCACAACACTTTGGGAGGATGAGGCGGCCCAGGAGTTTGAGGTTGCAGTGGGCTATGATGGCCCCACTGCACTCCATTCGGGGTGACAGAACAAGATCCTGTCTCAAAAACAACAACAACAAAACAAAACCAAAGTCACTGTCCCTCAAAATATGTTAACAACAGCCTGGACAAGATGGCAAGACCCGGTCTCTACAAAAAATAAAAAATAAAAATTAGCTGGGCATGGTAGCATGTGCCTGTAGTCCCAGCTACTTGGGATGCTGAGGTGGGAGGATCTCTGTGTCCAGGAGTTCGAGACTACAATGAGCTATAATCATGCCACTGTATTCCAGCCTGGCTGACAGAGTGAGTCTGTGTGTGTGTGTGTGTGTGTGTGTGTGTATATTTATATATATATTTATATTTATATATTTATATATGTATTTATATATTTATATATAAAAAAATGATGTCGATTTAAAAATAAAAATAAGAAAGAGAAAGAAATAGAACAGCAGCATGTAAACAGAATTCTGCATTCCTCCATCTGCAGTTTAAATGCACGGTTTATTATTCCTCTTGGTGATGTGGTGAGTTAATACTGTTATGAGAAACCTAACTTCCATGTTAGTCGAAGTTGGCATTCACTCATTTAGCAACACAGTGATTCTCCTCCTCCTTCTTTACACTGAACAACTTACCACTTTGAGAAGCTGAAAATGAAATCTCAACACACCTGTCCCTCTAAGGCTGGTACGGGATGCCTCTCTTTTCTGGCCTCAATTTCCTCATTTATAAAGCTGGAAAAAATAAGGCCTATGATCTAACAGTGGGTAATAATCCCTCATCAGGTCAGATCACCAGAGAGGGCCACTCAAAACCGCTTAACTTAAAAAATCCCTGAAACAAGACTTACTAAGAGAAAAAAATGTATTATTTAAGTGGCGTTTTCCTGGCAGTTTGTATTGGATATTTGCAAATATTGTGAAGACCATATAGAGCTGACACAGCAAAACTGAGAAGGCTGACTGGGCCCCTTCTCTCTCTGTCTCTCTCCCCCTCTCCCTCCCTCTCTCTTTCTCTCTCTCTCTCTCTCTTTTCTCTTCCTTCCTTCCCTCTCTCCCTCCCTCCCTTCCTTCCTTTATTTCTTTCCTTCAGGGTGTCACTCTGTTACCCGGAGTGGCGCAAGCTACCTCTGCCTCAACTGGGCCCATTTCTCTCTGACTCCTCTAGTTGGAGAGCATTTTGTAGGAGGAAAATCTACTCCTTTGGTCAGGTTCCTACAAACTAACGTACAAACTCAAGCAATATGGCAGGGAACCAAACACGTGAAATATTGTTAGGTCTATGAAACACACGATATATTCCTCTTTCCAATCTGTGTTCTTATTATTTGTTAGCAGTCTTTATTATGCTACTTTTTTTTTTATTTTCAAGAAAAGTGCACTCTCCTGCACACAGCATTTTGCCATATCTCACAGCTGTCTGGTTGACTACTGGGAAACATAGTTTATTCTGAAAACATGCTTCTGGATGGAAAATGATTTTACTATTACAAACCTGAAGATAGAAGGACAGGATTGCGTCTGGCGTAATACGGTACAAATCCCACCTCTGAAGGAATATGGAAGCCAGTTGTTCTTACGTAATTTTTATGTTTAACCTGAACATTAAGCTTACAATCTATAAGTTAAAAATAGCGAGGCTGGGCGTGGTGGCTCACATCTGTAATCCCAGCACTTTGGGAGGCTGAGGTGGGCGGATCACAAGGTCAGGAGATTGAGACCAGCCTGGCTAACATGGTGAAACCCTGTCTTTACTAAAAATACAAAAATCAGCCGGGTGTGGTGGCACATGCCTGTAGTCCCAGCTACTTGGGAGGCTGAGGCAGGAGAACCGCTTGAACCCAGGAGGCGGAGGTTGCAGTGAGCCAAGATCACATCATTGCACTCCAGCCTGGGCAACAAGAGTGAAACTCCATCTCAAATAAAATAAAATAAAATAAATCAAAAAATAAATAAATAAAAAATAAAAATGGCGAATGTACAAATTGGCCAGTTAATTTTGTTGCACATTAAAATCTTCTCTCGTCCTCCTCGGGGAGCACCTTCTGTTCATGATGGGAACAGATTGTGAGAAGTCAGGAGCTCTTCCCAGGGCTAGTCTGCATTGAGTATTGGTAGATGGTGGTGGAGGGAAAAAGCATTTTTCTTCTTCACTGCTGTTCCCGGGGACATGTGTGTGCAGCTGACTCACTCGTACCCTTAATTGATGCTGTGATTGATCTGCCTTAGACCCAGCTTTTACTTAGCATCATGTCTCAATTAGATTAAGTTTAAGGCACAAGTGATTTAAAACGGCCATGGCCACAGAATGGAGAGCACTGGTTCCAGGAACCATGTATCCTGAGAACCTATTTATTTATTTATTTTGAGATAGAGTTTCGCTCTTGTCACCCAGGTTGGAGTGCAGTGGTGTGATCTCGGCTCACTGCAACCTCTGCTTCCCGGGTTCAAGCGATTCTCCTGCCTCAGCCTCCTGAGTAGCTGGGACTACAGGCGCCCGCCACCACGCCCAGCTAATTTTTGCATTTTTAGTAGAGACAGGGTTTCACTGTGTTGGCCAGGCTGGCCTCAAACTCCTGACCTCAGGTGATCTGCCTGCCTCGGCCTCTCAAAGTGCTGGGATTACAGGCGTGAGCCACTGTGCCCGGCCCTGAGAACCTTTCAATTTAAAATCCCTTCAATTCTAGTCTAACCCACACACTTCATGTAAAGTAAGGAGTCATTAGCCATTAGTGTCCATGGAAGGCTAATCTTGGCCATTTCTTTTCGTCAAGGAATAACTGTAATTAAACTTTTCGGCCAAAACATAAAGTTTTTTGTTTTTTTTTGAGATGGAGTTTCACTCCCGTTGCCCAGGCTGGAGTGCAATGGCACAATCTCGGCTCACTGAAACCTCTGCCTCCCAGGTTCAAGCGATTCTCCTGCCTCAGCCTCCCAAGTAGCTGGGATTACAGGCATGCACCACCATGCCCTGCTAATTTTGTATTTTTAGTAGAGATGGGGTTTATCCATGTTAGTCAGGCTGGTCTCAAACTCCCGACCTCAGGTGATCTGCCCACCTCGGCCTCCCAAAGTGCTGGGATTACAGGTGTGAGCCACTGTGCCTGGTGACATAACGATTTTGTTAGTTTAAGCTACTGTCTTTCGTTAGGAAGCAAAATGGTATTAGAAATCAAATATAACTTAACTTGGTGAGTCCTACTAGAAATAATTTATTTTTAACATCTCTTTATTTCTTTCCTTTTTTTCTTTTCTTCTTATCTATTTATTTATTTTTGAGACAGAGTCTTGCTCTGTCGCCCAGGCTGGAGTGCAGTGGTGCGATCTCAGCTCACTGCAACCTCCACCTCCCTGCTTCAAGTGATTATCCTGCCTCAGCCTCCTGAGTAGCTGGGATTACAGGTGTGCACCACCACTCTCCGCTAATTTTTGTATTTTTAGTAGTAAAAAATTTTACATATTTTCTATTTTTAGTAGGTGAAACCATATTGGTCAGGCTGGTCTTGAATTCCTGACCTCAGGTGATCCACCCACCTTGGCCTCCCAAAGTGCTAGGATTACAGGCGTGAGCCACCACACCCAGCCCCTTTTTTCTTTTTTTTTTTAGCGACAGGGTCTTGCTTTGTTGTTCAGCTGCAGTACAGTGGCACAATCATAGTCCAATGTAGCCTCAAACTCCTGGGCTCAAGGGATCTTTTCACCTTGGCCTCCCAACATGTTGAGATTACAGGCATGAGCCACTGTGCCTGGCCTTAACATCTCTTTAGAATGTGAAAAATCCTCTAACAAAGCAGAATACTTATCACTTTTGTACCTTTATAATGTACCATAATAGCATTCAGTTTCTTCTGAAACAGTCAACACCCTAAAGTCACTCAACAGTGAAACAGTCAACAATCAAATAGTCAACAGTTGAAAGAAGGCCAAAGATGAATGTTTTTAAAAGAAGTGCTAACTTTACAATGAGTATGAACTAAGTCAGGGGTCTCCAAACCCTAGGCCACATTCTCATGCTGTGTGAACCAGGCCACACAGCAGGAGGTGAGTGCCAGCCAGCAAGCAAAACGTCATCTGTATTTACAGCTGTTCCCCATCAATCGCATTACCACTTGAGCTCCACCTCCTGTCATATCAGCGATGGCATTAGATTCTCATAGGAGCACGAACCCTATTGTAAACTTTGCATGTGAGGGATCTAGGTTGCATGCTCCTTATGAGAATCGAATGCCTGATGATCTGTCACTGTCTCCCATCACCCCCAGATGGGACCATCTAGTTGCAGGAAAACAAGCTCAGGGGTCCCACTGATTCTACATTATGGTGAGTTATATAATTATTTCATTATATATTACAACGTAATCGTAATAGAAGAGCACAGTAAACGTAATGCACTGGATTCATCTTGAAACCATCCACCCCACCACGGTCCATGGAAAAATAGTTTTCCACGAAACCAGTCCCTGGTGCCAAAAAGGCTGGGGGCCGCTACACCAAGTCATTAGATATAAGATATCTGAACTAGGCCGAGCGCGGTGGCTCATGCCTGTAATCCCAGCAATTTGGGAGGCCAAGGCAGGTGTATCACCTGAGGTCGGGAATTCGAGACCAGCCTGACCAACATGGAGAAACCCTGTCTCTACTAAAAAAAAAACATATACAAAATTAACTGGGCATGATAGCACATGCCTGTAATCCCAGCTACTCGGGAGGCTGAGGCAGGAGAATTGCTTGAACCCGGGAGGCGAAGGTTGAGGTGAGTCGAGATTGCACCATTGCACTTCAGCCTGGGCAACAACAGCGAAACTCCGTCTCAAAAAAAAAAAAAATCTGAACTAAAATATAACATATGTTTTCTTTCGTTATTTGATGGAGTTGGGCTACAATCTTCCAGTTCATACGTATATTCCACAAACATTTACTGAGTTTCAGGCTAGAGAATGAACAGTATGGGGGATAGGTAAGTAATTCCCTATGCAAACCTGATGCATTTGTAACATTCCATAAAGCAGAGGTTTTTATCTTCCCCAGAATTTCTTCTCATGGAAGGATCCCCGCAGTTGGGAAGCAGAGGTGCTCACAGAGCTTCCTCCATAAATCTGATGAATGAGGAATTCTAGCAGGTATTTCTTTCTTTCTTTCTTTTTTTTTTTTTTTTTTGAGACAGACCCTTACTCTGTTGCCCAGGCTGAAGTGCAGTGGCAGGATATTGGCTCACTGCAACCTCTGCCTCCCAGGTTCAAGCGATTCTCCTGCCTTAGCCTCCAGAGTAGCTGGGATTACAGCATGCGTCACCATGCCCGACTAATTTTTGTATTTTTAGTAAAGGCAGGGTTTCACCATTTTGGCCAGGCTGGTCTTGAACTCCTGACCCCAGGTGATCTGCCCAACTTGGCCTCCGAAAGTGCTGGGATTATAGGCCACCGTGCCCGGCCCTAGCAGGTATATCTTTTCCGGGAACCACAAAGCTGTCTTCAAATAATCATGATTAACCTTGCCCTAAATATAATAAATTGTAGCTGTGACTGCCATCTGAAAAACAATACTTCATAGTAAATCTTAACATATTTGTAGGAGACAGTGTATTTTAAGATTAGTTTAGGGGTTAAAAGAGAATTGAAAGCTGATGAAGGCTGGGTGCGGTGGTTCATGCCTGTAATCCTAACACTTTGGGAGGCCGAGGTGGGCAGGTTGCTTGAGCCCAGGAGTTCAAGACCAGCCTGGGCAACACGGCGAAACCTCGTCTCTACTAAAAATACAAAAAATTAGCTGGGCATCGTGGTGCACATCTGTGATCTTGGCTATTCAGGTGGCTGAGGTGGGAGGTCACTTGAGCCTGGGAGGTCCAGGCCGCAGTGAGCTGTGATCGTAGCACTGACTCCAGTCTGGGCGACAGAGTGAGACTGTGTCTCAAAAAAAAAAAAAAAAAGAAAAGAAAAAGCAAATTCCTCAATGTCATTTACGTGAACTAAATCAAAGAAAGAAGGACAAAGTGCATTCAACATGGCTCTTGCTCACTGGAGGCCTCCGGGTGCTTCCTCTTCTCTGCAGCTATGACTGTGTACATTGACTGAATCTGTCACAGCATTCCCGAATACGTCCACCAGGTCTCCTGTAGATCATTCCAGGGAAGAACGCTAACTATGAGAAGCACGTGGTCAACAAAGGGTAACAAAGGGAAGTCTGAGGACTCCTAGATAAAGAGCTTTCTCAGAGGGGGTGCCCCAGATACCAAACACACAGATTTGCTCAGGTCACACTATGTTTCAAAGGAAGAGCTGGAATGAGAAACTGACCTTTGCATCAGTGTTCACCTCTGCTGAGTCTCCTATTTTAAAAGAGATCTGGGATGTCATTAAACATGTTCAATTGAGGTTAATAAAAAATTTCCTTTTTTGGCAAAACGATCTGTTAAGTCTTGTCTATCTTAGAAGATATATTTAGTCACTGCATGTATCCTGGCAGAAAGTCATGGCAAAGCAGTTTCTTTCTTAGCAATGACTACCTGCCTCAGTAGCTGGATAAGGAATCTTTCATTCTTTCTTCACAGAAATAATGCAGAGCACTGCATTTTCACAAATATCGAATAGAATGAGAAATACGAGCATCCCATGCACTTAATTGTTGTCACATGAATAAAATTGTAAGTAAATGGAAATTCTATTTGTGTGGAGAGTTCCTTAAGTCAGTTAATAGAATAATGCCATAGTTCAAAGGTAGCTTTTGTTGATATCATGGATCCTAGTTATTATGTGATCAAGGGAGTTTGGTGAAATAAAGATATTTAATTCTAACCGCTAATGCATGCACTACCCTAAGAAAGGTTTTACTTTCTTCCTTTTTTGAATGCTTTCTTTGATATGAAATTATCAAAGAGCAGCTTCCTTATACCTTAAGTTCTATTTGAAAAGCTTTCATTACATTCCTTGATATTGTGAACACATTATTATTGTTCACTGGGACGAAGGAAGTGCTCACACAATGCACGATTACAGCTTTCGCTTTTCTCTGAGCTAGAACGCTTGTGCTCTAAAGGAGGCTGTGCTGTAGCACAGTTCAGCTCCTCATTCCTTTTTGCGGTGGAATCATATTCCATTGTAGGGATACACCACATTTTGTTTATCCATTTGTCAGCTGATGACACTTGGGTTGTTTCCACTTTTTGCCCAATTGTGAATAATGCTGCTATGAAGAGATATTATGCTTACGTCTATCTGAGCTTTAAAGAAAAAAAATTTTTTTTTTTTTTTTTGAGGCAAGGTCTTGCTCTGCCACCCAGGCTGGAGTGCAGTGACTTGATCATGGCTTACTGCAGCCTCAAACTCTAGACTCAAGCAATCCTCCCGCTTTCACCATATCAAGGAGCTGGGACCACAGGTGCACACCACCATGGCCCAGCTAATTTTTTTTTTTTTTTACTTTTAGTAGAGATGAGGTCTCGCCAAGATGCCCAGGCTGCTCTCAAACTCCTAGGCTCAAGTGATCCTCCTGCCTTGGCCTCCCAAAGTGTTGAGATTACAGGCGTGAGCCACTGTACCCAGCCAAAAATTAATTTTGTATACATAGGAATACTGGGCTATGAATGGTAGAGAGAGCAGAAAAAGAACAGTGATAACACAAAAATCTATTCATGTAACAAGTTTATTAAACACCTATTATATGCCAGGCATTGTTCTAGGCACAGTGGTACACAATAATTTCATGTCAGTTAGCCCATCATAATGAACAGTTTACAAAATTTGGTTAGATTTAGTTGTTCATTCATGTGGTTCAACTATTGAAAGGAATGAAGTAGTGATATATGCTATAACATCTCATATTTATATGTTACTGTGTCACGCACTGCATGGAGAAGAACAACTCCAAATCCTATGGAAACAACTTAGAAATTACCTGCCAATTTCCACAAAGATAGTCTTTTAGAAGAGATTTTTAAGACATATTTTCAGTATGGGTACTGTATTTTGAATCAGTATTTTTTGCTTTTCTATTTCATTTCTTCCGCCTTTCTCTCTTAAACTGATTTTTAAAAAGACAAAGTAAGTACATGAACAATCTGAAATGCTATGGATCTCATACCGCATCCTCTCAGAAGCATCCCCACACTGTCACCATGCGTGGCACATGGATGAAACATAATGCATCTTACCCACTTGGTATTAAATCAGAAGGCCCTGAAATTAGGCAGACTCGAATGATCAGGAGTCTCCAAATTAATTTTACTGAAGTGTCCAAGTAAAGCTCTCACAAGCCAGTTGCAACAGGGAGTCTTGATTAAGATGCACAATTCAATGACTTTTTTGTTGTATATTCAAAGTTGTGCAACCATCAATCACTTTTAGAACATTTTCATCACTCCAAGAGGAAACTCTGTACACATTAAAGCGATTCCTCATCCCCCAAGTCCACCTGGCTCCATGCAACATTCGTCTACTCTGTCTCTGTAGATACACCTATTCTGGACATTTCATATAAATGAAATGATACCATATGTGGTCTTTTGTGTCTGGTGGCTTTGACTTAGCATAATGTTTTCAAGGATCATCCATGTTGTAGCATGCATCAGGACTTCATTTCTTTTTGTAACTGAATAACATTCTATCGTGTGGATGCGTCACATTTTGTTTATCCACTCATCGGCTGATGGGCATTTGGGTCGTTAACGCTTTTTTTTGAGACTGGGTCTCATTTTGTCACCTAGGCTGGAGTGCAGTGATGCAATCTTGGCTCACTGAAGCCTCGACCTCCTGGGCTCAAGCAATCCTCCCGCCTCGGCCCCCCAAGTAGCTGGGACTACCAGTGCGCATCACCATGCCTGGATAATTTTTCGTAAGAAGGGATTTCACCATGTTGCCAAGGCTGGTCTCAAACTCCTGAGCTCAAGTGATCCACTCACCTTGGCCTCCAAAGTGCTGGGATTACAGGTGTGAGCCACCATGCCCAGCCTGTTTACACATTTTGATTATTATGAATAATGCTGCTATGAGTATTTGCCTAGAAGTTTTTGCATGGATGTATATTTTCAATTCTCTTGGACATACACTTGGGAGTGGAATTGGTGGGCCATATGGCAACTGTGTTTAACGTTTTTTAGAACTACCAGTTTGTTTTCCAAAGTGGCTGGACTATTTTACATTCCCACCAGCAGTATATGAGGATCCCAATTTCTTCACATCCTCAGCAACACTTGTTTTATCTGACTTTTTAGGCACAGCCACCCTAGGGTTATGAAGTGGAATGTCACTGTGGTTTTGCTTTGCATTTTCCTAACAGCTAAAGATGTTTAGCATCTTTTCGTGGCTGATTAGCCATTCATCTATCTTACTTGGGAGATGTCTATTTAGATCCTTTGCTGATTTAAAAATCGGTTTACTTATGTTATTATTGATTTGTAAGAGTTCTTTATGATTCTAGATACAAGTCCTTTATCAGATGCATGATTTATAAACATTTTCCCCCTTCTATGAGCTTGTTTTTTCACTTTCTTGAATCATAAGGACCTCTATATGTACATCAAAAGCTATCCTGGGCTGAGTGTGGTGGTTCACGCCTGTAATCCCAGCACTTTGGGAGGCCGAGGTGGGCCAGGAGTTCGAGACCAGCCTGCCCAACATGGTGAAACGCCAGCACTACTAAAAATACAAAAATTAACTGGGCGTGGTGGCATGTCTAAAAATACAAAAATTAACTGGGCGTGGTGGCATGTGCCTGTAATCCCAGTTACTCAGCAGGCTGAGGCAGGAGAATAGCTTGAACCCAGGAGGTGGAGGTTTCAGTGAGCCAAAACTGTGCCACTGCACTCCAGCCTGGGTGACAGAGCGAGACTCCATCTCAAGAAAAAGCTATCCTGGCTTTCATTGGAAAACTAGGTTCAAGATATGAAGTGGATGGAGATGTGAAGTTGATGACAGTTCCTTCAGAATCTGAGAAAAAGGATGTCCCTGAGGCAATCTCCTTCAAATGCATAGGTCCATGCCTCATTCATCTTTGTCATTCAGTGGCTGGCAGTGTCTAGCATGCATCTGATGCTCACAGAATGCTTGGTGAACTTTTAATCTAAAGTAGTCTCTCATAATCTTTAGGTTTAAAATTTGAAATCCTGGATCAATCAAGTAATAGTTGGTATTGTGTAGTCTTATGTAATCTTATGTGCCTTTATATCCTCATCTGCAAAATAAAGATAATGAACTCATTGGGTTAGTGTGAGGATTACTATGTTAGTTCATCTAATGTGCATAAAATGTGCCTCCACAGGGCAAGTTTCAATAAATATGAGCTATCTTACAGCTACACTTGGGTACTAAGCAATACAGAGCACACACCTCTTTATTATTATTATTTATTATTATTATTTTTTGAGATAAGAGTTTTGCTCTTGTTGCCCAGGCTGGAGTGCAATGGTGTGATCTCGGCTCACCACAACCTCCGCCTCCCAGGTCCAAGTGATTCTCCTGTCTCAGCCTCCTGAGTAGCTGGGATTACAGACATGCGCCACCATGCCCAGCTAATTTTGTATTTTTAATAGAGACAGGGTTTCTCTATGTTGGTCAGGCTGGTCGCGACCTCCCAACCTCAGGGGATCCGCCCACCTCGGCCTCCCAAAGTGCTGGGATTTTACAGGCATAAGCCACTACAGCCGGCCTATTAGTATTATTTTTTGCGACAGGGCCTCACCCTGTCACTTAAGCTGGAGTGCAGTGGCATGATCATTACTCACTGCAGCCTTGACTCCTGGGCTAAAGTAATCCTCCCAACTCAGCCTCTGGAGTAGCTGGGACTACAGGTGTGTGGCACTATGCCCAGCTAATTTTTAAAAATTATTTGTAGAGACGAGGTCTCAACATGTTACCCAGGCTGGTCTCAAACTTTTGGACTCAAGCAGTACTCCTGCCTTGGCCTCCCAAAGTGCTGGGATTACAGATGTGAGCCACCTCGCCTGGTGGGACGCACGTCTTAAATAATTCTGAAACTGTACCTTTATTAATAGTAGTACAGTACTTAGTTGTTTTCCCTGAGTTCCCTGGATTCCTTGGAAGTGTTTCAAAGAATTCAGCAAACAAAAGTATTGTGATAAAACCTGACACACACGTCTTACATTTCACACTGTAATTTGTAGGGTACTGTCAATTTATTAACCTGTGCTACTATGTAATTTATTTTTCTGTAAGCTTCTGATCACAGCTTTACATATACATATTTTTCTTTATTCCCCCTACATTTTATTATAAAAATTTCAAACATAAAATAAATTAGAAATAATTTTGTAGTGAACACTTGAATACCTACTATTTAGATTCTGACATTTTCGTTTTACTGTACTTTTAGGCTTTTTTTTTTCTTTTTAGAGACAGGTTCTTGCTACATTGCCTAGGCTGGCCTTGAACTCCTAGGCTCGAGTGAACCTCCTGCCTCAGTCTCCTGAGTAGCTGAAATTACAGGCAAACACCACTGTGCCCAGCTTCATTTTATTGTACTTAAAAAAAAAATCACAGATCTATCCATGTATCCATTCCTCAACCCATCTTATTTTTGATGTATTTCAAAAAAAGGGAAGACAGCAGTACACTCCCTCTGAAATACTGCAGCTCACAGAATGTTATCTAAGAATCAATATTTCTTCATGGCTTTTTCTTTCAATGTAAAATGCATGTCCAATGAAACAGAAATCTTAAGTGTATATCTGCTGAGTTTTGAAAAATGCATCTATCTGTGTAGCTCAAATTCCCATAAAAATATTATGCACATATTTTCAACTTCTTTCAAATGTGTTGTTTGGAAGGAGGTTCTGGTCATTTTTGTAGACAATGCAGCACCTGTTGAATAGTCTTACGGTAGAAGCGAGTCCCTAAGAGGCACAGAGGATGCACACCCTGCTTTGCCCAAGGCCACTTGAGCTGGGGCTCACCTGCAGGGCCCAAGCTCTCCTCACAGAGCAACTGCCATGTTCTCACAGGGGACAACGTAACCCATAACCCAACGCTATAAATATAACGTTTATCAGATGTCACATTTGTGTTAAAGAATGTGAAGAGCTGTTAGAGACTGTTAAGAATTCAACTTGGAACAAAATTTCTTTCTTTGTTTTTTGAGACAGAGTCTCACTCTGTTGTCCTGGCTGGAATGCAGTGGCACAGTCTTGGCTCACTGTAGCCTCAAACTCCAAGGCTCCAGCAATCCTCCTGTCTCAGCCACCCAAGTAGCTGGGACTACAGGTACACACCACCCCACTTAGCTAATTTTTGGGGGTATTTTTTTTTTTGTAGACACTAGAGACCCAGGCTGGTCTTGAACTCCTGGGCTCAAGCAATCCTCCCACCTTGGCCTCCCAAAGTGCTGGAATTACAGGCGTGAGCCACTGTGCCCAGCCAGAAGAAAATTTCTTATGATTCTCCTTTTCACATTTCTACATCATTTAACTTAAAATGTTTCTTGTAATTACAAGGCAACCTTAACAAAAGACCCCATTTTTGCTACCATTTGCAACAACTCATCTGCATATGTCAGGATGTTCCCACACGCCCCTCCCTAGCAGGAATAAGCTGGATGTTGAGTCCAGCGAAAAACTCAACCGTCATCTAAGACCACTGAATTCCAATTTTGTTCTTATCAATATAGCCATAGAGATCTTTAGGTTTGTTTATAATAAGTAAATGTTACAAATGTGAATATGTAAACTAAATTTTACTTTATTAAATTTTCACTTTGGTTTCATATATTTATTTTAATAAAATACCACTTTGCTTTGGCATTGGCTATAAATTGCATTTGGTTCTGCTGGTATGAATTTTGAAAACGGGCACTAGTTTTTAAACCGCACCCCGGGGAGCCTCACATTTGGAGGCAACAGAGGGGCCACACAGCAGCAGGCAGAAGCGAATACAAGGGCTCCGGCTCCTCACCAGGGGACTTGTCTTCTCCCTCTTTGCTAGTGGCATTCCATACAGTTCCGTGTGACGAAGCGTTCCATTTCTAAGAAATACTGAAAAATCCAGCTCTAAGGCATCAAAAATGTGATTTTTGTTTTATAGTTTGAAGGTCCTGATTTTCACGCCATGATTGGAGATTCCTGTGATGTATGTGCTGGGCAGAGAGGCCAGGCCCTGAAGGCCATCCTGTTCCAGGCATCCTTTCTGTATAGGAAGTCTGAGGGTTACGTTAGATAAGGAATGGGAAGCCACTGCAGTTCTCCACCCAAGTAAGTAGATTTTCTGAGATATTTTAAAAACAGGTTTTACACACAAAAACATTTGTGGTAATCCCACTAAAAATTTTCTTCTGGATGTCTCAGGGCAAGGGTTTCTAGAGGAGAATAAAAGAAACATGTAACAGGGGCTGATGGCCACACACAGAGACATCTGGTCTACCTACCTAGTCCCTGCTGCTACATTTATTTTTCATAGCTAAAGTAAATGTTATTGTAGTGCTCATAAACAGGAACATTTCCAATTTTGCAGCTCTAGAAAACAAATCTGAGAGGCGGGGCACAGTGGTTCATGCCTGTAATCCCAGCACTTTGGGAGCCAAGGTGGGGAGAACACTTGGGTCAGGAGTTCGAGACCAGCCTGGCCAATATTGTGAAACCTCATCTCTACTAAAAATACAAAAATTAGCCAGGAGTGGTGGCGGGCCCCTGTAATTCCAGCTACTAGGGAGGCTGAGGTGGGAGAATCTCTTGAACCTGGGAGGCTGAGGTTGCAGTGAGTGGAGATCGCGCCACTGCACTCCAGCCTGGGTGACAGAATGACTCGAAAAAAAAAAAATCTGAAAATAAATTTGGCTAGAGATAGAGATCAAAATGAGAGGTAAGAAGAATATGTACATGCATCTAGGTGGCTGCTATATATTTAATAAGTTCAACAGTATATACAGTAATATGCATAATTTAAAATTATAGTTCCTTTCATCTCATTTTTTAAAATTTTTATTTATTTATTTATTTATTTTGAGATGGAGTTTCACTCTTGTCACCCAGACTGGAGTGCAATGGCGTGGTCTCGGCTCACTGAAACCTCTGCCTCCCGGGTTCAAGCAATTCTCCTGCCTCAGCCTCCCGAGTAGCTGGGATTAAAGGCGCGTGCACCACCATGCCCGGCTAATTTCTGCAATTTTAGTAGAGATGGGGTTTCACCACGTTGGCCAGGCTGGTCTCAAACTCCTGACCTCAGGTGATTAGCCCACCTCGGCCTCCCAAAGTGCTGGGATTACGGGTGTGAGCCACCGCGCCAGGTCAATTCCTTTCATTTTAAAATGACCTTCAAAAAATTAACTTTGAAGTTGAAATTTCATTTGTGCTAATAATTTCCAGATTGTCCTGAAAGCTGAGTATTCCAGGACTTGACAGCCATAGGATCAAATCAGTGCCAAAGAGGGCCAATGGGGTCAAGAAAACTCCTGAAAGATGACAGAAAACAGATCTGGGACTGCAGCAGAAAAATCACTTGACTTTTTTCGCTGCTCTTTTCTTTTTTTCTGGGATAGTGTCTCTCCTTAGAGAATTCAAAAACCAATTATTGAAATGGATGTACCCTAAAGGAGCTTATCATGTGTCGTACTGAGCATAAGAACCTACACTCTGTGAGCTGTGGAGTTTAAAGTTCCATTAAGCAAAGTCCGATTTTATAAAGCTATGCTAAAGATCCAATTCTCTCTGATTTTCTTTCTCCCAAAATAACCGTTTCCATGGTTACATAATCACTTAGTATTAGGACTTAGAGGAAATGCATTTTGGGGGATAATTCAGTAGAGGTTGTTTTTAAATTTTCACAGTAGGAACTGGGAAATTCAATATAAAATATAATCTCTGGTAATTTGCACAGCTTGCTCAATGCTTCAAGGACACTCACTTTTACAGAAAACACAGTATTTAAGGCTCAGTGATAATAATTATTCTCACAGTCCTGCAATCACATCAGTCCTGCAGCTGCTCAGTGCCACCTGGCTGGCCCTGCCTCACCACAGCACCTGCTCAGGGACACACAAATGGCCACCGACTGGGTCAAGTGAGCCCCAGCAACTGGCCAGTGGGCCTGTTTGACGGGACAAGGCTAGGTAAGAATTGGCCTGGCCTTAGCAAAGCCCATCTCCCCTGCTCCCTCTGGAATTGGGCTGCAGATTACGGAGTGGACAAGGTACGAGTGGAGTAAACAGGGATGGCAAAGTTGAAACGCCTGAAGGCAAGAACAGAATACTTTTCCCCATAGGGCCTTTGGCTCAATACCAGCTTCCAGATCCTCAGGAGAAAACCCCCCTTTTCTTGAAGTCACTTGGTAAGTTTCCATTCCTTGCATGCCAAGCAGCACAACACAGATCTTCACAGCCTTAGACTTTTTTCATGGGTGCTTTACAGTTTTGGAGGTCCCTATCCGCACACATATTTGCAGGCTTGGAGAGAGTGTGTGGGGGCATGTACTTTCGGTGGGTCAAGTATGAAGAAGCAGGCCTTATAAACACATATTCTGACCTTAACCTGTACTTCAGAAGAGGACCGCTGACTCACCAAGGAGGCCTGAAGGACAAGGCAGCATCTCTGTCTTCACATGAGTCCTCCCCTAGACCGTGCCCATGGCCAGGCCTGACCACAGAGCTCCCATTGCCTTTCCTGCCCTGGATTCTTCCCTCTCCTGTCATTTTTTTTTTAAATCAAGATATAATTTACATAACTTATAATTTCAAATAAGACAAAACTCACCATTTTGATGTATGCAATTCCATGGTTTCAGTATATTCACAAAATTGTGCAACTATCACCACTATCCAATTCCAGAACTTGCTCATTATCCCAAAGAGAAACCCTCCATCATCCATTAGCAGTCACTCTTAAGTTCCCCCTCTCCCCATTCCCTAGAAACCACTACTTGACTTCTGTCTCTGTAGATTTACCTATTCTGGTCATTTCATATACATGTAATCATATAATATGTGTCTTTTTTGTGTCTTATTTCTTTCACTTAGTGTGATGTTTTCAAGGTTCATCCATGTTGTAGTATGTGTCAGCACTTTATTCCTTTTCATTGCCGAGTAATATTCCATTGTGTGGATGTATCACGTTTTGTCTATACATTCTTCATTTGATGAACATTTCGGTTGTTTTCACCTTTTAGTTATGATGACAAATATTGCTATGAACATCCATCTACCAGTTTTTGTATGGAGGTATGTTTTTAATTCTCTTGGGTTTACACCTAGGAGTGGAATTGCTGGGTAATTCGATGTTGAACCTTTTGAGGAACTACTGGATTCTCTTAATTGGCAGCCTGGCCTCCTGAGGCCCTAACAATTTCAGCATCACTGAGAAGCCCAAAAGACTCCCATGACTCCTGCCATGGAATAAATGACTTTAAGAGGTCTTAGAATTATTACCTTCTTCATAAGCACTAGGGTTCAAGATGCAATTCTGAGGCTGAGGCAGGAGAATCGCTTGAACCCGGGAGGTGGAGGTTGTGGTGAGCCAAGATCGTGCCATTGCACTCCAGCCTGGGCAACAAGAGCGAAACTCCGCCTCAAAAAAAAAAAAAAAAAAAAAGATGCAATTCTGTTGAGCAAGGTGACACAGTGACTTACTGTCACACCAAGATTTAAGTCAGAGCTTTTCCAAGAGCAATTTAGATGTAAAGAAAATGGAAAACACGCAGGAATAGTGGGAATCAGCATGGGGAAAGGCGAGTGAGTACGGACCCGTCAAGGAGATGAGGGTTGGCTGTTTCCGTTAATACCACATCAAATACTGGCTCTTTTTTGGTCAGTTCACATATTTCAGATAGCACCGACTGAGCACTGACTTTATTTACTTATTTATTTTTTGAGATGGAGTCTTGCTCTCTTGCCCAGGCTGGAGTACACGGATTTCAGCTCACTGAAACCTCTGCCTCCCAGGTTCAAGCAATTCTCCTGCCTCAGCTTCCTGAGTAGCTGGAATTACAGGTGTGTGCCACCATGCCCAGCAAATTTTTGTATTTTTAGTAGAGACGGGGTTTCACCATGTTTGTCAGGTTGGTCTCGAACTCCTGACCTCAAGTGATCTACCCGCCTCGGCCTCCCAAAGTGCTGGGATTACAGGCGTGAGCTACTGCGCCCGTTGACTGAGCGCTGACTTTATACAAGAACACCCACCTAGGAGCTGGGCATTTAAATATGAATGAGACACATTCCCTGGGGAATTCAAAACCTAGTAGGCTGAACAAGACACACGAGTCTCGTGGTCTGAGGACTGCACTCAGACTGTGGTCTGAGACATGTCCTGTTACTGGCCTGATTTTGAAATGTCCTTTCTTTTATGAAGTGACGGTGGTGGGAGATGGGAGCAGCTTTTATTTTTTCTAACATCTTATTTGGCAAAGTAAAAGAATTTGGCAGCTCTATGTTGGTCTAACAGATTTATTGAAATGTTAGTTGTTTTTGAAATCCCTCATCCCTCAATTCCAGAATCTGACCCTATAGGAAAAACAAGATAGTTATTAGGATGCAAAGGTTATTGCTCCACATGATTCCTGTATGTATTAAAATGGGTGAAACGAGCTAAACGGGAGAAGTTACAATTAGCCTAGGATAGTGAGGCCTCAAGGGGGAACCAGTTTCTGTAATTCTGTCAGGCCCAGGGTTCAGAAAGCTGAAACAGAGGCTTTGGCTAAAGGTGTTTTATTCCTGACAAGCCTAGAAGGGAGTCTTGGCCTGAGGCCCTGGGGCCTCGCTCACAAGGCAGTTTTTATCTGTGGCTTTCTGTAATTTGAAGGAATAAATCTAAAAGAAATAGCAGATTTTGGCTGTGGTCTCATCTGTTCCTGGGTAACTGTGATCGTAGGCACCTCTCTAGGTGTCAGTTTCTGTATCAGTCACATTCTAGCAAGAGATAACACTTACCTAGTGCTTACTAAGTGCCAGGCACTATTTTGAGGACTTTGGATATCTACTTATTTAATCCCACAACCATATGAGAATAGATCCTGTTAATTTTCCCATAAAAGTAATTTGCCCAAAGTCTCACACAGTGGTCGGGGGTGGGGCCAGAATCTGAATTCCGATCTGCCTATTGCCAAGCTCACACCATTTCTTTTTCCATGATTTATTTTCACATATTCTATTTTAAATCAAATTATTAATTCTATTACTACGGTGATGCAGGAATAACTTGTCCATTTTTTTTTTTTACAACAGAAAAATTTCTAATGTGGCATTGAGCAGAACTGTGGTGTTCTCCAAGGCCAGTCTTTGTCCAATAAATACTGAAATACTGAAAAAGGATGATAGAACGCATATTCCACAACAGCTTCAAATGCAGAGGTGTATGAATTTTAATATTATTAAGAACTGCTTTAGAAATTCCAGTTGCTAGCATTTTCCTGGTATATTCTTCCCACCTCTAAAGCACGTGAGTTTAACATAATTCTATTGTGTCTTTTTATTTTTGAGACAGGGTCTCACTCTGTCGCCCAGGCTGGAGTGTGTGGCACAATGATAGCTCACGGCAGCCTCCAACTCCTGGGCTCAAGGGATCCTCCCACCTCAGCCTCCTGAGTAGCTGGGACCACAGGCATGTGCCACCATGCCCAGCTTCTATTGTGCCTTAAATGACTGCTTAACGATTGAAGTATTGCAGAAAGAGTGAGTGAGAGTAAGAGGAAAAGATAAAAGGCCTTTTCAGCACCTGCAAGCCTCCCAAGGCTGCTCAGACTGCATTGGAGTTCCCCTGAGAGCCTTTCCAAACTCCCACATCCAAACCGAAAGCAACCAAATAACATGAGAGCAACCACAGAACTGTATTCACAAATGTAAACTCAAGGGCAGGGCCAATTTACAAACATTATTTAAGGAAAATCTTTTTTTTTTTTTTTTTTCCTTGAGACGGAGTCTCGCTCTGTCGCCCAGGCTGGAGTGCAGTGGCGCGATCTCGGCTCACTGCAAGCTCCGCCTCCCGGGTTCACGCCATTCCCCTGCCTCAGCCTCCAGAGTAGCTGGGACTACAGGTGCCGGCCACCACGCCCGGCTAATTTTTTGTATTTTTAGTAGAGACGGGGTTTCACTGTGTTAGCCAGGATGGTCTCGATCTCCTGACCTCGTGATCTGCCCATCTCGGCCTCCCAAAGTGCTGGGATTACAGGTGTGAGCCACCACACCCAGCTATTTAAAGAAAATCTTGAAGGACTTGTCGTGCATGGCAGGAAACAGGACATTTTTAATTTTTTAATTTTCATTTTTTTGAGACGAGCCTTGCTCTGTCACTCAGGCTGGAGTGCAGGTGTACAATCTCGGCTCACTGCCACCTCCGCCTCCCAAGTTCGAGCGATTCTCCTGCCTCAACCTCCGAGTAGCTGGGATTACAGGTGTCCAGCACCATGCCTGGCTAATTTTTGTATTTTTAGTAGAGATGAGGTTTTCACCATGTTGGCCAGGCTGGTCTTGAACTCCTGACCTCAGGTGATCCACCCTCCTCGGCCTACCAAAGTGCTGGGATTACAGGCATGAGCCATCATGCCCGGCCAGGACATTTTAAATACTTTTTTCATTAATTAAAAATTTTCATGAGTAAATACTTTCTTTAGTGTATAATGGAGGTGGCTAACCCTTTCTACGGTCCTCTGAGGGTGTTTGCAGCAGGTGTGCGCTCCATTCTCGATGCTTTACTATACTTTGCCTTGCCAAGCGCGCTCACCACATGCCTGCGGACTGAGCATGGGACATCCTGTCCTTGGACAAGGTAAGAAGGAGGTTAAGTACAATCTTACTAGGACCATCAGCCCTCCTCCTTCCGGGTCTCTCCAGCATCTGGCCCGGACGACCTGTGCCCTCTGCTGGGCACTCCCTCTCTCCCAGATGTGCTGTGAGGCTCTTCCTTGTCTGAAGCTGAACTTTCTCAGGCCCAGAGCCCTTGCCTCTCTGCGGGCACTCCTCGTGTGCTCTGGATTCCCAGGCTCTGCATACCATCAGTAGCTGATGACCGGTACACTGGGGCCATCTGCCTCTCTTCCGAGCTCCAGGCTCTGACAACAGACTGACTGCTCGATGCCTCCACATGGCTCTCCATTTGGCATCTCAAACTCAACTTCTCCAAATCAGAGCTGGATCTCTTCCCTAAGTCTCCTAGATGTCCCCTTTGCAGTAAATGGCACCGTGGTTCACCCTGTACCCTCCTGGATCCCTTTCCTCATTAAGTCCACCAGCTAGTTCTGCCCTTCAGTTTCCAGCACTCACCTGCATGGCTACCCCAGCCCAACCCAAGGCACCCCACAGGGTCTCTGCCTTCTGCAATCTACTTTCCCTGACAACCACATGCTTGGAGCCTATGGCTGGGATGGCTGGTTGCTGTAGCTGAAAGAAAACCCAAGTTCCTTGCTGTGGTCTTCAGCCCTGGGGGTGTCTGGCCCCACTGACCTCCCTCACTTCTTTATGAGCACTCTTTCTTTCCCCAGCCATGCTTAGTGTCTCCTCCTCCTCCTCCTCCTCCTCTTCCTTCCCCCTCCCCGCTCCTCCTCCTCCTCTTCCTTCCCGCTCCCCGCTCCTCCTCCTCCTCTTCCTTCCCCCTCCCCGCTCCTCCTCCTCCTCTTCCTTCCCCCTCCCCGCTCCTCCTCCTCCTCTGGCCCTTGCCATGGGCCCCTTGGAGCCTGGCTCTCTGGGCTTCGCTGGGTGCTTCAGGCCCATCCCATGGGGGATGGTGAGTGGAAGTAGAACCTAGTAAGCAGGAGCTTGGGCCAACACAACCACTCCCTCCTGGAAATCAACATTCACAATGCAGCTCCACTGATTGGTTCCAAATACTATGAATTCCCAGATTTTATGCTATGGAATCTCTTCTATGTATATGAATTTTTAGAGTTTAGAGATTTAAAATGTAAAATTTTTCATTTCTTGCTATCCACAGCTTTACATAAAACAACTAGTCAACTACAATTTTTAATTATCAAAACAGCAAACATATCTAGAACTTCTTAATAATTTAACATTGTTCTAAGGACCATTATTTTCTAATAGCAATAGAATATATCTAACATAGCAAAACAAAATGGAAAAGTAAGTGTTTCAGGGAAAAACAATGAGCCAGCCCTGGCACCAAGTGTCCTTTTCCTTTTTTTTTTTTTTTTTTTTGAGACAGAGTCTCATCTGTCGCCCAGGCCAGAGTGCAAGGGCGCAATCTCAGCTCACTGCAACCTCCGCCTCCCAGGTTCAAGTGATTCTCCTGCCTCAGCCTCCCGAGTAGCTGGGATTACAGGCACCCACCACCACGCCTAGCTAATTTTTGTATTTTTAGTAGAGACGGGGTTTCACCATGTTGGCCAGGCTGGTCTCGAACTCCTGACCTCAGGTGATCCGCCTGCCTTGGCCTCCCAAAGTGCTGGAATTACAGGTGTGAGCCATCGGGCCCAGCCTTCTGGTATACTTCTAATGTGTACAGAATGATCACATTACTTTAAGAGCCTGACCTTGATCACAAGGTTCGTATTATTTTAAAATATAATTTGAGGCCCCTGCTCCAAAATCAAAACATAACAATAACCATGGAAGTTCACTTTAACTTACCAATATGCATATAGCTCTATGTAAAAGTCAAAAAATGAAGAGAACTGAAAACAATCAGGACAAAATGAACGAAACTTTCTGGTTCTCAGAAACATTGATTCTTACTGGATTTTCAATTTTCCATCTACTAAACATGTCTCATTTTAAAAGTTGATTTCTGTCATAAAAGGTTAATTATTCATTCCTTGCACTCAAGAAACTTCAGTACTGAGAAGGCAGCATAATCATGCATGCAATCATATTCTTCAAAGGGCCCTGTAACTTGTACAGGACACAACTTACTATTGTGCACAGTCAATCAGCTGGTATTCGTTGGATCTCTCAAAGCATGCCTTCACGCCTTCATCGTCCCAAAGTTTTTTCACATGGTCAAAGAATTCCTAAAGTTTGAAAGAGTTACAAATTAAAAAAAAAAAAGTGTAATAACCTTTTAAAAAGTTAAAAGGAAAAAGAAACTGCAAAAACTGTTTTTTGCAAGTAGCATTCAGATTTTCTTTGTGGAAGTCTGCATAGTAAAATGCACCGACTCTATGTTTAGTGTGATAAAAAATGTATGCATGCATGTTATCATTACTCAAGTCAAATTGCAAAAGTTTTTTGTTTTTTTTTTGAGACACAGTCTCGCTCTGTCACCCAGGCTGGAGTGCAGTGGTGCCATCTTGGTTCACCGCAACCTCCGCCTCCCAGGTTCAAGCGATTCTCCTGCCTCAGCCTCCCGAGAAACTGGGATTACAGGCACATGCCACTGTGCCTGGCTAATTTTTGTATCTTTAGTAGAGACGGGGTTTCACCATGTTGACCAGGCTGGTCTCGAACTCCTGACCTCAAGTGATCCTCCCACCTCGGCCTCCCAAAGTGTTTGGATTACAAGCGTGAGCCACCGTGCCTGGCCCAAAATCGTTTTATCATTCTGGAAAGTCCCCCAAAATGCAAATTACATCAAAGTTAATACCATATGTTAGCTATAAATACAATTAACAGCATAATTCTAAAGTATTTAGAATTCAGTAACTTAACTCATTGAACCCCCCCCCCATCTCAGCCATGAAAAAAACATGCATATTATAAGGACAAGTTTTGTCTTAGCTTCTGTCTTTTACGTTTTCTATGTGAGTTATGATTAGGAATGGACATGGTTGAGTAGATGGATTAAATTTGGCCCAGACATATTAGGTACATAAAAAAGGAACTTTAAAAATTACACTTTGAGGATGATAATTTATTTCTTTTTTCGTTTAAAAAAAACTAGGAGTTAAGTGTGAATTGTGATTTTTCGTTCATTCCAGAGCCATGAGGTCACTGTGCTCAACTTCACCTATTATTATGGCAAGCAAGATGCTCTGAAAGAAGAACATTTTTCATCTCAAAAGTAAATGAACGGCTTATGAGTTCATATTGGTAATATTACCCAAAACGGCTATGGAAGCAAATGACTACATTAGTAGCAAAACACAAAAGAAGTTACGTAAATGTTCACAAAACACTTTGTGGGAAATTCACGCCCTTCCCACAGCAGTTATTTGCCTGCCTTTGATCTTCAGGGTTCTCAGGCTCCATGGCCTGTCCCAGCGACTCCTCCTTCATGCTTATCAGCTGCCACATTTCTAGGAATCAACACAGATTCTTTGGAGAAAAAAAGAAGGACTGGCACTTTTTCTTAAGGACTCACAATTCCATACAAAGGTGGATCCAAGCACTGTGAGGGGTTTAATGCTCACAATTTGGAAGGCTCTCTTTGAAAAAACAGAGGCTAAATGATGAATACAAAATTAGGTATAAATCCTTGGAAGGGGAGTAGAAGTGAGGTACCCAGAGTGTAGGCTTTATTAGCGTTTAGAAAATCCAATTCTGATTTCACAGTATCAGAGACAATCTTGTAAGTTATGGCATAGTCTATATCTGCATCTGTCTGTCACCATTATCAGCAAACCCAAATGGTTCCCAGTTGACAAAAAAAGAGACATTCTCCCCCTGAAGGGGGTGGCTAAAGCTCTCAGTTTTCATCTTGTCTCCCTAGGTTTATGTTTCCTTCTGGAATCTTCCTCTGATGCTCCCATTAACCCAGTAAAGGAGTTTGTAGGTTTCCTTAAAAAGATTTCCTTCGAAGAGCCATCCAAGTCCATACACACGCACACGTCACACACACACACGTGTAAAGATCAATCCTGCATTATGCCGTTATCAAGTTGGCCATGAAGAGAGTGACATCGCTGCCTCATGGTGATGGGTCTTCCAGTTGCCAGCTCTGGGCACCTGATTTCTCTGGACACGACAGACGTATGATATATAAAAACTATAGACTCATGCTACATTGAAACAAATTTAACTGGATTTATCCAAACACAGGAACCACAGACACCAGATTTTATAAAAGTTCACATAAGAGTTATTCACTATAATAGGTTTCCAAATGGAATTAAAAACGACCAAGACTGGAGTAATTAATCTAAATTTGGTCAAAAAAAAAAAAAAAAAAAGAAAAAAAAAAAGAAAAACAATATTGCTCCAGGCCCTGCAGGGCAGAAAGGGCTCCAAACCGTGTGGGGTACGGTCGTGTGGTCACCCTACTACCCAACCAGCCATGGAAGTGAGCCCACACGGTGCTGACCCCAGAGCTAACAGGCATGTGGCTAGAGGTCAGTGAGAGGGTTGAGAAATTGATCTTTTTAATTTTTAACTTTAATTTTTTGAGACGTGGTCTCACTCTGCCCCTTCTCACAGGCTGGAGTGCAGTGGTGCAATCTGGGTTCATTGCAGCCTTGACCTCCCGAGCTCAAGCAATCCTCCTGCCTCAGCCTCCCAAGTAGCTGGGACTACAGCCGCGTGCCACCACGCCTGGCTAATTTTTGTATTTTCCTAGAGACGGGGTTTTACCATGTTGCCCAAGCTGGTCTCCAACTCTTAGGCTCAAGCGATCCTCTGCCCTCAGGCTCCCGAGCAGCGGGGACGACAGGTGTGTACCACAATATCCAGCTAATTTGTTTGTTCGTTTGTTTGTTTTGAGATTTGGCGGTGGGGGGGATGGGAAGGGAGGTCTCATAATGTTGCCCAGGCTGGTCTCGAACTCCAGGCTCAAGTGATTCCACAGGCGCGCCCACCACGCCCCGCCCGAGAAACCCCATCTTGAGTAGGCCCGAAGCCGGGCTGTGGAAAGCCAGGCGCGCTAAGCCCCTGGGCCTCTCCGGAGCCGCCCTCGCCCCGCGCCTGCGGTGCCACACGCATCCGCCGCTCTGCACGCACAAGACCTCCTGGCAGGCGGAGGAGAAACTGAGGCTCCTATCAGATGCCCTTGCTTTTCGACTTACTTAGCACCCGTGAAACGGAGGCCTACGGAGCGGCGGCCATGGCCTGGGCGCGTTCTGGCCACCGGGCCACACTGGATGCCGGCCTGGCCTCGCCAGAGGGCGGATGTGCGCTGCAGGGAGGCGGGAGGCCCTTGTGCTTCAGCCCTTGGTGAGCTGGAAAGGGAGGACATTCTAGCTCTGAAGCATTTACTGGGGCCCCTGCTCAAGGACCTCCCGGCTCCCTCCTGCAGAAATATCAGTATCACCGCCCCACCTGCCTCTGCAAACAGTGCACCCCCGCAGCTCCCCAGCTTGGAGGCCCTGCCCAGCGGGGCTGGGATCCTCAGCGCCCCCAGGCCTCAGCTCATTCCTTCAGGCTTCGGCTTCTGCTGTTTTCTCACTTCCTTCGCAATACCCTTTCTCATTTTGCGTTAATTTCCTGCATGTCACAGTAAGGGCCTTACTCACATGATAATCCCTATTTAAAATAGTTCTTACGTAGTTCTTATTTTGTCGAGGGTACTGTGCACAGTACTTTAACACATGATCGCATTTAACTCTCACAAAACTGGAAGAGGTCGCTGTTGTCATTGTGCTCAGATCAGTTAAGTAATCCACCCAAGGGCACACAGCAGGTAATAGCAGAATATCTTATTCCACTGCCTGTGTTTTTAACCACTATGCATACTACCACCTTTTATTATGTATATATTAAATCATCTTCTATTCTTTAGTTTTCTACTGGGTTTCTTTAAAACCACTATTTTAGAAAAACCACTCTTCGCTGGATAAAGTACAGGGGATCTCATACAAGGGTACCTTGTTAAAGCAACACAAGACACTCATGAGGATTCCCACAGGTCTGTAAAGCTCAGTAACTTCTGTGGTCCTTCCACGATTCACAAATACATTGCAAAGATGCCAAGTGTAAATTCAGTTCATGGGATAAGGCTTAATGTCCTGTTGTTGGGTAAGATTCACTGGTGAGGACTGGAACTGCTTTATAGGAGACGAAACTCTAGGTTTGAGCTGAAGCCTGAGAGAATTACAGAGAAGTGCTTGAACCAAGAATGAAGATACAGAATTTCTGGAGCATGTGTTGATAGCAAGAGTAAAACAGGGATTGTAGGCACTGTGATTTTTAAGTAGGTGATTTAGATAACACTGAAGAAACACAAAAGCGACAACAATCTCTCTTCACTTCAACTTCCTCATGGGTAAACATGTTGGACTAGCATACAGCTAAGTCCCCATGATTCCACATATTTACTTTTTAAAGGGTTCTAAAAACTTCATGGTGAATTCCAGGGCTGCTGTTGTGATTGTTACTTCAATGTTTTACATGGAAAAGTTTCAAACTTATAAAAATAGAGAGAATGAATCTCCAGGTACCCATTACTCAGGTTCCACATTTATCAACACATGGCCAATTTCTTTTCATCCATATCTCATCCACTTTTACACTGCTTTTATTATTTTGAAACAAATATTTTATTTATAAGGCAGCATATCATGTTATTTCAACATTATTTCTAAAACATAAAGACTTTTAAAAAATAGCCGTAATACCATTATCTCAACTAAAAAATACATAAACACATAGAAAAGGATTCTGCGAAGTCATTAAATATTTAGCCAGCCAGTGAAGCTTCTTAAGGTATAATTAAACATTTGTTCAGAGCTAGGCTAGGATTCTGATAGGGATCAAAATACGCCACCCCCAATTATGTGACACTGGCATATTGATTATTTTGAGCTGAAGGCAACTGAGAAACAACAGATATAAGAAGAGCTGTCTGCTCTCCCCCTTTCTGCCTAAAAAAGAGCATAAATATCCCCCACCCTGTACTAGGATAAGAGTGACCTTTATCGCAGAGACAGAGAGCTGTCACCAAGATGAGTCTGCATAAGCAAACCTTACTAAAATAGCCCTTTCTCACAATTATATCAACCCTAGGAGCCCAAATCCCCTTTCATTTGTAGTCACTTCTTCCACAATTTCTCACCCTTTGTTAAAATGGTATATAAGCTCCCAACTCTAACTTTTTTTTTTATAAGTTCCACTTCTTTTCTGTGACGCCCCTGTGCATATAAAATTAAAAACATTAATAAAATTTGTATGTCTTTTCTCTTGTTGTCTGTTGTCATTTTAATTCACAGGCTCTAGTTTTTTTCCTTCCCTATAGATCTCATACATTTTAAAAAACAACGGAGAAATTAATATGAAGAATAATTTTAGTATGTCTACATTAGCAACTAAGATAAATAATACTAAATAAAAATAATTTCAGGGTTTTTTTTGTGTGTATGTGTCTGAAAAGAGTAATTCACAGTAAAATGTAACCTGTTTTTGACATCTGAGGGTATATAAAAACTGAAAGCATAAAAAGAAAATTACTAAGTTAAATTTCTTAATTTTTTCTGTATTACTGAATATGAGAATTGCCATGTGATCTTCATTATGTTCAGCAACTGATATATGTGAATATTTGTTATTTATATTCAAAGGGATTTCAGTTATATAAAATAAAAATAATGATACCAAGTTTAAACCTATTTTTTAAAAGCAAGGCTTTAAAATTTTGAAGTACAATTTTGATTTTTAAATCAACATTTAAACTAAAGTTTAAAAAATTAAAGTATGTAATGACTCTATTTCATATTGACAACATTTTCCTTCTGATACTGCTATCTACGACTACCTTTATATTGAAAGTATACTCAAAGATAACATGAAATTCTCAGATGAGTAAAAGAAAGTTTTTTGCTTTTAAATTCTTCTTAATTACTTTAAAATGCAAACAAACAGATGACAATAAGAAGTGTAAGAATAACATTTCTTGCATAATTTCTGTGCTAATATAACACAGTCAAATGACTTTTTGGTTACACTGACATTTGGGATACATTTTTCATTTTGAAATAAAAATCAAAGAGCTATTTCCCATCACTTGACGTGAGTGTGGTGCCGTCTGTCTGGCGGCTGTGGGGTCAGGCCGCCCTGCTCCCACTCGCCATGCTGGGGGTGGCCGGTGGTCCACACTGAGCCCTGCCCTGTGGGCTGGTGGACCACATCCCTGGGTTGAGTGTGAAAATGTTCCCAACATTCGCACAATATTCTTTCTAGGGTGACTTATGAAAAATACTTCTAATTTTAGTGTCGGGAATACTCTTGCATTTCTCAAGCAACTGCTTTTTACATTTTATTATTCATTTTTAATCTGTGGATCCTGTGACTTTCCTACTGCTTTCATTTACGTCACTGAGTTCACTGTGTGAAAGCTTAGAAACCAAGTTTCAGGGTGCGTCCCGGCACGTGTGAAAGCCTCGGTCAGACACACTGAGCAGTAACTTCACTGCGGTTCCACAAAACTCACTCTCCCCGTTCCTGCCTTCATCCTCCCACATTTTCAGTTGCTTTATTAACTTGTATTGTAACTTTGTGAGCAGCACTAAATCCTTTCTGGACCAAGTGGAAGCACACACAGTCGTTTAAGTTGTTTAATGTAACCTTTTACGGGAACCTAGTGAATAATGTCCACCACTGTAATCACATGAGCCTTAGAAACAGGCAGTTTCAGGACAGTAACCACTTAAATTGAATTTTTTAAAACTCGAGTTTAGGTCTGATACATTTAAAATACACCTACTCAATTTTATCCCTTGGATAACAGAATGAGCTAGTAGGTATCCGTTGTTTCTTTTTTCAGGTATCTGGTGAATATCAAGTTAAAAGTCTGGATCTGTTATTTTGTTATTTTACAGTGTTATAACACTATGATTTTGTTATGTATAATTTCTGTCCATCCTGAAATTTAATGTTACACAGTTTATCTAAAATTCTCCTCTGCCTCCTGGGTTCAAGCCATTCTCGTGCCTCAGCCTCCTGACTAGCTGAGACTACAGGCAGGAGCCACCACACCCGGCTAATTTTTTTTTTTTTTTTTAATTTTTAGTACAGATGGGGTTTTGCCACATTGGCCAGGCTGGCCTCAAGTGATCCGCCCGTCTCAGCCTCCCAAAGTGCTGGGATTACAGGCATGAGGCATAGTGCCTGGCCAGTATATCTAAAATTCTATTGAGGAACAGTTTTCAGAAACCACGTTAAAAAAAACTTCACAAATGGGTTGTGCGCGGTGGCTCACGCCTGTAATACCGACACTTTGGGAGGCTGAGGCGGGCGGATCACCAGAGCCCAGGAGTTCGAGACCAGCCTGGCCAACATGGTGGAAGCCCGTCTCTACTAAAAATACAAAAATTAGCCCGGTGTTGTGGCACGCACCTGCAATCCCAGCTACTCAAGAGGCTGAGACAGGAGATCACTGGAACCTGGGAGGTGGAGGTTGCAGTGAGCAGAGAACTCCAGCCTGGGCGACAGAGCAAGAAATCTGTCTCAAAAAACACAACCAAACAAAAAGAAAACTACACGAAAACAAGCCAATTAAAAGCCTTTGCAGTTCCTGAGGGGAAAGCATCTTTCCTAGCAAGAAGCGTGATCGCCACAGGCAACAAGTTCAACAACTAAGCAACTGCATGAGGTTAACGTTTACCTTAGCATTTACCGAGTGCCCAGGCAATGTTCTGAGAGCCTAGGTATAAGGTCTATCTGTCTCAAACAATCCTGCTGTGCAGGTAATTCAATGACAACATGAGAACCATCGAGAATACTTCATAAAACTGCTTAAGTTCACTTAACTAGGAAGTGGTCAAACCTGGATTCAAAAGCATGCTCTGAGGCTGGCTAGCTTCCCTGTTCTCTGCTCAATAGCAGTTCCTTGGGTATAAGAGACCAGTGAGGACAAGTACAAATTTGCAATATACCCCACACATCTATTTTTCCCTTAGGACTTAGCCTACTTCAATTATTATTAGTGTCATGTTTAAACAACTTTTTGAGTATACTATATATGCCATAAATTCATCCATTTATAAAGTCATGCAACCACCAACACCCAGGTTTTAGAATTCCTCTATCACACGAAAGGTGCCTCATCCTCCTTTGGAGCCAAGCCGTGCCACCACCCCAGGCCCCAACCACCACTCAGTTCCTTCTGTCTCTATAGTTTTGCCTTTTCTAGAAACTTCATGTAAATAAAACCATAGTCTTTTCTGACTGGCTTCTTTCACTTAGCACATTTTTGAAATTCATCCATTTTGTTACGTACATTAACAGTTTGTTCCTTTTTTTTTTTTTTCTTTCGAGACAGCGTCTCACTCTGTCGCCCAGGTTGGAGTGCAGTGGCACGATCTTGGCTCACTGCAACCTCCGCCTCCCAGGTTCAAGAGATTCTCCTGCCTCAGCCTCCCCAGTAGCTGGGATTACAGGTGCCCACCATCAGATCCAGCTAATTTTTGTATTTTTAGTAGAGACAGGGTTTCACCGTGTTGGCCAGGCTGGCCTTTTTAAAAAAAATTAGAGTGGCCGGGTACGGTGGCTCATGCCTATAATCCCAGCACTTTGGGAGCCCGAGGCAGGTGGATCATGAAAGGAGATCGAGACCATCCTGACTAAAATGGTGAAACCCCGTCTCTAATAAAAATACAAAAAAATTAGCTGGGTGTGGTGGCGGGCGCCTGTAGTCCCAGCTACTTAGGAGGCTGAGGCAGGAGAATCGCTTGAACCCGGGAGGCAGAGGCTGCAGTGAGCTGAGATTGTGCTACTGCACTCCAGCCTGGGTGACAGAGCAAGACTCGGTCTCAAAAAAATTAAATAAATAAAAAATAAAAAAATTGCTGAGTTCTATTCCATTTTATGGATATATCATGTTTTATTTATCCATTCACCAGCTGGTGGGCACTTGGGTTATTTCCAGTTTTTGACTATTGTGAATAGTGCTACTAGGACTATTTGTGTAAAAGTCTTAGTATGGACATTTATTTTTATTTCTTTTGGGCAGGATGGGAATTGCAGGGTTTTATGGTAAGTGAACGTTTAAGTTTTAAAAATTGTCAAATTGTTTTCCATGGTGGTTGCACCATTTTGCATTGTCAAGGGCAATGTTTAGGGGTTCTAGTATTGCACATCCTCACCAGTGCTTGGCTTCATTTTCTTAATTTTAATTATTCTAGTGGGCATGTAGTGGTATCTCGTTGTGGTTTTAATTTGCATTTCCCTAATGATGAATTACGTTGGCTATCTTTTATGAAACTGTTGGCTCAACAATTGTTTTCTTATTATTGAGTTTTTTAAAAATAAAAGTAAGAGATTACAACAAATAATCTGGATTAAAATCCTTTATCAGCTATAGGTTTTGCAAATATTTTTTCCCAAATTCGCATTTTATTTTTCTTAAGTATTTTTTGATGAGCAAAGTTTATTTTTTTATTTAAAACATTTAAAAATATATAATCTGCTATGGTTTGGAACTGTATCTTAGCCTAAATCTCATGTTGAATTGTAATCCCCAATGTTGGAGGTGGGGCCTGGTGGGAGGTGACTGGATCATGGAGGCAGACTTCCCCCTCGGTGACTTAGTGCTCGTGAGAGCTGCTTGTTTAAAAGTGTGTAGCATCTCCCCGCTTCTCTCTTTCTCCTGCTGTGGCCAGGTAAGACATGTCTGCTTCTCCTTTGCCTTCTGCCATGATTCTAAGTTTCCTGAGGCCTCCCCAGAAGCAGAAGCCGCTTTGCTTCCTGTACAGCCTGCAGAACTATGAGTCAATTAAACCTCTTTTCTTCATAAATTACACAGTCTCAGCTATTTCTTTATAGCAGTGACTATAAAGAAATATATAGAGAATGGACTAATACATAATTGACACATAATAACTTCATATTTATGGGGTATAATGTGGTGCTTCAATGAGTATATACATAGTATAATGATCAAATCTGGGTAACTACTATATCTATCACTTTAAATATTTATCATTTCTCTGGGGTGATAATATTCCAAGTCTGCTCTTCTGGCTAACTTGAAATATACACTACATTATTATTTGCTATAGTCACTCTACTGTGTAATAGAATGCCCAAACTTATTCTTCATGTCTAACTGTAACTCTGTACCCATTGATCAGCTTCTTCCAATTCCCTCTCCTCTACTTTCCCCTCTCCAACCTCTGGTAACCACTTCTACTCTCTACTTCTATGAAATCAACTTTTTTTTTTTTTTTTTGAGATGGAGTTTCACTCTTATTGCCCAGGATGGAGTGCAGTGGCGTGATCTCGGTTCACTGAAACCTCTGTTTCCCGAATTCAAGTGATTCTCCTGCCTTAGCCTCCCAAGTAGCTGGTATTACAGGCATGTGCCACCCCATGCCCAGTTAATTTTGTATTTTTAGTATAGACAGCGTTTCGCCATGTTGGTCAGGCTGGTCCCCAACTCCTGACCTCAAGTGATCCACCTGCTTTGGCCTTCCAAAGTGCTGGGATTACAGGTGTGAGCCACTAGTGGCACCTGGCCAAGAGCAACTTTTTAAGACTCCATATATGATGAGACCATATGGTGTTTTGTTTTTCATTTTTTTTCTTTTTCTTTTCTTTTCTGAGACAGAGTCTTGCTCTGTCGCCCAGGCTGGAGTGCAATGGAATGATCTCTGGTCACTGCAACATCTGTCTCCCAGGTTCAAGCAATTCCCCTGCCTCAGCCTCCCAAGTAGCTGGGATTACAGGCACCTGCCACAATGCCTGGCTAATATTTTTTGTATTTTTGATAGAGACGGGGTTTCACCACGTTGGTCAGACTGGTCTCGAACTCCTGTTCTCAGATGATCCACCCACCTCAGCCTCCCAAAGTGTTGGGATTCCAGGCATGAGCCACCGTGCCCGGCCCAGTGTTTTTCTGTGCCTGATGAACAAAGTTTTAAATTCTGATGTCCAATTAATCCATTTTTTTCTTTTAGAGTTTATCCTTTTTTTGTGTTCTATCAAAGAAATATTTGCCTACCACTTAGTAAAAAATATTTCTTCCATTTTTTTTCTTAAAGTTTATAGTTTTCAGCTCTTACATTTAGGCCTATGATCCATGCAAATTAGTTTTTGGGTATGGTGTAAGGAAAGGGTCAATATTCACTTTTTTTCCATAGGGATATCCAGCTTCTCCTGAACATTTAGAGAAAAGACTATCCTTTCTCCTTGAATCCTTAGTATCTCTGGCTCTCTGTTAAAATTTTTTTTTAATTTTTAAATTTGTTTTAGACACAGGGTCTTGCTCTGTTCCCCAGGCTGGAGTGCAGTGGTGCAATCACAGCTCACTGCAGCCTCGACCTCCTGGGCTCAAGCCACCCTCCCATGTCAGCCTCCTGAGTAGCTGGGACCACAGGCACATGCCACTGCGCTTGACATCTCTCTTAAAATGGACCATATGAAGGTGGATCTATTTCTGAATTCTCAATTCTGTTCCACTGATCTCTAGCTCTCTCCTCATGCTAGCACTATACTGTCTTGATTATTGTGGCTTTCTAGTAAGTCTTCAAATTAGGCAGTTCTAACTTCTCCAACTTTGTTCTCCTTTTCTAACATTGTTTCGGCTATTCTAATAAAATAATTAGGTATTTTTATCAGGGAAAAAAGATTCGAAGAATCACGACTTTAGTCTTTGCTTCCAGACAAGCCTCTAAGTCTTTTGAATTTTTGCATAAATTTTAGCATTAGCTTGTCAATTTTTATAAAAAAGCCTGTTGGTATTTTGATTGGGATTACATTGAATCTATGGGTCACTTGAGAAGAACTGCCACCTTAATGGCAGTTAATGGTTGTGTAATCCATGAACATAATTGAACATGTTATTTCTCTACTTATGTCTTTTTTTCTTTTTTTTAAGATGGAGTCTCACCCTGTCGCCAGAGCTGGAGTGCAATAGAGCGATCTCGGCTCACTGCAACCTCCACCTCCCGGGTTCCACCAATTCTCCTGCCTCAGCCTCCTGAGTAGCTGGGATTACAGGTGTGTGCCACCATGCTCGACTAATTTGTTGTATCGTTAATAGAGATGGGGTTTCAGCATGTTGGCCAGGCTGGTCTCGAACTCCTGACCTCGTGATCTGCCTGCCTTGGCCTCCCAAAGTGCTGGGATTACAGGTATGAGCCACCACACCTGGCCTACTTACATCTTATTTAAATTATCTCAATAATGTTTTGTAGTTTTCAGCATATAGATTTTTTACATCTGCTGTTAAATTTTTTTCCAAGTAAACTTTTTTGGATGTTATTTATTTCTTAATTTTTTTTTTTGAGACGGAGTCTCACTCTGTCACCCAGGCTGGAGTGCAGTGGTGCGAGCTCGGCTCACTACACCTCCGCCTCCCAGGTTCAAGTGATTCTCTTGCCTCAGCCTCCCGAGTAGCTGGGATTACAGGCATGCGCCACCACACCCAGCTAATTTTTGTATTTTTAGTAGAGACAGGGTTTCACCATGTTGGCTGGGCTGGTCTTGAACTCCTGACCTCAGGTGATCCACCCACCTTGGCCTCCCAAAGTGCTGGGATTACAGGCGTGAGCCACCGTGCCCAGCCTGAATGTCATTTTTAATGTTCATGTTTTATAAATTTCATTTTTCAGATTTTTTTCATTTCTAGTGCCCAGAAATACAATTGATCTCTGTATTTGTTCCTGTGTCCTGCAAGCTTGCTAATTTCACATATTAATTCTCTCAAGATCCTTGAGGCCTGGGGCAGAAACGGAATTCCCTGCAGGTTCCCAAGTACAGGAAGATGAAGCCAAGGGACCTTCATAGCCCCCCAGGGCCAGTTGCAGGATTTCTACTGCTTTTACTCATTTTTTCAAAGATACTTGAAGATTTGTCTAGGGATGCTATCTTTTATTTCCAAATTATAATCTCACAAAACAACTGTGGAAAGTATAAACTTTTACTAATCAGTTCCCACAGTACAGAATTAAATAAATCGAGTCTCCAGTGATGGAACATAGAATTTTCCTCAAGTATTTTTTTTCCCACAAAATTAATTTTTTAGCTTTTGACTTTTCACAATACTCCCACTCATAGACCTAAGATTCTCTCTGTAAAATCCTAATTCTCTAAGAAAGCTGTGCACTTGCAGCATGCCAAAGAGACTCACAAGAGAAACTTATTTGTGTGGGAACAGAAATAAAATAATTAGGTATTTTCATCAGGGAAAAAAGATTCAAAGAATCACGACTTTAGTCTTTGCTTCCAGACAAGCCTCTAAGTTATCTGACAAAAATTCTCCTTGGAACATCAAGCTTGAATTATGTAACATTTTAGGGTATTACTCTTATTCTTGGTCTTTTTAGTCACTCCGTATCCTTTCTGTTTTACCTGTTGAGAAGCAAAATGGAGAAAGGAGATTCCTTTTTTGGGGGAACAAGGTTAAATTTAAAGCAAATATCTGTAAAGGTGGGCTTGCTATATTCTTGCTGACAGTGACTATAGAATTAAATATATTTTTCTGTTGGCAAATTTTAGTGTAAAACACACCGTTTCTAATGAGAAGGCATGAAATAATGTTTATGGCAATTTGAGCATAGATTTTGGTATCTGAGTGCTGGGGTTCGAATCCCGGCTGGGGTGGGTGGGTTCTTAGCTCCGACTGCTGACAGTTAACAGTTTTAACAGTTTCCTCGCCTGGTCCAAGGGATAATCCAGTATTCCTGGGCAGAGGCTGGTGCTAAGGCCAGGACTGACCAGTTCACAGCTCACAGGGGAAGGTGGGTGGGGCAGAAAGGAGGAGAGTCTGTGAGGGGCAAGGGGCAGGAGGACATGGTGAAAGAGGCTGGAAAGACAAAGGAGAAGCGAGTGGGGGTGCGGGGATGTGGTGTCAGGGAGGACAAGCACAGCCGTGGGGCAGTCAAGAGTGTGGCGATCAGCCGTGGGGAGGGCTGCGCTGGGGCCGTGGGACGGTCCAGGAGGCTCCTTTGGCGGCTTTGGGTGCAAGGAAGGCACCCAGGAATGTGGCGTTGTGGCTTTTGGGAAATGTGGCAAGGCCCGGATTTCAATGGTGGGGCAGGGGAGCAACACATGGTAAGTAAAGGAAATTCTAGAAACATCTACAGAACACCTGCATGTGGAGAGCACCACATTAAGTCCTGGTGCAGAAGAGAGAAGGGGGCACAGGTTCTGAGCTGCAGGAGGGGCTGTGCTCAGATCATAAGCACGGCGGGGTGTGGGGGGCGGCCCAAGGGCACTGCATTCAGAACTGAGCTTCAACCACACCCACAGATTCCTGGATTTGCTCTCAGCCTTCAGACCCTTCAGGAACGGCCCAAGAAAATGTGACTTGTCCAGGCCAATGCACTTATAGCCAGCGTGGATGGAACAGAAGGGCAACAGATGACTAGGAAAAATATGCCACAGGGAAGAAAAGGGGTAGCAGAATACTGCCATAAACAACGTGAGATGCAGCTCTGAAATGTACCTGAGGGGCTGCATGCTGTAAACCAAGCCTCAATCCTCTGTGGGGTAAGGGGATGCTAGTGACCCACCACTGGACAGCCCCTCCCTGCAGGCTCCGGGCTGAGTTTTCCAGGTGACGAGCTGGGACTGGTCCAGCCATATTCAGCCCCACTGGGACCAACAGCTCACACCTGCCAGGCAATGTGCAGGCCTGTGATCTCTGTGTTATCAATGGGCAGATGTACTTGCACCCAACACCATAAAATTAGCTGATAGTGTCCTAATTGGGAACCAACAAGGGTTTTTTTGAGACAGGATCTCACTCTGTCACTCAGGCTGGAGCGCAGTGATGCGATCTCGGCTTACTGCAACCTCCGCCCCTTTGGGCTCAAGAGATCCTCCC